>NC_000007.14:153700804-154013868 GCF_000001405.40 Homo sapiens
CATCTATTTATTTGAAGATATTCACAGTGAAGACTAGAGCCCAGGCATTTGGGCATCTTGTCTGGAGCTTTTCTCCCTTTTCCCTACAGCACTGTCCTCCATACAATGGTGTGAGGCTTAAGCACACCCAGAAAGACCCAGTGGTCATCTACAGGGTATGATTTTAGAGAAGTATAGGAAAGCCTCCATCACCCATCTAGTACCAGCTCTGCTACTTAAGAACTGTCATATAAAGTGAAAAGAGGACCACTGGGTATAGTGGTTAAATATACCCACAATCTGTTCATTAGCCAGTTTTGTCTTCCTAGATTTGCAAAGGGAGAAGGTAGAAACCGCAAAATGCTCTTTTATCCTCCTCTTTTCCCAAAATGAGTGGCATAATCACAAGGAAGCCCCTGTACACAGAAATATATATGCCAGAATGCTCAGGACTCAGATATATGACTCTATGAATGGATGGATGGATGGATGGACGAATGGATGGATGGACGAATGGATGGATGGAGATATGGTTCGGCTGTGTCCCCACTCAAATTTCACCTTGAATTGTAATAATCCCCATGTGTCAAGGGCGGGGCCAGATGGAGATAATTGAATCATATGGGTGGTTTCCCCCATACTGTTCTCATGGTTGTGAATAAGTCTCATGAGATCTGATGGTTTTATAAATGTGAATTCCTTTGCACAAGTTCTCTTGCCTGTCACCATGTAAGATGTGGCTTTGTTCTTCATTTGCTTTCTGCCATGATTGTGAGGCCTCCCCAAGCATGTAGAACTGTGAGTCAATTAAACCTCTTTCCTTTCTAAATTGCCTGGTCTCAGGTGGGTCTTTATTAGCAGCATGAGAACAGACTAATACAGATAGATATGTAGGTAGGTAGGTAGATAGATAGACAGACAGATGATAGACAAATAGATAACAGATAGATGATAAATAGATAGATGATAAATAATAGATAAATAGATAGTTAATAGATTGATAGAAAAATAGGTAGACAGATGATAGATGGATAGATGATAGGTAGTTTGATAATAGATAATAATACATAGATTAGGTAGATAGACAGATGATAGACAGATAAACAGATAATAGATGGATAGATAGATGATAAATAGGTGATAAATAATGAATAGATAGCTAATAGGTTGATAGAAAAATAGGTAGACAGACTGATAGGTGATGGCTAGATAGATGACAGACAGATTTATAATAGATAATACATAGATTAGATAGATAGATAGATAGTTGAGAGATAGATAGATAGAGATAGACAGACAGATGTTGGTGTGGATTCAGCTGGTTCTGGGGTGAAGGGTTCTGGACCAGCTGTTTGCTGCTAACCCAAAGGTCATGACTAGAGCTATGTGTAAGCTAACAAGTGCTTGGGTATCTGTGGACACAAGGGACACATGAGGACATAAGCACCTGGGAACAGCTAAGAGAAGGCAGTGGATATTGAAATGACTTTATCATATTTATGGAGAGCTCCTTTGCTGAAGTATGCTCTCAATTCTGTTCCTCCAGGAGTCTTCATTTTAAACAAGATTTCAAGGTAGTTGGGATGTTATTATTGTTCCACATGTCAACAACTCTTGACGGGTTCATTTATATTTTACCATAGAGATATCTGTGAAGCCCTATTAGGCTGCAGCTAAAAGACATTTTTCTTCCTGTTTCTTTCCTCCATTCACTGAACTGACATATTGTGTTTTGTTCTGTATTATCTTTTGGTGCTTTATGGAAAAATGTCCACATTTCTCATGCAGCTACCCCAAGGTATTTCTTGTGAGAAAAAGAAAAATATGACTCTTTTTATGAGAAGAGAAACGGTTTCCCCACTCTTTCCAATTGTGTATTCATTTCAATAAGCCTGGATCACTTGACAGAAGGGACTTCAAAGTTGATGATGATGATGAATTACAAAACTAAATAAGAAGTTTGGAAGAACAGGGACAAATCTACTCTTGGCCATGCATGGTGGCTTATGCCTATATTCCCAGCACTTTGGGACACTGAGGTGGTCAGGATCATTTGAGCCCAGGAGTTCAAGACCAGCCTGGGCAAAATGTCAAAACCCCATTGCTACCAAAAATACAAAAATTAGCTGGGTATGGTGGCGTGCACCTGTAGTCTCAACTACCTGGAGAGGCTGACATGGGAAGATCACCTGAGCCCATGGAGGTAGAGGCTGCAGTGAGCCCTGATGGTGCCTCTGCACTCCAGCCTGGGCAACAGAGTAAGAGCCTGTCTCAAAACAAAACAAAAAAAAACAAAAAAATATATTCTCATGAAGTTTGTAATGGCTGTGACCTGGTAGAAATGCATAAATAGACTATCTATTTTCACAAAGACCATATTACCATATAACTTAGCAGGTATATTGGAGTTTAAGAAATAGCTAGAATTAAATTATTTCAAAATCAATTTCAAAATTCACCTTTGTGAAATTTAGAAACTTTGTCATAAAATCATTGCATTTCTAAGCTAAAAGAATCCAAGACAAGTGATGTCATTCATGTAGGTGTCTCCATCAATCCAACAGTGGATCATTTGAGCAGCATTTTCCCTGTGTATGATACAAGCAAATTAATAAGCATGAACCCTGCCCTGCAACTTGTACCCAAGGCTCAAGCTTAGGAAACCAAGGAGGGAGACCATAACACAGTACCTGCATGTAAATGGCATCCAGTTTCAGAAAAGGAAGGAATCTGAGCTGGAGGGCTGCATGGAAGGGGTGGAATTTAACGTTGGCTTTGAAAATCACATAACATTTGAAAAGGTGGAACCAAATGTGAAGATTTGAGGCACTGGGGCTTCTGTGAGCAAGCCACAGAGGCAGGAATAAGCACAGTTCACAGCCAGGGGAGAATGTAGGGCCACCACATAGGAGATGGAGCTGACTCTTGACTTCAGTTTTCTGATCCAGGAGTGTAATATACCTCAAGTAGTCAAAGATTGGAAAAATACTTGACTCCTTCAAGACAGAATCCAATGGGGAAAACACATCTATAAACAGCTTATCGCATATGAGGTAACCCCGGTGGCTATGTATGGCTCCCTGATGTCGAGAGCAGTGCGTGCGTGAGTTTTCTCCTGCTCCTTTCCTCTCTCCTGAGGCTGAAAGCTGCACACCCTCTGTGTGATTCCCCTCAGCAAGTATGCTCATTCATGCCAGTCTGTGGATGTCTGAGAATGTCTTGATACACAACCATCCTTAGGGGTAACTGAAATTAACTGGGCATGTTGCTCTTAAAAGTCGGATAAGGAGTACAACAGTATAGGTCAGAAACTTTGGAGATATAGAGGCTACCTTCCCAAGGCCTGCTGTGCCTAGACACAGGATGACCATTCTCAGAGAAGAAACCCTAAAATGACAGGAACGAGGCTTTTGTGTCTGCACCTCAAGTTCTCTATTCTTCTTTTCTTAGACTGGAAATCCCAGCTGCTTCTTTTTTCTTTACTGCTGTTACTTTCCCCATATTTCATCTCTCCCGAGATGTTTTATGCATTGTGGGAAACGTGCACAGCTGCTGCACCTGCACATTTGGCTCTTCCCTTCATCTATACTTCACCAACCATTCAGGTCTCCGTCTAACGGTAGATTTGCCATTGATCCCTTGTGAAACATTATATCTGTACATATTTATGTGTTCTATATTTTGAGTTACAGAATTAGGTGGATACCTTTAAAATTGCTATTTCTTCTTAGGGAAGCAAACTACTAACCTATAATCATTATTTTTATTTTTAAAATGCTTCCCTTCTTGTATTTTCTCTGGTGGTACTGTAGTTTATAGCTTCTCCAGTCATATATATTGCTATATTAATAGCATTGCCTAAGTAAAAACAAAACAGTATTTGTCTGATATCTTTTTAAAATGTTTCATTAATTTCTCCAACATTATTGAGGTATAATTGCCAAAAAATTTTGTTTATATGTACAGTGTACAACATATACCATGATGTTTTTCCATCCTTTGACTTTCAAGTTTTCTGTGTTCTTATGATTTATGTCTTTTAACTGAAGAATTTTGGCCAGCATTCTGGTCACTGATATGATTGAATTCATTTCTTCTGTACTAATTTTTCTTTGTATTTGTGCCCTTTTTTCTCCTGTTTTTTTTTTTTTCTTCCTGTTTTGGAATGATTAAGGTCTGTTTTTCTTGCTGGCATTCTTTTAGTTCCATTTTCCCCTCTACTAGTTTGGATGTTACTCTTTCTATATCTTTCCCTATCTCTAAGAATTTTAACATGTAGACCTTTAAAAAGTGTAAGGGATGACCAATGTTTACAACTTAGACACATTATAATGCTTTAACTTGGGTCACTCATTCCTAACTATCCTAACCCTTGTATTATTGTTTCTAACCTCCAAGGACACATTTTTTTAAAAACACACTTACTGCTTTTTTTAGATTTCTCTGTGTGCCATTTTCTTTCCTTACTATTATTTTCACATCTCAACTCTGTCACTGTTTTCTTTATTTCTGAAACACAACTTTTTGAACACTGATATTTAATGTGTGGTCTGTATATTAGCACTGGTCTGTAAATTGTTACTTACTGCTCCGAATCTAATAAGCAGATTGATCCAAATGCAAATTAGCTACCTCATTAAGAACGCTTTATTGCAGGGGACATGTTTTTCACAGCAAGACTTTCTCAATGAAAGAGGCAGTCTGTTGATTTGCATTCCCTCAGGGTTTTGTTGTTGTTTTTAAATGTTTTTATTTTGTTTTCATTCTGGAAAAATGGTTTTGTGGGATAATAATCAGTTAAGAAATCTTCCCTTTCTATTTGCTGGTTATGTTGTTGAGAAAGTAGCTCTTAAGCTAATGATCATTTCTTTGCAGATATTCTGTCTTTTTCCCTCTGAAAGGCAAAGACTGTTTGTCCACGTTGTTCTTCGTTTTCAGTCTCATATTTCTAGGTATAGATTTCTTTTTATTTCTCCTGCATAGGATTCACTGGGATTTCTGAATCTGAAGATTGGCTTTTGAACAATCATAGACAATTCCCTTTCATAGTCTCCTCAAATAGTGTCTCTTTTCCACATCCTGTGTTGTCTCTTTCTGATACTTCAAAGGGATTAATTTGAGACTTCTTACTTAATCCTCTCTGTTTCTTTACCTGTCTTAAACTTGGTAGTTCTCTAAGCGGCAACATTGTACTTTCTCCAGATCTATTTTCCAGGCCAACAATTCTCTTAATAGCATCATGGCTAGAAAGAAGTATAGATAAAATAGAAAGACAGAAACGATGATTAGATAGACAGACAGATGGATTCTTACAGGAAATATGAGGTCTCCAGATAAGAGAACAGTCTTTATTACTCACAGAACATCTTGGCCCCAGATCGCCACTGGACTATACATATGTTTCTGCTTTAAATTGTATAGGTGAATATATGGGGGACATATGTTCACCTGTACAATTTGTGGACTCCTGTGGCCATATTAAATTATCATCATTTCTTTAATGTGCTCATCTCTTCCGACTTCCTACTGTTTTCTCTAAATAGGAAGCCTCCATACCTCTCTTCATTTAGACAGAGTCTTCTAGTTCGTTACATCTCATCTTACTTCAAGTACCACACCCGATAGGAAGTCTTCTTTGAACGTCTTTGCTGCTTTAGCAACCTGTACTTATCTCTCTCAAGGCATTCATCACACAGTTTTTTAATGAACAGATTATTGTTTGTCTCTTTTATTTCACTTTCAAGCCCTTGGGGGCAAGATATCTTTTTTATTCTTATTTCGCAATACCTATCTGAAATCCTGGTACATAGTAATTTTCAGTGTTTTCCTACTACTCTAATCAAATAATCATTGCTCTCCAGTTTTCCATTTATTATTATTATTTTGTAAGATTATATTAGAATCATAAAATGTTAGATGTAGATGGAAACCTAGGGGACATCTATTTTACATGATATAAAATTGCTATCAGTATTTTTTCTTTGTTTTAACGACTGACATCAGTTGGGAAACTCTTAGCCCCGCCTTATCTCACATCTCCTGGATCAGCATAAGTTTATGTGCCTAAAATCTCATTTCATGGGAGAAAGGAAAATGGGTATCTTGCAGCAAGAATGTAAGGGGAGGACAATGTCACTGGGTAAGCAAAACAGAGTTTGTAAATTTATCAGTACTTCTTCCCACCCAGAAAAGGCTCAGTTTAGAGAAAAAAAAAGTTACAGACATTTCTATTTTCAACATTTTCCCTAACATCCAGTACTGAGTTCCACCAGCTATGTCTAAGTTGACAAGGCAGCAACTTCAGTTCATTTGTTCAAGTGTACTTTGATTTGCATAGTTTCATAACCTGTTAGCATCTGCTCATTGATAATTCTGAGCTTGTGCTTTCCTGACGATTTTTTACTGCAGAGGTGGAAAAGTACTAAACGGCAATTTGTTTCTTTAATTTTCCTGTGCAAACAAAGTCAGGGAACAAAGAAAGATGCATGGTGACTGCAAAATATCATTATTATTTTATCAACAATGATAATACAATACTCCATGAGTACAACTTCTTAGTAATAAATGCACATAAAAGCAAGATAGCCAGGAAGTGCAAAGGACAAATTCCCATAATGCTACATGAATTGTTTTGCATAGGGCCCACTGTAGCCTCCTGCTGCCTAATAGATAAATTGAAAATTTTGCAACTCTACATCTATCTCACCAGCTTTCAGACTGTGCACTAGCTATGCCAAATTGACTAATGTGGATCGAGACTAATTATAAACATAAGTAGAATTCCTAGTACACCTGTGATAAGATTTCAGGAGCTAGTACTTCAGTATATGACATTAGGGGCCACTGTCAGCAATTTCTTTAGAAGGAAAATAAGATCTCACTGGGACTCTAAAGGTACAGTTTATTTATTTATTTATTTATTTATGAGATGGAGTCTTGCTCTGTTGTCCAGGCTAGAGTGTAATGGCGTGATCTCTGCTCACCGCAACCTCTGCCTCCCCGGTTCAAGCAATTCTGCTGCCTCAGCCTCCCAAGTAGCTGGGATTATAGGCATGTGCCACCACGCCCTGCTAATTTTTTGTATTTTTAGTAGAGACGGGGTTTCACCATGTTGGCCAGGCTGATCTCCAACTCCTGATAAAGGTACAGTTTAAAAGGTACCTCTTTTGGAGTAATAAAAATGTATGGACTCAAATTTGTCAGAATGTTAAATGGGCAAAAGGTGGAGGATACTTTCTGAGGAAGAAACAGGCTAGAGAGTGCACAAGTAAATTTAACGCTTAAAGTAGAAAAAGAGTTAGAAAGAATACAAGGGAAAAATTACATCTGATTTCCTTTTCTGCTAACCGAAATTTAGCCTCTACTTCCATTATGCATCCAGGCAGCAGCCACAGTTGCATTAGCAATACCTGTGACGGTCTCACCAGCAGAAATTATGACTTTCAGTATTTTAATACCACATTCACAGTGGCTCCAAATATCTTGAAATGTTTACTCTCAGCATGACTTCGAAATTATAATTGTTATTATATCCACCACATTAAATACAGAATCACAGAAGTTATTATATCAAATATTTGTTGCTTTTAAAGTTTTGCTTAAAAACTTCAATTTCTAGTACTACAATTTCAATATAATTTATTACCTTTGTCATCTCATGGCTTTCTCCTTCTTCTTCCTTTAGCATTTATAAACTTTATTTTGAGAAGTGTCTACAAAGTTTGTCAGACTGCAAAGAAGTCCATATCTCATAAAAGATCAAGCTTTAAAGGTGGAAGAAGAAAGGAAAAGTCAGGGTTCTGTTAATAAAGTTCTGTTTTGCTTCTAGCAAAAAAAGCATATGCTCCCTTATGAATACACTAATGGACAATTTAAAAATCAATGTCAGCGTAATGATGGTAAGCACAGCTTCCAAACAGCATCCCTTCTAGATTGCCAGAAGATGATCACGCAGACCCCGAAGCTTAGGGGGCAGCCAGAGGCCTGAACCCCTGTCCTAGGTTAATTCACCTTTTGCATGGTAACAATTGAACACCATTTACAAAGTAGGGAGAATTATTTTGATTGATATTAATTGAAACTTGCAAACAAGCACAAAAATTAAGTGAGCAACAAAAGGATTAGGAAGTGAAACCTCGCTTTTACTAATCATTTCCCTTTCCCTCTACAAAACAAACAAAAAAAGATATGAAGGTAAAGAAACTATCTACTCCAATTACTTTAATTCATTTGGATGAACATTTTACTCTATGAATTTCTAGGGATTTGATTCTCTGATCTGGCCATACTCACTTGTAATCAAACAAAACATAAAATTGACCATTTTTGTATGCTAATTTTGTGCTAGACACCCTGTTGAATAAATGAAAGAATATTATTAAGCATATACTACATGCCAGATACTTTCCTATATCAAAGATTGGCAAACTTTTTTCTGTACAGGGCCAGATAATAAATATTTTCGATTTTGCAGGCCACAAGGCAGTCTCTGTTGCAACTGAGGGCAGTACAAAAACAGTTATAGGCAATATATACACAATGGGTGATTGCATTCCAATACAACTTTATTTGCAAAAACAGTTATAGACAATACATACACAATGGGTGATTGCATTCCAATACAACTTTATTTGCAAAAACAGGCACTGGAGCATATTTAGCCCACGGCCTGTAGTTTGCCAGCTTCTGACCTAGATATTGCAGCGTGGAACAAAAGGTCAAAAATTCCCTATTTTGTGGAGCTTACATGCCAGGAGGGGAAGACGAACCAGGAGCAAAGTGAACATACTAATTCTATGGGGTATTTTAAGGTGCCCTGGTGAGGAATCCAGCAGGGACAAGGCGGGAGGGTCGTGGGGGAGCTCACAACCTTTGCTATGGTGACAGGTGGGGCACCTTTGAGAAGCAAATATTTTATAAAATTTTTGGCAGAAATGAGCAAGCAAGCCATGGGCAAGAGTATTCTAGCTGCTTAGATCATTATAATGACCATCCAGGATAAAAAATATTATTTCTCTCTGACAGGAGAAAATGGAGACTCATTTCCTTGTCAAAATTCTAATGGCTAAGCTCATCCAGACCATGAAATCGGTAATTCTGGGAGCAGGTTAAAGGCCTTGCTGTTTTTTCTTTCTAAAGCTCTCTAGGTTATTTTAACATGCAGCTATGGTTGACAGTCTTCACTAGGTCATGCTGACTTTTAACTTATTCAATTTATTTTAAAGAAAACAAGCTAACAGAAAAATACTTTGATAGGCAAAAATTAAGTTCATAGGGTCAGATATTCATTTTTGATTTTTATTATTTTAGATCTAGTCCTGAATTCAGATTTCTTTCTTTCTTTCTCTGTCTTTCTTTCTTTCTCTTTCTTTCTTTCTTTCCTTTCTTTCTTTCTTTTCTTTCTTTCTTTCTTTCTTTCTTTCTTTTTCTTTCTTCTTTCTCTTTCTTTCTTTTCTTTCTGTCTTTTCTTTCTTTCTTTTTGTATGTGTCAGACATTCTATAGCTTCTGAGATTCTCATTGTGTTTGTGAAGATATTCTGAAAAGAAGACAGTAAAGGACTTATTAGGGAAAATTAAAGTAGGATCTGGGGAAGGCTGGAGAGACCACAATACAGGAGGGTGAGAGAATTAATATGACCCTGAGGCAAAATGTAAGTGAATATTTTTGCCCCTTCCAAGTAAATATGAATTATTTCTAATCATCTTTGCTAATTAGAATGGGAAAAACACATTTATCAAATCAATGGTTGCCTGCAATAGACATGAGGCCATATTTGTCTGCTCCAGCAACTATACCATATCTGTCTGCAAGCACAGCTATTATTTATTCATCTGTGCTCATCAATAGTCTTTTTCCAGGATCTGTCCAGTTTTTGCAGGAGCCAAATTGATGAGTTAAATGGAGACGTAACAGGGATCACCCTTGCTGTATTCTTATGTTGGATCTTTAATGGTGGCACAAGTCTTTGCTGTCTCTCCCAGGATACAATATTGTTTTTTATTTACTATTTTGGCAGAGGGGTGAGAGGGAATTTCAGAGGTTTCCACTTGGCCTTTCTCCATGATGACAGTTTTTTTCTCACATTGCAGAAACCCAATAAGGGGGTTCCTACAATTACTAAGGACGTCCGTTCCAATTATGTACTTGGAGATTGTAGAAATGACCTTTGAGTAGATTCATGGACCTAGCAGACCACTGAAAGGTGGACTTTAGCCACAATTTCTAATTTGGCCTAACTCTCATAGCCCTCTGTGCTCCAAAGCTGGGCTATGATGGATCTTTGGATTTTTATTCGGGTCAATCAATGTCAATTCGGGCCCTTTATTAAGTAGTCTTTGAAATGGCTTGTTATTCTTTTTTCCTCAGTATAAAGAAGCCTAAGTAAATGGCTACAGGTCCCTTTGAGGAAGATTGAGGGCGTTTTCACAGCATATGCCATGGTATGGTAGGGTCTTTCTTCCTAGGAATAATGCCAGTGGATTCTGAATTTGAAAATTTGGCTGAGGTCTGGCAACTGAGCAGGAACTTGGACTTGTTAACAGTGTGACTGTGCTTGACTTTCTGATACTCCGTTCTAACTTTTTTTCCTAGTTATAGATGTTAAGCAACATTCTTCTTGGCTGCCTATTCATTTACCCACTACAGACACTCTATTAACCATCTCCTCAAGTCCCTGTGGGCCACACCCCCTTGGTCGCACCTCTAACCTCCTGGCGTCTAGCGGTGAAGCCCCAGAACCTGGCTTCTCCTGGCATGGAGCTCCATCATCTTCATGATGTTGTTGAGTGGACTCCTTTGACTGCCTCTCCAACCACCAGAAGAGCCACCACCAAACTTATTATTGATGATGGTGCCCCTCTCCCAGCACATTCTTTATGGTCTTAGTGAAGAGTGAGCTTTCTGCTCCTTCTCTTGGACTATGACCTTCTCTTGGGTCTTTTGGTCTGACATAATATGCAATCTCTGCTTCCTTCAGCATATCCTCTGGCTTCTGACAGGGCAATTTGGGCATTTCCATTCTGCTGAGTATTGGGCATTGCTGTTTTCAAGTTTCTAAGGGCTGCTCTAGGAACATGGTTGCATCATTTCTAATCCCAGGAGTGCTCCTCTGGTTCCTGCTCATACAAAACAGCTAATTCATTCAACTCTTTGGGTGTATAGAGTCCCTCCTCCCTGATCAGGGCCAGCATGTTCCCAACTGGGCTATATTAGCATTTCCTTCTTGGTATTGGCCTGGCAGGAAAGGAGACATATCTGTCCAGACATATGTCCTTGTACCACGGTCTCTGGTCTCAGTCCTTTTCTCACCTGAGCAGTGACCTCAGCCATGCATTCATATGTCCCTGGAGCTCTGCAGCTCTAAAAATTAGGTCTTCCTAATTGTCTGAGCTATGTCATTCCCTTCCACTGTAGGAGATATGAGCCTCCTTGTAAACTAGCACAGAGGCCCTCTGGCTTCCAGCCTTACCCATTAACGACTCAACAGCCCTCAGTCTCATTATCCTTCTGCAGGGTCTTTTTTTAATGCTATAATTTTTCCTCAAAGTCCTGCTTTAGCTACCTCATAATTTTGATATGTTACATACTCATTTTTAGTACAAAATATGTTTTGATTTTTCTGAGTATTCCCAGTTTTCTCCATAAGTATTTAGAATTACTTTAATTTCCAAATATTCAGGGACAATCATATCATTTTCCTTAGTTATTTGTAGTTAATTTCATTGCAATTCAAGAATATACTCCATATGGTTTGAGTTTATTAAGGTTTTTAATATATTAGGATATAATTATTCTTATTGAATGAACCATGTTTACTTGAGAAGCCTGTGTATTTTGCTGTTTTGGGGTGGAATGTTCTCTACGTGTCAGTTAAGCCAACTAATTTTGTTTTTGCTTTATGCTCCCACATCACATGTGTTTATTTTTTTTTACAACTTTCATTTTAGGTTTGGGGGTACATGCACAGTTTTGTTCATGTATAAATTATGTGTCACTAGGGTTTGGTGTACAAATGATTTTGTCACGCAGGTAGTGAGCATAGTAGACAACAGGTAGTTTTTGGACCTTCATCCTACTCCCACCCTACCTCCTCAAGTAGGCTTCTGTGTCTATTGGTCCCATCTTTGTGTCCACACGTACTCAGGGTTTCACACCCACTTATAAGTGACAATACACGGTATTTGGTTTTCTGTTCCTGTGTTAACATCTCACATCAGTTAGAATGGCTATTATAAGAAAGTCAAAAAACAACAGATATTGGCGAGGTTGCAGAGAAAGGGAATGCTTATATACTGTTGATGGGAATGTAAGTTAGTTCAGCTGCTGTGGAAAGCAGTTTGGAGATTTCTCAAAGAACTTAAAACAGAACTACCATTCAGCCCAGCAGTCCCATTACTGGGTGTATACCCAAAGGAATATAAATTGTTCTACCAGGAAGACACAGGTACATATATGTTCATTGCAGCACTATTCACAATAGTAAAGACATGGACTCAACCTAGATGTCCATCCATGGAGGACTGGATAAAAAAAATGTGGTACATACACTCCATGGAATACTACACTGTCATAAAAAAATGAAACCATGTCCTTTGCAGCCACATGGATGCAGCTTCTGTAGGGTCTTAATACAACTTAGTGATAACCAATTGACTCTCATGTATCTCTACATTGTTTCGCTGTTGTGTATTTCTCTAGAGGTGGGAAGAAAGGAACACATGATTGTTGTTACTTGGAGAAACCACTTAAATTTCTATTTCAAAGCATGTGTCCATTTTTGAGTGAGTTCCTAAAAATATTATTTTCCCAGTCAAATAGAATTTGTAACAGCCCAAGATATTCAAGCTTTAGAGAACCTGCAATATTTCCTAATCAATGAGTAAACTTCAGATATACACACTCATGTACACATATGCACCCTTGGTAAGAAAGGACGGAGCTGTGTCTTGGGGTAAATTATACTATAAGGTGAAAATACTTCTCTCTTGCTGTTGGCAAACGATCATTCCAAAGACATGCCACTGCAAATGGTTTCTCCTGCTAGTTACTAGCAAGAGTCTGCATATGTAGAGCCATCTCTTCACTGTTCATTTTTCAAGGGGCACTGGGCTCCCTGGGCAAACTGCTCCCTTGCAGTGAGCTTGACTCTGTACTCTGGAAGGGAGTGGGTAGGTGATCCAAGACTGACAGTTTATATTCATCTGACTAGGTAAGTGTATTGAGTCCAGGTATACACAGCAGTCCCCACAGAGGGCACCTAAGGTCTAGATTTCAGGAAGACATATGGGAGACTACTAGCGTTCAAGTCAAAACCCTACTGAGTCTAAAGAAATGATGTAGTTCAGATATGCTGGGCATCTGCCTAGTCTGTTAACAGGCTGATCCATTTATCCTGCTCCATAAGAGAAAAACTCAAAAGCAAAAAAAAAAAAAAATCCCCTACAAAACTTTTGGCAGATTTCTGATTGCCCTAGGAAGCATCTTCACCCCAGCAAGGAGCATTTTCTTCCATTAAACACGCAATCTACAGAGAATTAGGACATGTTCTTATGCTGTGACTTTTGGAGCATTTTAATTTCTTTTTTCTAGTTCAAAATTTTCCTGGAAAATAATGAAGTGAACTCAGACACCACAGGCTCTATAATTATGAGATTTTTGTGGAAAATCCTGGGGACAATTTGGTTTAATGCATATTTATTTAAATGTCATAAAACTCAACTCATCAAAGTTGTAGGGCCACTTTCAAACTTGATGCCATATTCGAGGAAGACAGGAAATGTAGCAGAGTAAGCCTATGTCCTCTGGAAATTGATTTTGTTACCTGAATGTCAGGGGTTCAGTCTAGGTGCTGTTGCTTGCTGCACCGAAAGCCAGTCATTGATATAACAAGTACTGCCACGGAAGACAGCTTTAATTGGGTGCTGTAGGAGAGCAGATGGCAGATCAGTCTTAAATCCACCTGCCTGAGCAACTGAAATGATGGGTGTATGTAGTGAGGAAGAAATGTAACCAAGTGTGGGAAAGCAGGAATAAGGGAGGGGTAAAGAAGAAGAACTGGTCAACAGGAAGCAGGTTTAGGTAATCACCACAGGTGATGAGTCTAGTTTCTCATGGTCCAGATGCCATGATCTGGTAAGTTTCGCTCTTTGATACTGTCTGGGAGGCCTGATCCTTTATTTTCTGAGAAAGGAACTCAGATAATACAAATGTAACATGTTTAAGTTTTAAGACTGGGAAGGTCAATTTTTATGTTTATTTAAAAGAAACAATAAACATCAGTTCTATAGGACAATTGGGAGGCTTTTTTATATCTCAAAGAACTACAAACGTTATGATAAGCAATTTATACTTGATTCTGCCATGTATCTACCTTTCTTATTATAATATAGGATCAGGGTTCCAATGTTGAAATGGACAAAAGCCATCATTCCAAACACCCCACTGGTTCTCCAAGCCATGCCCAAGCACATCACTCTCATCAATATGGGGTATCTCTAAAGAGGGGTAAATCATTTCTCTCTCTCCAGCACTCAACACCCAACATGTATACTCAAGTTTGCAGGTGGGTACACGAAAGGACAGTTCTTCTTCACAAAACACTAGTTACCCTTGGCTTCGCTATGACACATTTAAGTGGAGAACATTAGGGAACAGTCAAAGGTGTGTTGAAATTAATTCTCAAGTATTCAAGCTCAGACTGCTAGGTACCCTACTGACTGAGTCTATACCCAATGATACCAGCGAAAATGCTGGGAAAAAAAAAATGAAAAAAAACTGTACTTAGCAACCCTGCAACAGCAAGTCAGGGTACATTATACTGTAACTTCTTCCATCTGGCAGATGTATGCTTCATTACATCTGCACAGTTAGAGGGGATCGCATGGCATATTGTTTCAATTATTATCAATAGCCAATACCGATGGGCCGCTTGCCACTAAAAAGGATCAACATGTAATTTAGAAAAACGGCATAAACTATAAGTACAAATTGTACTATTTATTACTATCCCGTTATTAATTTGTACTTCTGGATATTATGATTGGTATTTGGTAATTTCCAGCTACTTGGAAATAAGAACATCCTCTGAGAGCTAAACAATAAAATCAATCCACAAAAAACCAAAGACGCGTGATGCAATGTCACCAGGGAGAGAAAAGGGATCTCAGGTTACAGCAAGAATTTACTACAATCAGATTAAAGGTATTAATTTAGTTAAAGAAGTGAGGATGCTAGAGCTCTGCATGGATCACAGAAAAAAATATTAAAATCGGGTAAAAACAAAAACCCCAAACAGCTTCAGTGGACATCAGGAGACTTGAGGGCCATTTGCACCTGAGACTGGAAAGCTATGCAGACTTAGGCAACTGGAAATTAAATTCTAGAGGATAAAGAGGTGTAGGATAATTTGCTCTGTCCCTGAAAAATGGCAGCCTTTATATATTTCAGAACCAGCCAGAGGACATTACCCATGCATGACTTTATCTTCCTGTGTAGACTCCAAGGGTGCTGTTGGGTCCGCTCTGCCGCCATCTTTACACAGCGTGGGCAGAGGCACATCCACCACCCTCTGCTGGTCTTCAAGTACACGTCATTCAGCAGCGTGATATCCTGTAAGCAGCCAGTATACGTAAAAACAGCCCAGCCATGGGACAGCTCTCTCATCCACAACCTGCAGAAAAGAGTCAAGAAGGGCTTACCGCTGCTGAATCTGCCGAGTTGTCATCTGTTTAAAGTTTGCTCTTATATAAATATCACCCACAATTGAGACAGCTGTTGGGCCCAGATATCACACAATATGTCATATTAATAAAAACAATAAACACACAGGCATTATTTTACCTTAATGCCATTGAAAAGCAATTTAATTCGAGGACACATCCTATTCCCAGCATGTTATTTTTAATACAATTAGATGGTCAGAGAAGTTTTAATAGCAAGGTACTTCAAATCCAATATTAGTTCTGAAGATACCAGATATTGTTTTATGCAAAGCTTTTAAATCACAATAAAATAGTTATGACACAGCAATAACTTAGCAGTCTTTTCCCATTAGGGGTAAATTTCATCATATTACTCTAAAATATTTCATATAGTGTAAATCTACTCTTTATTTACTTTCCGTAATGTCTATGGTATGCTTAGTATCATGTATTCTTCCTGAAATAAACAGCCCTTTCTCTGACCTGCCCTAATGCTTGCCATTTTCAGCCTCTGCATCCTCCAAGCAGCCCCTTCATTAGACCACTTTAGTCTTTAGAGTACGGACAGGCCAGTAAGCTCCTGTAGCCCTTATTAGTTACAATATGATATTCCTTATAAATTTGTTTGCAATGTATGCTGCATTAAATTGCACATTTTGGAGCGAGGGCAATGAATACTTTATATGTCCATGTTCTCCAAAGAACTTAAGAAAATGCTGAAGAAAGTAAGAACTTCAGAAATACATGTTGATTAAGTCACTGATAGGAATTTTGGAGAATTCGTGTGTGTATTTTCTTTCATCGCAAACACACACACACACACATGCACACGCACACACACACAGACACATACACAAACACACACGGAGGGATTAAAATTTTCAACCAAATTGAAATGTCGAAGTTAAAGCGCTTAAAAAGAGGTGGTGTCAATTCTCATTACTCATGGTAGCTGTGTTCTATGAAGTTGCTGGGAACAGAGCAAACACTGGACTATGGTTTCTATGGAAAACACAGGGTTAGGTTTCTTAGAGCCTATGGTCATAAAAATTATAACCTTGCTTTATATTTATTTCTATTTTAAAAAATTAATATATATTGTTGATTCAAGCGATAATTGCTTCTCACTTATATGGAGAAAAGTCAGAAAAAGGATAATAAGCAAAAACCTAATGGCTTTTATATCTTAGTAATATTGAGTATACACAGTAATTTTCTGTGTATGGAAGAAATTATTCCTCTAAGCTAGTGCTAATAAAATGATTCATTTGGAATTAATACAATCCTAAATCTAATTTAGCCTATACTTAAGAAAATGTACATTCTATTATCAATACATTCCCTATACCTATTTTCCTTATTATTTTAAAACTTGTCTGACACAAACCATCATCAATCTTTAGGTTTTTAGGCTTTTAATATCTAATATAGTATTGAATTCCTTGTGATGTAGAGAAAATCTATAGTAACCATGTTTTAAAAGGGTTGAATACTGTTATAATTCTATAAAATGGGTAAAAAGCATTTTTATTAAATTAAAAAATCTTACTCTCTTTCAAATTTGATTTATCACAAAATTAGCCTGTCTTCATTTTTTCCTAAAATAGGAAAAAAAAGCAGTTAATTTTAGTTTTAAAGACATCATAAGTTTAAGAATAACTTATGAAAAATAACAACCAATAAAGTAATCAGAATTTAGTGTTGAACATGAGTAAGATATTGAGAATTAAATCTGGCAGGAGAGTTAGGGACAATAAACGACCATTGAACTAGAAATGAGAAGATTTCCACTGTTGCTCCAGATCTGATGCTGATCTGGTCATGGTGGACAGGTCACACGTGTCACTGTTCATTCAGTAAATATTATCAAGTGACTACTATATGCCAGGTGCTATAGGGAGAATTGGGGTACACCAGCAAAAAATAGAGAGGCCCCTCATTCTTGTTTGCTGATGTTATAGATATTCCATCCAGATTTACATTTTCATGGTTCCATGAGTAAACTTGACACCTGCTCCCTAGGTGACCGCATCCAATCTCATCCTTTTAAGCACTCTCCACATAGTAACTACATCCAATTTTTTATCCCAAGTCTGTAGCTCTCTTCCAAAATCTAGGTTTACATATCCAGCTGCTTGGATGCTTAATCGGCATCTCAACCCTAGCCAGACTTCTGATCTTCCACCCCACCTGCTCTCCCGCAGTCTTCTTCACCTCAATTAGTGGCCACTGAAGCCAAACTTCCGGGAGCCATCCTAAAGATCCCTCTTTTCCACCACCAAGATTTCCTTTGGCTCTGTATTGAAACTACCATCCCCCAGAACCCACTGGCTTCTCCCCTCCACACGCAATGGCCTTGCCTGGATTCCTGAAATAGCCTCCTAATCCGTCGTACTGCACCTGCCCTTAACCCTCACACTGAAATCTCAACACTGTAGCTAAGGTGATATTTTAAAAATTCAAGTCGGCTGGGCGAGGTGGCTCAAGCCTGTAATCCCAGCACTTTGGGAGGCCGAGGCGGGCTGATCACGAGGTCAGGAGATCAAGACCATCCTGGCTAACACGGTGAAACCCCGTCTCTAGCAAAAATACAAAAAATTAGCCGGGCGTGGTGGCGGGCGCCTGTGGTCCCAGCTACTCGGGAGGCTGAGGCAGGAGAATGGCGTGAACCCGGGAGGCAGAGCTTGCAGTGAGCCGAGATCGCGCCACTGCACTCCAGCCTGGGCGACAGAGCGAGACTCCGTCTCAAAAAAAAAAAAAAAAAAAAAAAAAAAAAAATCAAGTCAGATTCTGTCACTTCTTGCTCATTTATTCTAATAACTAAATACCTACATTTAGAAAAACATCCAATCACTTTACAGTGGCCTCAATGTAACCAACAGCCCCACATAATCTACCCCATTTCCTCTGCGAAGCTCCAGCCACCCCTCATCCGCTCCAGGGCAGCCCTGCAGCTCCCTGGCCCCATTGCACATGCGACATGCAGAGCACTGCGAGTTCAGTGTCAATGGATCCACCATGTACCCTAACCCATCACAGTCCCCGGAAGTGAGGCCTTATCACGTGGAGTAAAGTGGAGGATCGCCCTTCCTTTAGGTGTCTTTCCACTTCCCATCTTTTAAATATACATGTCTCAGGTATTTCTTCTACATGCATTGAGCATCCCATCAGATGGCATAGTAACTTTTGCTTCAAACATCAAATATCGCTTTTAAAAACTCATGAGGTATGGCCAGGCACAGTGGCTCACACCTGTAATCCCAGCACAGTGGGAGGCCGAGGCGGGCGAATCACCTGAGGTCAGGAGTTCGAGAGGAGCCTGGCCAACATGGCGAAACCCCATCTCTACTAAAAACACAGAAAATTAGCTGGGTGTGGTGTCTGGCGCCTGTAATCCCAGCTACTTAGGAGGCTGAGACAGGAGAATGGCTTGAACCCAGGAGCCACAGGTTGCAGCGAGCCCAGATCATGCCACTGCACTCCAGCCTGGGAAACAGAATGAGACTCCATCTCAAAAATAATAATAATAAAATAAATAAAAAACAAAAATAAAAAAATGCTTCTGTCAGCCCTTCTGTAAGGGTAGGTTTATTATGCAACTAATTTCTCTTGTTTTCTTTTGTCTAGAAAACCTCTTTATTTCCCTTTCATTCTGGAAGGATAATTTCTGTGGGTATAGAATTGGCAGGTGACTATTATTTTCTTTCAGCACTTGGAAAAGCACTTCATTCATTTCTGGTCTCCATGGTTTGAGATGAGAAATCTGCTACCATTTGAATTGGTGTTCTCCTGTAAGCAACATTTCATTTCTCCCTGGCTGCTTTAAACATTTTTCTGTTTTATCTTGGACTCCAAGTATACAAATGTGAGCTCTTTTGTTATTGACCCATGAGACTCTGCTGCCCTATAATTGTTTTCTCTGTTTTTCAGATGGAACAAATTCCACTGAGCTATCCTCAAGGTCACGGATTCCATCCTCTGTCACCTCCACTTCATTGAGATGACATATTGAGCCCATGCATAGCCTTTTATTTGAGGTATTCTCGTGATTTTCATTTTTAATTCTAGGCTCTACTTTTGCTGAAATTTTCTATTTTTTTCATTTGTTTCAAGAGAACCCATAATTGCTTATTGAAGCATTTTTATGACAATTATTCTAAAATTCTTTGCAGGTAATCCCAGCACCTGAGTCATCTTTATGTTGGAGTCTCAATTGACTCTTCATTCATTTGTGATTTTTCTGGTTCTTGCTATGATAAATGGTTTTTTATTGTATTCTGGACATTTTGATAAGATTGTGAATCCTATTTACTTTTTTTTTTTTTTTTTGAGACGGAGTCTAGCTCTATCTCCAGGCTGGAGTGCAGTGGTGCGATCTCAGCTCACTGCAACCTCCGCCTCCTGGGTTCAATCGATTCTCCTGCCACAGCCTCCTGAGTAGCTGGGATTGCAAGCGTGCACCATCACGCCCGGCTCATTTTTGTATTTTTAGTAGAGATGGGGTTTCACCATGTTGGCCAGGATGTTCTCGATCTCCTGATCTCGTGATCTGCCCACCTCGGCCTCCCAAAGTGTTGGGAGTACAGGCGTGAGCCACCGCACCCGGCCTACTCTTTTTTTTTTTTTTTTTTTTAATAGCCAGCTTCTCTGTTGAGATGTAGCACCAGGGCTGTGTATCTGTTCAGTCTCCTTTGGGCCCAGGGCCAGTACGGGAGGGAAGGGAGAGCAGAACGCGGACCACTCTACCTTGCATTGCCTCATTGTGTATCATCGATGCCTGGTGGAAGTGGGCTTACTCTGCATCCTGCTGACACCGCAGAGAAACTGGAGCCCATGGCCTGCTTCCCTGGGACAGGAGCTAGGGTGGAAAATCAGCTTCCAGCTTGGCCCTGCTGAAACCCTGGCAGGGGCAGGTTCCACTGTGGTTTGGCTGGAATCGAGCAGGTATTGCCAACAGCATCGTCTATTGTTGGAGTACCTTTGCCCCAGACCCTGAGATGGGGTAATTTTTAAAGAAAAGAGGTTCAATTGGCTCACAAGCCTGAAGGCTGTACAAGCATGGTGCCCAGCTTCTGGGGAGGCCTCAGGGAGCTTTGACTCACAGAGGAAGGTGAAGTGGGAGCAGGCACTTCACATGGCAAAAGCAAGAACAAAAGAGTGGGAGGCAGTTGCCACACACTTCTACATGACCAGATCTCTTGTGAACTCAGAGCTCACTCATCACCCAAGAGATGGCCCACGCCATCCATGAGGAATGCACTCCCATGATATAAACACCCCCACCAGGCCCCGCCTCCAAGAGTGGAGATTACAGTTCAACACGAGATTTGGTGGGGGCATATCAAAACTACATTAACCTTAAATTATGAAGACGGTAAACTAAATAATCTGCTTTCTTTCCTTTCCTGTTTTGTGTCTGTTTTTCAGATTTCCAAGGCCAGCAATGTTCTCTTCCTCTCCCTTTTCTTTGTATAAAAATTCATTCTCAAGAAAAACTCTCATATCAATTGTTTACATGTCACTATGGCTAAGACACTAAAAGCCCTCTCCCTGCAAAACTGGTGGCAAAGCTCTCTAGAGAACCACAAACTGTTGCATCCTTACTACGTGGGGCAGCAGCAAGCCCAGGTGAAGATGTGCATGTTCTTGGAGAAAGTATTAATAACATACCGACACTTACACCTGGGTGAATAATTTCATCAAATCTCTTAACTCACACTTGCACAGACTTCACCTGGAGAGAGAGAGGGAAAGCTGTGCCAGAAAATAATGGGTATTGAGGTCACCATTTGTTTGTTTTTCTCAGGAGTGGAAGGAGATTAACCAGGGTGGCAATAAACAAAATTACTTGCTGTTTTAAAACTTAATGACAACCCTATAGGTTATTAACAATGCCAAAGTTGCAGGGCGCAGTGGCTCACGCCTGTAATCCCAGCACTTTGGGAGGCTGAGGCGGGCGGATCATCTGAGGTCGGGAGTTCGAGACCAGCCTGACCAACATGGAGAAACCCATCTTTACTAAAAATACGAAAAAAATTAGCCGGGTGTGGTGGTGCATACCTGTAACCCCAGCTACTCAGGAAGCTGAGGCGGGAGAATTGCTTGAACAGAGGAGGCGGAGGTTGCGATGAGCCGAGATCACGCCATTGTACTCCAGCCTGGGCAGCAAGAGTAAAACTCAGTCTCAAAAAATACAAAACAAAACAAAAAGCCAAAGTGGAAAAGCAAAAATTTTGTGGTATTTGCATTCAATTATTATGCTTTAATTCAACCATTCACAATTTCTAGGGAACATTAATTTTATTGCAATCCCAGGTAAATTTAGGATAATTTAACAATAATCGTTGGTGTTCTACTCATCTACTTGTCTTTAAAATCCACATATATTTTTTAAAAGATGACATCCTTTAAAAATATTATATTCAGTGAATTTTCAATATTATTTTAAATATTGTCATGGACAGTTGTTATTGGAAATGACAGTTCACCATTGCAAATCAATGCAGTGGCTACAAGTCCCCCGTGTCACACAAAAATAGACGGGGTAGCTCTGACAGCATGCATCCTTATGCCCTGTTCTATTAATAATGCACTGCGCCCCATCAGGGTCTGCAGCTATATCATTACTCACAGAGACGGTTCTGCCTTTGGCTTTCCCTGGTCCTCCATGGCTAGGAACATCATTTAACAGGGTTTTACAGAATTCACTGGGTGGTTAGTCTTAGAAAACCCAAGGCACAAACACACAGCCAACTACCCCCAAGTGCTTGTGCTTGAACTTTCAGAACATAAGAAAATTGTGTTGAAGCTGGATCTGCAAGTACAAATGGAGAGTGAAATGGGTTCTATAGAATCCAAATGACACACTCTTTCCTCCTGCTAAGAATTACTGGCTATTGAACCAATTCCTGCCTATTAACTGTGAGGTGAAGTCCAAGATCCACAGTCAAGCATTCAAAGATCCAACCTGATTTTTCTCTGCATAACTGTTTTACTAGGAGTAAGACTGACTTGCCTGGTTTACCAAGACAGTCTGTGAGAATTCTTCCCGCTTACCTTTACTGAGTCAATGTGGACAGTTTGAAATAACTTAAAACATTCTTCTTACATTTTTAAATCCTACACAAGCCTCAAAACAAAATCCAAGTCACTTTTCCTCTGCAGGGTCTTCACTGAGCCCCCCAGCAGGCATTCCTCTTGCTATCTCCTGTGTGAATAGCTCTGAAGGTCTGCATTGCAAATATGACAGTCAACACACCGGCTAAGGTAGAACAAAAAGTGGCATTATTAAGCTGAAAAAAGCCCGGACCAAAATGAAAGATTCTTATTGTGGGAGCAATTGCTCACACTCACCAATAGCTGCTTGTTTCCTTCTTGGGCACACAGAAATTACAATTCCCAACTTTCCTGCAGTTGGATAGAGCCATGTGAGTAATTCCAGCCTGGGGACTCTGACTAGAGATGAAAATCCCCTCCACGGTGGAGCAAAATCCCCTGAGTGGCCCTCCAGCCTTCTGTTCTCCAGCTGTGCTAACCTGGAAGCCACACATTGAGATGACAGAGCAGCAAAGTGGAGACAGGCCATGTCTCTGAGTCACCATGTGACCCACAGGAGATTTTGAGTAAATTAAAATACAAATCTTTGTCATAATAAACCACAGATATTTCAGCAATGATTTGCAACCATAGCGTAAGATAACCTATCATGGCTAATGCTCCTAGGTTCTCAACCTGTATCCACCAGTAACTAGATAGCTTGGGCAAATTATCTTCTATGCAACCTCTGGTTGATAATGAATTCCTTTTATAAGTAAGAGAATGAGCTGGAACCCAAATGCGTACAGAGGAAATCTGAATGAAGTGGGAAGGGTAAGACGCAGAGTGAGTGGAGACTTCACTCATTGTTGAAAGAGGGCAATTGCTACTCAGTTATTACTGATGCTTACATGAAGAAATCCAGTTTTAATATAACCACATCTTGCCATTTCTCAAGGGAAGTCATGTACTATCTGTGTATCTGTCCTTCATATAGCTCCATCAATATTCTCCTCTTAAATCTTGGAGACTGTGCAGGATGTTTTCCAAATGTCTCTCCTGATCCAGCCTGCAGTCTTCTCTACCCTGGTTTGGGTATCTGGAGCCAGACCTGTATGTACTGCATCAGCAGGTTCTCTTCCCTTCGCTTTCTGCATGGGTTCCACCACCATAAGGTCCTGGTGGGAGATCAGAGGCTGGGAAGAGCAGAGGCTGGGAAGAGCAGAGGCAGGAGAGGCACTGCATAACTCCTCTCAGGCAGCCCTCTCTCTCTGGCTCTCTGTAGGTTTGGGCAACTGCTCCTTCCATCCATATATTCAGGCTGAGTTGTGGAAAAGGCTCCCAAATGGCATTAGCTCCAGAGTGATGCACCTTCCATATCCTTTTATTTTCATTATTTCTCCTCCTTTGAAGAAGTTGAGTATTTTTGCAAGAACATTGACTAACAGGAACTAATCAATTATTCTTAAATTAAAAAAATTGAATGAATCAAATGTTCAACAAAGGATACACACACAGACTGAATGACAACTAAGTTATTTTACAGTTCCACAAACCTAGGGAGATCTATCAATGAATGGGGTATTACATTCTAATATTTCTAAGACTATATTGAATATTGAATATTCAATATTCTAAGACTATATTGAATATTCAATATTCTAAGACTATATTGAATATTCAATATTCTAAGACTATATTGAATACTGAATGACTACATCACCTACAAGAATACAATGAGAGTACTAAACTAACACTCAGTACTAAACATTTGTCCTACACTCAGAGGTAGACACCAGGTTCTGGTGTCAATGTATGATATGCCTGTCTCTAAATAAACATTTTATCAGATAACAGTCTTTGAAAGTCCCAGTGCAATAGTAAGTATAGTCTGGCCTGTGTATCCATGGGTTCTGAATTCGTGGATTCAAACAACCACAGATCAAACAATATTTTAAAAAACAAGTATGGTTGTATCTGTACTGAATGTGTACAGACTTTTTTTGTATTTCCCTAAACAATCCAGTGTAACAACTATTTCCATAGCATTTACATTGTATTATATATTATAGGTAATCTATGATGATTTAAAGTATATGGGAGGATTGTGTAGGTTATGCATGAATACTACACCACTTTATAGAAGGAACTTGAGCATTTGTGGATTTCGGTATCTGCAGGAGGGTCCTGGAACTAATTCCCCATGGATACCAAGGGACAATGGTATATACACAAAGTTTTACACCTGATTATAAAAGTATGTGTATGATATTTAAAAGTAACTTCAATCTTTGCTCCATAACAAATGAGAATTAACCATAAGTTCCACCCAAAATAATATTTAGAAAACTATACACTAGATTACTCTTAGTTTTTGTGGCTGTGTACTACCGTTATCCTAAAATTTGATAAAATCATTTTAAATGCCTTTTAAAATATTTTTTTACCTTGGAGATTACCACCAAGAAATGAAAAAGAATTCTGAACCAAATCAGAAGTTTGAGATTTGAAATCTGGCTTTGCTACTAACAAACCCTGTAAACTTAGAAAGTATAGTGCAATCAATTCACAACAGGCTTTAGAATAGGCCATATGAGTTTGAATTCTGATACCACGTTTACTAATCACGAAACTTGATCATAAAGCTATTGTGAGAAGTAACCAAGATAACACACACAAAGGGCTTAGCATGGTACAGAGCACACAGTATATGAAATAACTCTCATACAGTAAGTGTTAACTATTATTAAGAATTTTAAAAATAATTTGTAATGCAAGTGTCACTGTCAAGTTGCACAGGACCCAGAAAGAGGATAAGAACATATTTACAGCTTTTCTTTTATTATTTTTTAAAAAATCAAATAAATTCTTGCTGAAAAAACTAAAGGCAGAGGGAGGCAATAAGCAGTATTTGGAATGAAAACAAAACAAAAAGGTATTTCCTCTTCACGCATTTCTCAAATTCCAAATCCCCTCCCTACCACCACCACTGCTGATACTCCTTCCCTCCACAAAAGGAAATCACTCTTTAGGCTTAGGAAAAGACTGGCAAAAAGTATCTTGGAATTTTCACAAATGTGCATCCACAACACACATACATACTCCTTTTCTAAATACATCAGATCGTACTACACATCTTTTTCTGTGTCTTGGACTTAACCATTCAAATTATTATAGGTATCATTCGATGCCAGTAACTGGAGTTCTACCTCATTTCTAATTCATTTTATTGTAGTGTAATTTACATACAATAGAATGCGCATATTTTAGTTATAGGTTTTGATGCAATTTTATACATGTATAGGCTTGAGTAGCCTACCTTGATCAAGATGTAGATTTTCCCAACTCCGAAAAGCTCCCTGTGCCCCTTTGCAGACAGTCTGGCCTGCCCCATGCTCAGCAGTGACTGACCTGCTTTTTCTACTGCAGATTGTACAGTTCGTGCAAATGGAACAATACAGTGGTGTCCTCTGTTGTCCTCTGTTTTTCAGTCAATGAGTAGTACTTCCATTTATGAATATATTCTTCCCCCACCCCCACATTTTTTTTTTTTTTTGAGACAAAGTCTCACTCTGTCGCCCAGGCTGGAGTGCAGTGGTGCGATCTTGTCTCACTGCAGCCTCCACCTCCCAGGGTCAAGCGATTCTCCTGCCTCAGCCTCCTGAGTAGCTGGGATTACAGGTGCTTGCCACCACGCCAGGCTAATTTTTGTATTTTTAATAGAGACTGGGTTTCACCATGTTGGTCAGGCTGGTTTTGAACTCCTGACCTTGTGATCCACCCGCTTCGGCCTACCAAAGTCCTGGGATTACAGGTGTGAGCCACCGCGCCTGGCCACGAAGTGGTATCTTAATACAGTTTTAATTCTCATTGTTCTGATGGCTAATAATTTTGATCATTGTCTTATGTGCTCATTGGCCATTCATATATTTTCATTTGTAAAGTGTCTGCTGAGTCCTTTGACCATTTTCTATAGATAGCTTGTCTTTTGATTATTTAGTTATAAGACTTCTTTATAAATCTTGGGCAGACATATGTATTGGGAATATCTGGTTGCAATCTGTACCTAGCCTTTCCATTTTTTCAATACTGTCTTCTTGAAGAGCAGACTATTTTAAGTTTGATGAAGTTCAATTTTGCATTTTTTCTTTTATAGTTAATACCACTGTCTTCTGTTTTAAATTTTTTGCCGGTCTCATGTTTGCAAAGTTATTCTTCTAGAAATTTTATGGTTTTGTTTAAGTCCATGATCTATTTCTAATGAAATTTTGTATATGATCTATTTTATGAATGAAGGCTTAGTGTTTTCTTCACGTGGATATCAAGTTGTCCCAGCAAATTTGTTATATGCTTTCCTTTCCTCATGGACTAGCTCTCGTGTCTCTGTTGAAAATCAATTGATGATGACAAATCTCTTGAAAATGAGTTGATGATATATGTGTGAGTCAAATTTACCCCATCAATCTCTTTTTCTCTTCCTACACCAATACCACAGGGCCTTTATTCCTATGGCTTTATAGTAAATCTTGGAATCAGATAGTATAAGTCCTTAAACTTTATACTTTTTCAAAATCATTTTGTATCTTATATGTTCTTTGCATTTCCAGATAAATTTTATGTTCAGGTATCAATTTATATGACAATTTATATGGCAAATAATGAATATCATACAGTATTGAGTTTTCTGATTCATAAACTATATCTCTCCATTTAATTAGCTTTCTTTAATTTCTCTCAGTAATATTTTGCTATTTTTCATGTAGCAGATTTGCACAACTTTTACTAAATTTATTACCAATAGTTTTATGCTATTTTGATGCTTTTGTATGTGGTAGTTTTAAATTTTTTATTTTCAACTTTTCATTGCTAGCGTATAGACAAAAATTGATTTTTGTGTATTGATGATGCTCAGTTCATCATCAGTTATTAGATCTGGTCCTTTATTTGTAAACCCCGTAGTGTTTTCTTCATGTCATATCTTCTGCAAATAACAACAGTGTTACTTCCTTTATATCTTTTTGTCTTTTAATTATTTTGCTTGCTTTAGTGTCCTGGCTAGGACATCTAGCATCATGTTAAGTAGAAATAGTGATAGCCAATAAGGCTTTTTTGTTGTTGTTTCTCTGTTAATTTTTTTATGCCCATATCACATTTCCACTCTTTTCCCCCCTCTATAGATAATTTTTTCTTTTCTTTTTTTTTAAAAAGTTCTGGGATACATGTGCAGAATGTGCAGGTTTGTTAACATAGGTATACATGTGCCATGGTGGTTTGCTGCACCCATCAACCTGTCATCTAGGTTTTAAGCCCTACAAGCATTAGGTATTTGTCCCAATGCTCTCCCGGTAAAGAATATTTAGGTTGTTTCCAACTTCCAACTTCTCATCAGCATTACAATTGCTTGTAATGAGCATTCTTGTAGACTTCAAATGAGGATATTTCCAATTAGAAAGACGAGGTTTCCATTTGGTATCATTAAAAATCTCGGGAACAAGATAGCAGTGATGTTTACCCAACATTGTGAGTGCACTTAACACTACTGAATTCTACACTTTAAAATGGTATATTGTATGTCATGTATGTTTAACATGACAAGAAAGATAACTGATATGTTAAATGTGTGAAAATAATTTTTTCTCTTAAGTAGTTCAGTTTTGTTTACATTATTGATTTGCTTAGTCAAACTCATCCTCATAGAGAATACAAAAGTAATCTTGCCCAGGCCAGGCATGGTGGCTCATGCCTATAATCCCAGCACTTTGGGAGGCTGAGGTGGGTGGATCACCTGAGCTTAGGAGTTTAAGACCAGCCTGGCCAACATGGCAAAAACCCATCTCTAATAAAAATTCAAAAAAAAGTAACCAGGTGTGGTGGTGCCTGCCTGTGGTCTCAGCTACTCAGGAGGCTGAGGTGGGAGGATCACTTGAGCCTGGGAAATGGAGGTTGCATTGAGCTGGGATCACACCACTGCACTCCAATCTGGGTGACAGAGTGAGACCCTGTTTCAAAAAACAGAAAGTAAACCAGCCCAGATTTTTGCTAAATTCATAAGGTTCTACTAATGAAGCTGTAGAATGTAACTGAAGAATCATTAAGGAGACTGAGTCTAGCCAGTTCCACCCATGTCAATAAAAAGAGCCTCAGTGACTTTTTTCAAACTGTAATAACTCATTTATTTTTCTTTATATATTTATATATCAAACTATAATAAATTATATATATATATATATATAGAGAGAGAGAGAGAGAGAGAGAGCAACTTTTATGTTTCTGCATTGAAATATTTTAGTGCTTCAATGTGTGGAGTGGAAAATTGCCTTCAGAGAAACAGGCTCTAAATTTGAAGAGTCACATTTGACCTATATTTTGTATAGGTGTGATGGTGTGTATATTGACCATCAATATCATACTTTGACACAAATTCCTGAGGAATTAGTGCATTCGAGTCAGTAGAGCTGTCTGTGCTAAAGTGTGCAGGTCTCACTGAGGAACTGAGAACGCATCTGAGTTTCAAAGAAAGAGGTGTTTGAATACATTTGAGTTTTCAAAGAAAAGAGTGTTTGCCAGAATGGATGAAGGAGGTTGCTCCAAATGTGGGAAGCAGCCAGCGTGCCTGAAGCAGAATCAGGGAAAGAAAAGTGTGTGGGGCAGTCAGAAGGAATATATGGTTAGTATATATAAGGGACATACAGCGATGGTGGATGAAAACAAACCAGTAAGGAAAAAACAAGTGGAATATTGATGTCAATTTGCTGAATTCAATCAGCATAATTTTAACATTTAATTAATATAGTAAGACCTAGACAATGAATGGACTTTGTCATATGAATGTTATAGAGTTTTAGAAATAACGTTTGGTACATCGAATTAACTTACACAATCAATTCAAAAAGCACATGTATATCTTCAGGAGTGCCATATAATCAGACAAATACAACTTAATTAAGATTTGTGATTTTATTAGTCAAAGAAAAAAACATTAGGGAAGGATTCACCTAATCCTAATTGCATGTTTTATTTAGAGTAGGTAAATGGAACAGATCTTTATTTTCCAAAATTTCCTAGTATGAAATCCACTCTGCAAATGTCATAACAATCCATATGACTTTACCAGAGAGTAGCTGAAATAGTGGTACATACTGGCTGATAAAATTAGATACTGGATTAAAATAGATATTTTTATTAATAAAATCCTAATTCCCTTAACAATGTTATTCATAGTAGCCTCTAAGTACATTTTGAAAATAGTTGTGTATAGGTGAATTAACTACTTTACATATCCAGAATCTAGACTCTTGTAACCTATTGCAAGGAATCTACAAATTCATAGCTCTTGTACTCCTGGGATTTACAACCTACTGGTGTAAAAATCCTGCTGTAAGAGAGGTGCATATTCAAACAATTTTGTATTAATTGTTTGGAATGATTGCTTTGATAGGTAGGTCATCAATCTACAATACTTATGCTCACAATAATTATCCGAAGTTATCTCCTACTGCTGCCTGGATCTCAACTGAGAGATAAACTAATTTCTCTTCATTCTTTATATGAAACATGAGTATGCTGAGCTATATCTCATCTGAGGCCCCTTCTAGTTCTAATTATTATATAATTTTATGCAATGAAAAGTTAAACTAAAGTTATGGTTGTTAGCGTATGTCTCATAATATGCCTTGGTTCAGGGTTCTTCCTAGAAATAACCTCTAAATCAAGGATTATCACATTCAAGAAGTTCAGTGGGAAGGTGAGGCCAAGAACACTATGCGGGGAGTGGGAATTAAAATGTATTAGTCCTTGTTCTTCAAGAAACAGACACCATGTTGGGAATAAACATGAAAGGACTTGATTAGGGAAAATACCTGTGTGGGGAAAAAAAACAGAGTGCCTGGGATGTTAGCAGATTAAAACTTTAAGTCTGCTCCCAGTGGAAGGAAATATGCTTGGGTGACTTCTAGGGTATGAAAAAGTTCTTCAGGAAGTCCTTGAACCAGAGCTGGCTACCAGCAAGGTCCCACACCTGCCAGGGCGAGGCCTGCGCTAGTATCCCTGCCATACTCCCGTTATTGGCTAGGAGTAGGAAGGTGTGATTGCACGCAAACGCTGCCATGGATTCCAAAGCACAGCAGCAGAGGCCTTCATTGTTCCTCTCTAGGTACTTGGAGTTCTTCCAGGGCGTTACCGTGACTACCCTATGAGATATGGAAGGTAAGGGAAGCCAATACAGGATGTGCTGTTAATCAAGTGACCAGTGTGGGCCCTGGGAAATCAGAAAGACAGGGTGGAACATGTGCCTCAAAGTTATCCTATCTTAGGGTTGAGGGCTGGGGTATTTATCTGCCAAGTCCCACTGGTGAGTTCTCTAGGGCTGTGGGTGGGGACAAACATTCCATGAAACCCCCAGGCTGCCATACACCCAGACAGGCTGCAGCAAAAGCCCTCAGGCAGCTAACGTAGGTGCTTGCAATTGAAAGTCAGGCTGGTGGGCACAGATACAGCCAGTGCCAAGAGGATATGGGCAGGACCCCAACAGAGTCTGCTGCAATGCATGGGAAAGATGGTGGCAATGTCAATGGAGGTCCATATGGTCCCTCTCCGCAGTTCTTCCTCCAGCATCAATGCCATTTGGAATAATCTTCCAAAGACAGAGCACAGTCAGGATTAGTTATGTGTAGATGTTTTAACAGTAAAAATACTATGGGCTTCACCTACCCCTGGCTGTTGACTTTTTCAAAGTAGTGCAGAAATCTTAGGACAGCCTCCTGCCAAAGAGTTACATTTATTCCTATCACTGCCCACTGCAAGGCTTTAATAGCCCTTTTCTCTTTCTTTATGAGATGCATTGAAAAGACTATCTAAAAGCTAAATAATTAGGAAAGAATATCAACAGGAAAGACCTAATAGACTGGAAGGTAGGAAACAAAGCACAGGACGATTAAATTTTTAAAACACAGCAGAGCTAGCATTCCAATAAGCCCTAGGAAGCCTAGCGAGCTTTCACGGAGTACACTCCAGGGGCAGATAGTGGGTATGATGGTATAGGTCTCCACAGAAGAAGATATGTAGAACAGTCTTCTGATTGGTGGGAATTGTTTGCCAAAGGCAATCTTGAACTATTTCACAGCTAGCCTGGGGTTATGTAATCAATGGTCTTTCATAGCGGCAGAAAGTGCCAAAGCAACCAAAATTCCAAGTTCAACTGGATTTACTTGCATTTACTTACTTTACATGATGTGCCTACAAATATACAACTATCAATCATAGGTCCCAGGAATGTAGCACTTTTGCAGTATGTATCTAGAGTTACTGGCAATTGGTTCATGACATTATTGGGTTCAGGACATTCCAGAATTGCCCTAGATGCCAAGGTGTCAATTATGTACTTGGTATGAGTGTTGGGCAGAAACATCACCTCTATTGAAAGCTCAAAATGCATTCAGAAAATATTGATGAATGCTAATACTAACTTAATTGTGGAAGTGTTAGGTGTTCATCATAGGAAAACCTTCATTATCATGGATACTTTTCTCTCAGTCCTGCCTCTAGATTGATGAGAAAGAATGATCTACAATAAATTCAATTCATGCTTCTCCCGGATACAGGGTTAAATGTGAGACAGCAGCATTTTAGTTGCATTAAAAATGTCCCCAGTTATTGCTTCGGCCTCCCTCTGCTGTAAAGGCTGGATATGAGTTTGCATAGCAAGTAGCTAAACTTAAACTTTCCCACTCTTCTGAAAGATGGATAGAAAGTTTAACCAGTAAAAATATAATGCACAAAAGGTAAGTTCATTTTTAGTGCCTTGCAGCCTGCTTAGTTGGTGTAAAGAATGGACTACTGAAAGATAGTAAAAGCAGCGAACTTAAAATTTTACTATGAGAAACATGAAATTGTCACCGAAATTTAATTTAAAAACTCACAGAATTGTTGGCATAACAGTGACTTACAGCTTATTCATCAGAGCAAGTTAGCAGAAACCCAAATGCTATTCTCAGATATCCATTCTTTTCTCAGATATTGACTTGCGTGTTTTTACATTCCTAATGAAATTTTTTAAAAGCAACATGTGTAGTTGTCAAGCAAGCTAAATTGGTAGCCAAATGAACCCAACGACGTGAGGCTGCATTACATTTTGTAAATCCTAAGTCATATTCAACTTGTTCTATATACTGATTTCCTTATTCCTGTTAGGAAAGGAAGTTGAAAGTTTAGACTTGTCCAGATTTCAGCTTTGAGGATTCCTCTGTCACATGAGGCTTGGGGTGGTCTGCGTTTGTTTCAGCTTAAGAGCCATAGCAAAGATGCTTGGGGGTGTTGAAAGCAACAGCTACATTGCGGAGAAGCGAGGACAGAACTCACAGGTGTCCAGAAGGAGAGTGAGCTGTGGGAGAGAGCCTGGGAATGGGCAGCGATGGAGGAAAGGAGAAATGTTGAGGACCCCTCACCTCCCTTGTACTTTGTTTCTTGAAGCCTAACGTTTTGTAATCTATTGTGTTGTCTTGATCATCCAGGATGAAAAATGGATCTCTAATGAATACAATCATATCTGTAAGCTACAGATTTTACTATCAACAATATGATCTATTAGTAAAGCTGGCCACATGACACTGAATTTACTGGCCTTCGTATTAATCATATAAAATAGTGAAGGGAGTTATAGTAGGCTGATTCTGAGATGGCTCTCTGTGATCTCATTGGAAGAGAGATGTTTATTATGATATGGCAAAAGCCTAGTGCTAATGTGGTCTGCAGTTATGCTGAAAACAGAAGATATACCTGATAGACTTGGCTACATGGCTAAGGAGATTTCCAGGCAGTGGGGAAGATACTATTTTTCTCTTGCTGCTTATAGCATGATAGAAGAGCCATAAAGTGAGGGAAGAATAAAACAGGAGAGCATAAGGTCAAAAAAAGATACATTAAGGACATCTGGCTTTAACTCCAATGTGTAAAGTTCTTAAAAGTCATTGCTTCCACTCTTACCACAAGAAGAACCTGAGTGAACTGAAAATCAGTGACAATTCATGTATCCAAATGAGAATGAAGTTCCTACAGCAAACAGCCACCCAGAAATCTGCAAAGATAGATGAATTAGGGGAGTCACAGCTGAGATCTGTTTACCTGGTGCAGAAACCACTAGAAACAAACTCTTGGTAGCACTTCAGTGGCAATGCTTATGATTTTCCGGAGCACTAGTGTGGAGTCGCGTGAGAGTGATAAACTCCTGGGGTCACACTCTTGGAATCCCACACAGTTGTGGATTTTACCTCCAGAAGCCCCACCAAGCTCTCACAGTAAAGAGTTGAGAAAATGCCATCATGGTCATGTGGGGCGCATGGAAGAGAAGTTATTGTGAAATATACCCAGAATATTCTCCATGACAAAGACCTACCCTCCAGCGAGGGATAAAACCTTTAGCAGAGACTTATCCCACTTGAGGGAAGGTCACTTTTCTTACTCTGGACACCAATATCCTTCCTGTTCCTTGTAAGGGGAGAAGCAAAGCTAAGAAATGCTTGTAAGGGACATAGACCCCCTAAAAGACTGTGATGTAATCATAAGAGTATAGAATACTTCCCCTATGCCAACCTTCTCACCACACTAACAGGGCTCCAATGTAACTGTGGATTACACCTAAAAGAGCCAGAAAACACAGACTCTCTGTGGAGGCGTATATAAGGATGCCCAAAGTCAAGAGTGGAGACAAGATAAGGATACTAGAGGAATTTGAAGCCACCGCTACCTACATCTACAGCAAACATTATATATAGCTTGATTCCCAGCCAGATTAATAATAACAACAAAAAATGCTCACTAAAGGCCTGTTTGCCTCACTGATTACTATTCAATACATTATGTATGGGTTTTAATGGAAAATTTTAAGGTATCCCAAAAGGCAAGAAAAAGCAAGTCAGAAAGACAAAGCAAGCATCAGAACCAGACTCAGATTTGACACAAATTTGGAAATTATCAGATAGAGAATTTAAAATAACTATGTTTTAGATTTTAAAGACTCTAATGGAGGAAATAGTCAACATGCAAAAATAGATGTGTAATGTAAGAAGAGTGATGGCAACTCTAGGAAACAATCAAAAGGAAATGCTAGAAATAATAAAAATCACTGACATAAATAAAGAATGTCTTCAATAGTTTCATCAACAGAACAAGTTTGAGGAAAGAATGAGTAAGCTTGAAGATAAGTCAACAGAAATAATTTCGAAAGTATAATATACATCTATTTGGAATACCAGAAGGAGAAGAACAAGAACAAGAAACTAAAGAAATATTTGAAGTAACACTGTCAGAGGATTTTCCCAAATTAACCACAGCAAATCACAAGTCAAGAAGTAGAGAACAGTAAACAGGAGAAATACCAAAACAATTATACACAAACTTCAGAAAACCAAAGACAAAAAGAAAATCTTCAAAGGAGTCAGAGAAAAAGTAACCTGACTTACAGCAAAACAGGACAAGAATTAAATTAGACTTCCCATCAGAAACACAGAAGCAAGAAGACTGGAGTGAAGTATTTAAATGCTAAAATAAAGAAAAAAATACAAACTTGAGAAATAAAGACTTCCTCAGACAAATGCTGAGGGAAATAATCACCATCAGACCTTCCCTGTAAGAAAATATTAAAAGAAGTTCCTCACGGAAAAGGAAGGTGATAAAGGTCAGAAACTCAAATCTGCGTAACAAAGGAAGAGTGCCAAAGAAGGAATAAATAAAGGTAAAAGAAAATCTTTTTTTTCTTTTCTTATTCTTAATTGATCTAAAAATAACTATTTAAAGTAATAATACGATGATGGTATCATATGATGAGTGAAGTGAATGACAGCAATGATGGTGGCATAGTGTCATTTAAAGGTGGAGTTAGATTACTTAAAATGTATGTTGGAAACTCAGGCTACCATTAAAATATTTTTATTTTTATATTTTTTTTGAGTTGTAGTCTCACTCTGTCACCCAGGCTGGAGTGCAGTGATGTGATCATGGCTCACTGCAAGCTCCTCCTCCTGGGTTCAAGTGATTCTCCTGCCTCAGCCTCCCATGTAGCTGGGATTACAGGCACCTGCCATCATGCCTGGCTAATTTTTGTATTTTTATAGAGATGGGGTTTCACCATGTTGGCTAGGCTGGCCTTGAACTCCTGACCTCAGGTGATCCGCCTGCCTCAGCCTCCCAAAGTGCTGGGATTATAGGCATGAGTCACTGTGCCTGGCCTTAAAATATTTTTAAAATATGTATAATTAATATGCTAAAAAAGAAGATAAAATTGTGCAAAATGTCCTATTAAAATCAGAAAAGGCAGAAAAGTAGGAAAAGTAAAAAATAAAGAACAATTATAGCAAATAGAAAACAGTTTAAATATGGTGGATATTAACCTAATAATATCAATAGTCATTTTAAATCTAAATGGTGTAAAGAAGCCAATTTGAAGACAAAGGTGTTCATAGTGGTAAAAAAATCCAACTATATTTAATCTACAGGAAACTCATTAGAAATATACAGACATAGGTCAAAAGTAAAGGTTTTAAGAAATATAAATCTTGTTAACACTAATTTTTAAAATTGCATAGAACTTTATTAGCTGTGAACAAAGAAGATAGCAGAGCAAGAAAAATTACAAGGGAAAAGAGGTGCATTACATAACGATAAAGGGATCAATTCTCAAAAAAGACAACAATCTTAAACATTTATTCACCTAACAACAGAGCAAAAACACCTAAAAATGATGCAAAAGCTGATGGAACTAAAGGGAGAAATATACAAATTCACCATTGCAGTTGGAGACTTCAAACTTCTTTTTCAGTAATTCATAGCTCAGCAGGTAGAAAATCAGTGAATACAGTTGACTTGAGGAACACTATCAATCAATATGATATAATTGACATTTATATAATAAAATACTACCTACAAACAGCATAACATATGTTCTTCCCAAGCTTCTATAGAACATACAGCAAGATAGGTCACATTCTGGGCCATAAAACACATAGGAACAAATGTAGAACAATAAAAATTATAGGAAATATATTATCAGGTCACAGTGGAATTAAACTAGAAATCGGGAACAGAAAAGTAGCTAGACAATCCCAAATATTTGGAGATTGTCTTAACTGGTTTAGTGTAGCTATAAAAGAATACATGAAGCTGGATAATTTATGAAGAAAAGAGGTTTATTTGGCTCACAGTTCTATAGGCTATACGAGATGCATCGTGCCACCATTTTCCTGGAGCCCTTCAGGAAGCTTCCACTCATGGCAGAAGGTGAAGGGCAGCCAGCATGTTCAGTGATCACATGGTGAGAGAGAAGGCAAGAGAGAGAAGAGGGAGGGGTCAGGCTCTATTTAACATCCAGCTTTTGTGGGAACAAATGGAGTGAGAACGTGCTCATCCACTCACCAAGGGAGGGCATTACTCTATTCAGGAGAGATCCACCTCCAAGACCCAAATGCCTCCCATGAAGCCCCATCTCCAACACTGGGATCAAATTTGAATGTGAGATTTTGAGGCAACAATCATTTAACCTATAGCAGAGATTAAATAACACAATTCTAAATATCGCATGATCTAAATAAGTAGGCTCAAGAGAAATATAAATATTTTGAATTAAAGAAAAATGAAAATGCAATTTATCAAAATTTGTAGGATGCAATGAAAGCAGTGCTTAGACAGAAATTAATAGTATTACTGAATATATAAGAGAAGAAGAAAGATCCAAAGTTGATTATTTGAAGTTATAGAAGAAAAGCATAAAAAAATTAGAGCAGAAATTGATAACATCTAAAACAGGAAAACAATTGAGAAAATCAAAGAAATGAAATGCTGTTCTTTAAAAAATCAATAAAATTAATTGATAAATCTCTAGTTAAGGTAACCAAGAAAAAAATAAATGTACTACAAATTGACAATATCAGAAATGAAAACAGGGTCATAGCTACTGATGCTATGGACATAAAAAGAAATATGCAAAAATACTAGAAACAACTCTGCATGCCCACAAATTTGATGGCTGAGATCACTGGTCCCCAGCATTTTTGACACTAGGGACTGGTTTTGTGGAAGATAATTTTTCCCTGCACAGGAAGGTGGTGCGGTGGGAAGGTTTTGGGATGAAACTGTTCCACCTCAGATCATCATGCATTGGTTAGGTTCTTATAAGGAGCATGCAACCTAGATCCCTTGCATGCAGGCAGTTCACAATAGGGCTTGCGCTCCTATGAGAATTTGATGGGAGGGGGAGCTCAGGCGGTAATGCTCACTCACCCACTACTCACCTCCTGCTGTGTGGCCCTTTTACTAACAGGCCATGGATTGGTACCTGTCCATTGCTCAAGGGTTGAGGACCTCTGGCTTAGATGAAATGCACCAATTCCATGAAATAGACCAACTTGTACAAGAAGAAATGGATTATCTTGACAGGTGTATTTGTATTAAAGACACTGAACATAACTAATAACCTTCCAAAAAGAAAACAGCAGGCCCAAATGGTTTCATTAGAAATTTTGTTTTTGTTTCTTTTTTTTTTCTTTTTTTTGAGATGGAGTCTTGTCCTGTGACCCAGACTGGAGTGCAATGGTACAATCACAGCTCACTGCAAGCTCCGCCTCCCAGGTTCAAGTGATTCTCCTGCCTCAGCCTCCCGAGTAGCTGAGATTATAGGCACCCATCATCACTCCTGGCTTATTTTTGTATTTTTAGTAGAGACCGGGTTTTGCCATGTTGGTCAGGCTGGTCTCGAACTCCTGACCTCAAGTGATCCACCCGCCTCAGCCTCCCAAAGTGCTGGGATTATAGGCGTCAGCCACCATGCCCGGCCTCATTAGAAAATTCTGCCAAGTATTTTAAAAAGACTCAACCAAATCCTCTATAATATCTTCCAGATAATAAAAACAGAAAGAGCAGCAAGTGGAATTTATTCTAGGAATGTATGACTGGTTTAACATTTAAAAATTAATTACTCTAAGGCTGGGCATAGTGGCTCACGCCTGTTATCCCAGCACTTTGGGAGGCTGAGGCAGGTAGATTACCTGAGGTTGGAGTTTGAGACCAGCCTGGCCAACATGGTGAAACCCTGTCTCTACTAAAAATACAAAAAAAAAAAAAAAATTAGCTGTGTGTGGTGGTGCGCGCCTGTAGTACCAGCTACTCAGGAGGCTGAGTCAGGAGAATTGTTTGAACGTGGGAGGCGGAGGTTGCAGTGAGCTGAGATCTCACCACTGCACTCCAGCCTGGGTGACAGAGTGAAACTCAATCTCAAAAATAAAAAAAGATTCACTCTAATACGCTACATCAACAAGTTAGAGAAAACAAAATATATCATCATACCAATAGATGTGGAGAAAGCATTTGATAAAAACCAGCACCCATTAATGATAAAAACTTTCAGAAAATTAGGAATAGAGGGGGACTTCCACAAATTGGTAAAGAACATCTACAAAAACCTACAGCTAACATGACAGCTAATGGCCAGACACTGGATGCTTTCCCTTTAAGACAAAGAGCAAGACAAGTTGCTTCTTCTCACCACTCCTATTCAACATCATACAGGAATTTCTAGCTTGTGCAATAAAACAGGAAAATGAACAAATATATAACAGATTGGAAGGAAGAATAAAAACTGTCTTTTTTTAAGCAGATAACATGACTGTCTATCAAGAAAGTTCCAAAGATTCTACTTTGAAAAAGTCAACAAAATGGGCATTCTGAAAATAATTTGTAGTATAACAAATTTACAGGATACACAATCATGTGTATATAGTATTATATGAATACATAATTTGTATTGTTACTATATGTATAATTTGCACCATTACTATACATATAGTAGTATAGCAAAGTTACAGGATACACACTGTCTCTCTCTCTATATATATACAAATATTTGTATTTGTATTGTTACTATATATAGTATTATACATAAATTTTGTATTATTATATGTTTGCATAATTTGTATGTTACTATGTATTTTTAAATTTTTTTATTGTTGCTGTAGTAAACTACCATAGGACTAGTGTTTTAAAACAGAATGAATTCATTGTTACAGTTACAGAAGTCAGAAGCCCAAATACAGTCTGCCTGAACCAAAGCCAGGGTCAGCAAGGTTCCTTTCCACTGCTTTTGCCAACTTCTAGAGGCCACCTGTATTCCTTGGTTCATGGCCCCTCTCTTCATCATCAAATGATCAGCATAGCTTTATGACATCAGCAGCTCTGATTTTGCTCTCTTGCCTTCCTCTTATGTAGACCCTTGTAATTACATTGGGTACACCCAGATAACCCCAAATAATCTCCCTATCTCAAGATTCTTAATGTAATTATATCGGGAAAGTCCCTTTTGTCATAAAAGATAACATAGCAACGGATTCCAAGGATTAGTATGTGAGTTTCTTTTGAGGGGCTATAATTAACCCTACCACAATATAGAAATGTCTATTGTTTTTCTATATACCAGAAATAAGACATTAGGATGTGAAATTAATAACATAACACCACTTGCGGTATCACCAAAAATAAAATAACTAGGCATACATATGGAAAAATGTGAACAGGAACTATGTGCAGAAAACTATAAAACTCAGGTGAAAGAAATCAAAGTAAAGCTCAATATCGAGAATGATAGTCCATGTTCATGAATGGGAACACTCAATAATATTAAGATGTCAATTATCCCAGACTTTGTCTACAGATTTACTGGAATTACAATCCAAATCTCTGCAAGTCCTTTTGTAGATATCAACAAACAGAAGCTAAAATATAAGGGAAGGACAAAGACCTTCCTAGAATTGGCCTAGAATAGTCAATACACTACTGAAGAAGAACAAAGTTGAGCCCTTTTATTACCAAATTTCAAGACTCACTATAAAGCTATAATAATCAAGACAGCATGTATTTAAAAGAATAGGTAGATAGGTCAATGAAACAGAATTGAGAGCCCAGAAATTAATCTATGCAGAGTCTGCTGATCTTTAACAAAGGAACAAAGGCAAGTCAATGAAAAAAAAAAGTCTTTTCAAAAATGGGGCTGGAATAATTGGACACACATGTACCAAAAAAAAAAAAAACCCCAGACACAAACCTTATACCTTTCACGAAAATTAACTGAAAACTTATCAGGGCCCTAATTATAAAATACAAAATGATAAAACTTCTAGAAGTAAACATAAGAGAAAATCTAGGGTTTTGTGATAAAGTTTTTGATAGAACAGCAAAATCATGATCCATGAAAGAAAAAATTCATACGTTGTACAATATTTTAAAATTAAAAACATCTACTCTGTGAAAGATACTTTTAAAAGAATCATGGATGGAGCTGGAGGACATTATGCTAAGTGAAATAAGCCAGGTACCAAAAAACAAATATTGTATAATCTCATTTATATGTGGAATCTAAAAGAAATTGATCTCATAGAAACAGAACGAAAAAAGGTAGTTACTGGGGCTAAAAACGAAGGAGAGAAATGGGAAAGGAGAAGATATGGATCAAAGGGTACCAAGTCTCCCTTAGACTGGAGAAATAAATTTAAGTGATCTATTGCACTGCATGATGGCCACACCTGATAATAACATGTTGCATATTTCAAAATCACTAAAAGAATAGATTTTTAACATTCTCAACACACACACACAATGTTAAGTTGGTGAGATGATGAATGTGTTAATTAGCTTGATTAAATCTTTCTACAATGTATATATATGTAGGTCAAAACATCACATTTTAACCCATAAATATACACAATTGGCTAATTTAAATAAAAGCAAGGGGAAGAATCGAAAGATAAGCCACAGACCAGAAAATATTTGCAAAATACAAATTTGCTTAATTACTTGTACCCCAAATATATATTTAATAAACAGCTCTTAAAACTCAACAATAAGAAAACAACTCCAATATAAAATCGACAAAATATCTGAACAGACACCTCACCAAAGCAGATACACAGATGGTAAATAAACATAAGAAGATTTGCTGAACATCATTGGTGACTAGGGATTTTCAAATTAAAACGGCAATGAGGCGGGGCCTGGTGGTTCACGCCTGTAATCCCAGCATTTTGGGAGGCCAAGGCAGATGGATCACTTGAGGTCAGGAGTTCGAGACCAGCCTGGCCAACATGGTGAAATCCTGTCTCTACTAAAAATACAAACAATTAGCCGGACATGGTGGTGCATGCCTGTAGCCCCAGCTACTCAGGAGGCTAAGGCAGGAGAATCGCTTGAACCCAAGAGGCAGAGGTTGCAGTGAGCTGAGATTGTACCACTGCACTCCAGTCTAGTTGACAAGAGCAAAACTCCATCTCAAAACAAACAAACAAACAACAACAACAAAACAGCAATGAGGTACTATTACACACTAATTAGAAAGGCGAAAACGCAAAAACAAGCTGGAGATACCAACGACTGGGGAGGAAGCAGAGCAATAGGAGCTCTCACTCATTGTTTATGGGAAGGCAAAATGACATGGTCAACTTTGGAAGGCAGTTTCATGGTTTCTTAAAAAGCTAAACATACTTTCACCATATGATCCAGCAATCACTTTCCTAGATATCTACCCAAAGGAGTTGAAACCTTACATCCACACAAAAAATCTGCATGCAAAAGTTTACAGAAGGCTGATTCACAATCAATAAAAACTAGAAGTAACCAAGATGTTCTACAATATGTGAATGGATAAGGAAAGTGTGGTGTAGCCATAGAATGAAATATTGTTTAGTAATAAAAGGAAATGAGCTATTAAGCCAGAAAATAGATGGATGAATCTTAAATGCATGTTGTTAATTGAAGGAAGCCCATCTGAAAAGACTGCATACTGTATGATTTCCATTATATGACATTCTGAAAATGGCAAAAACAGTGATCATAAAAATCACCATTTTCAGGGGTTGGGGAGTGAATAGGTGAAGCTCAGAACTTTTAGGGTGGTGAAACTATTTTGTATGACACAATGTGGATGCATTACACTGAGGATAAAAAGTAAATCTTAATGTATGTAAATTTAAAATAGTATTTAGGAGGCCAGGGAATCCTAGAATGGAATGCAGAATGTGACAAAACCAACTTTATTAAAAATGCATTACACAACCTCACTGAAGAGGGAGGGAAAAAGGTGCTGACATAAGCAACTTTGGAAATGAGTCTGTAAGACACAGTGAAAAGAAACTGTACACAGCACTGCCACTGCATTCTAGTTAATAACACTGTTTCCCACTGGCTACAGGTTAAACGTTCTGATACCACTGTACCTATAGAGTAGAACTGAACAACGAATTGGATGGTTGGTGGAAGGCAGGAGCCAGATTTACCACTGTTGGAGTGGGCATTTACAGATAAGTAAGGGAAAAGGGCTGGAATGATTCGTGTGGCAACGGATTAGAGTTGTAGACATTAGTATGAATTAATATTTGGCTGAATATAGACATACACTGTTAAATATAGAAATATTTATAGATATTTGTGTATGACCTGGATTAGTATATACAAATACATTACCATTCTCTGTCAGCTAGAGGACTCAGAAACAGTATCACAGTAGCAATGAGCACTAGTAATGCCCAGACATTCGTTTCTAATACCATTGTCTAATAAAAATAACCAGGGCTCCTTGGAGAAGTGGCTGATTCTAGTGACAGGAAATGTACAAGATGAGCCTGAGGCACCTTGTAGTGCCATAAAGGAAATATTCCAATCGCATGCTCGTGCAGGCGCACACACACACACACACACACACACACACACACACACACACTAATGGGGGTGTGGCCAAAGGTGCACAGAGCCACTGAAGATCACCCAGTGGCCAAAGCTGGCATAATGTGAGCAAAAATAAATAAGAGTAGTATTGAATTATAACCCAAAATATCATACAAATATTCATAAACCCATGCTTTATAGTTAAATAATAAATAAATGAATGGGTGAGAAGAGACAGATCTCCCGTAGAGCAGAATGTTAAAAATGTATGCAAACGCTCTGCCCTCAAGGAGGTGGAACACCACTCCTCACTCCTTCAGTGTAGGCTGCATGTAGACGCCTCCTTACAAAGAGTACAGTATGCAAATGAGAAAGGATAATAGTAATTTTACTGTGGAGAAACTTGACAAATACTCCCTCAGGCCAGGAAATCCCAACCTTTGCCTGGCTGGATTTCAGAATTGCTTTAGAGCAGCAAATCCTTTGTGCCTCCAGTTCTCTCTTTATGGAACAGGTGTGCCTACACCTGTTATCTAATGTCCATCCCACCATTGTATGTTGAATACATGTGAGAAACTATCTTATCTCTTAACTTTTACATATCTAAACATGGAGGAAAGCTATACACAGGAAGTACACCCGAGGAGCCTCCTTCACACATGAAACTGTTTCTGATGATAGAATTCTAGACTTTGAGCTGATGCTGTAATGGAATGACTTTTGGCGATCTTGAAAGAAAGTGAGTGTATTTCACATGGGGAGAAACACAAATCATTGGAGGCCAGAGGGCTGATTGTGGAAGGCTGCTCCTGACAAGGCTTCCAACAATCCCATCCACCTGGCATTCACATTCTTGCAAAATCTCCTCCACTTGAGTGTGGGATGAACCTAGTGACTTGCATCTAATCAATTGAATAAAGCATAAGTGGTGAACTGTCACTTCCAAGATCAGGTTATACATGATTGTGATTTCCATCTTGCTTGTACTCTCTGGCTCTTCTTGAGTACTTGCCCTGATGACACTGGCTGGTGACACTCACATGGCAAGAAAATGAAAGTATCCTCTGACCAGTGGCAAGAAAGAACGGCAGCCCTCGCTCTAGAGGCCTTTGAGGAACTGAATTCTGCCAAGAGCCACACGAGTTAACTTAGAAGCAGATCCTTCCCTAGTAGAGCCTTCTGATGAGACTACAGCCCCAGATGAAAAATTCATTGCTATCTAGTGAGATACCCTGAAGCAGAGGACAGAGCTAAGCCATGCCTGGATTCAAGATCCTCAGAAACTGAGACAATAGATGTGCTTTGTTTAAAACCTTCATGTTTTCAAATTATGGATGGTCCCCAACTTATTGTACTTTGATTTACAATTTTTTGACTTTATAATGGATTTATCATGCTGTAACTCGTTAGTTCAGGAACATCTGGACTTATGATGGGTTTATCATGTTGTAACTCCATTGTAAGTCAAGTAGCATCTCTATTTGCTATGCAATAATAGATACCTAAGGAGTTTAAAAATTGTACTAACGTCTTGGGAAATGATTTGGCAGTTTCTAAAAACAAACAAACAAACAAACAAAAAAACAACCCTGCATCTACCTTAGGATCTAATAATTCCACTTCCACATATCAATACATGATAAATGAAAGTGTGAGTTCACAAAGAAAAACCCTGTACATGAACATTTAAAGCAGCTTGATCCATAAATAGTCAAAAACTAGAATTAACACATGTAATCATTTGTAAGAGAATGGATAAATTAATAATGGTACATCCATACAATAGAATATTATTTAACAATAAAAAATGAACTGCTGAGACATGCAAAAACATGATGGACCTCATAAACATTGCATTCAGTGAGGGAGTTCATAATGCATGACTTCATTTATTTGAAATTCTAGAATAAGCAAAGCTAGTCTATGGTGAAAAAATCCAAACAGTTGTTGATTATGGGGGTAGTTTATTGTGAAGAAACATCCTTTGGGGGGTGATGGCAATGTTACCTGTCTTAACAGGGGTATGGATTATACAAATATACATAACTGTCAAAACTGATCTGTTCATTTTACTATACATTATACCACAATTTTTTTTAAAAAAGGAGATGGCATAAAAGAAAGCAAAGGAAAACATAGTGAAACCCCAAATTCACAATGCAGGAAATTTCAGGAAGAAAACTATTCGTGCCATGGAAGAAAAAATTGCTGTTATTTTACTAAATCATAACTGATTACATCAAAGTCAAACATATTGTCACATAAGTGACATAAAATCAATTAGACATCAATAGCATGTTTCTTATCTTTTTCTGTGCAAAGTGTTCAAGCTTGATTAATGAAATGTCTTTCCTAACGCGAGGGTGAGTCATCAAGCTCGAGATCATGATGAGCTCCTCTCAGGGCCACTGCTCAGCCTGCTCCCTTCAATCCATCTCAAGGGCCCTCTCTTCTACTATAATGGAGCTCACAGTCAAAGTGGGAGAAGGAAAATACACAAGTAATCACAGATAAATGCATGAGTAGTTGTTAGCCAGAAAATTGGAATTGAGCAATAGTGTCTGTAAATTAATGTGAAGTGCTAGCAATTGTTGCAGGTAGTTGGTAGTAACAGCTGATGAACACCTACTACTATGCGAAGCACCTGCTGCACATTAGTATTTCTGAGCCTCAGTTTCCTCACGTGGAAAGGTGCAGCTATAACACCGACCTTACAAATGTAAGAATAAATGAGAGAAATAATTTGCCCAAGGATGTGCACTAGGAGGTGGCAAAGCCAAGATTCCAACCAGCATCTGCATCTACAGCCAAGCTCTGCATTACGCTGATCTCCAAGCTGAGCCTTCATATTCATCTCAGGAGTGACTTTTGAATGTCTTCAGCAGCCAAAAGCAACCAAACACAATAATTTGTTTTACAAAATGGTGATTATTCCAACTTGGAATTGGGAACATTAAAGAAATGACCATGAATATCAGCAAATAACGGAAGAACTAAAATAAATCTCCCTTTTACTTTTAAATGGACAATGTAAGGGGATGTACTTTTTTTTTTTTTTTTTTTTTTGGAGACGGAGTCTCTCTCTGTCGCCCAGGCTGGAGTGCAGTGGTGCCATCTCGGCTCACTGCAAGCTCCGCCTCCCGGGTTCACGCCATTCTCTCGCCTCAGCCTCCCGAGTAGCTAGGACTACCGGCACCCGCCACCACGCCTGGCTAATTTTGTTTTTGTATTTTTAGTAGAGACGGGGTTTCACTGTGTTAGCCAGGATGGTCTCGATCTCCTGACCTCATGATCTGCCCTCCTCGGCTTCCCAAAGTGCTGGGATTACAGGCATGAGCCACCGTGCCCGGCCAAGGGGATGTACTTCTGTTACCAAGCCAACGCACTTGAGGAAGAAAGTTCAGCTCTGGTCCTCATAAATTAGTCTAACTTCTTCCTTCAATTTATACAGGCTAAAACCAAGATTTTGGGATGGTGAAATAGAAACCAAATTATGTGGTTTGATTCCCATTCAGAATATTCAAACTCAACTATATCTGCCTGGATAAAATTTAACATTTTGTCAAATAATATGGCTGTATTCTAACGTGCCCTTGGTCCCCTGTTCAGACTTGTGATCCTAGAATGTTGCAATGCAGTCTTCATGAAGCAGCTGCTCTTTTTTGACTGATTTTTCCTGGTTCCCTGGGGTCAATTTCTTTTCACCTGTGTCTAAATGCCGACTAATTAGATCATGACTTCACAGGTGCCAAAAGAAAAAGAAAGAAAGAAAGAAAAACTCTTGGGAAGCTGCAGAGACTTCTATTGCAGAAAGGAATGGATGTACTCTGTTGCCCTTCCCCAAATACCGCCCTGGTCAAGCCAATTGGGCCGCCAACCAATGGCACCGACCGGGCCTCCGCGCGCAGCGCCTGCCCAATTGACAGAGCGCTCGCATCCCTCAGCTGTAGCTCGTGCAGCCTGTGCTAACGAGCCCGGGTGCCGTCCCAGCTCCTCCTCCGCCCACTCCACTGTCTCTCTTTCGCCTGTGCAGTGGTTCCTGGCAAAACCTCTTATGCCACCTCCCGACCATCCCGGGAAGATTTGGCGGCTGGAGCCCTGCGCAGGAGCTGTAGGCAAGAGTGGGCGCCAGTCCCTCCTTAACCCCTGCTGGGTGGGTGGGGTGCCGGAGTCCGCACTGATGACCGCTCCAGCCTGAGCTTTTGAGGGTGAGGGGGGTGTGGAAAGATCCGCCCTGGAGCGAGCGCGCACCCGTGGGCTCCTTGCAGCGGTGGCTCTGCCTGGTGGCGCGAGGGCGTGAGTGCGCGCGACTCCCTGGCTTTCGCGGGTTTCCCCACCCCTTGCGCAGGAAAGAGCCTAGTCCTGCGTCCCCCTGGCTCTCCCCACACACACCTCCTTGGAGCTCCTTTTGGGTTTGCTCCCGCTTCTGGTCTTGAGCGTCCTGAACTGTTTCCCGGGGAGGCAGCACTGGGCAGAGCGCCCTCGGAGCCGCTGGCGCCGGCCCGGCTTCCCTCCGGGGTCCCAGCAGCTGCTTCTCCTTCTCCAGCTCTGGGCTGCGGATTTTACCGCCCCTGCACAGAAGCCTGCAGCGTGGAGGCTCCCCTCGCGCTCGCCCAGACTCGGCTGCAGAAGGAGGACCCACCTCGCGTCTCCCCCGAGGCGCGCACCTCTGTCGCCACCCTCCACGCGCCTAGGAAGTTTTGAAGGTAGAGAATCTGGGCCCCTCAACTTCCTCTGGACATGAATCAAACCGCAGGAGTCTCCAATAGCGTCAGGTGTCCCCCGGGGAAAGGCCACAAGGTAAGGGACCAGCGACGGAGGGGGCTTGTGCGGGGGCGTGGGGCGCAGATGGAGGCTACAGTTGGCCGGAGAGTGGAGACTCCGGCAGGTTTGTGGAGGGAGTGTGAGCAGCCGCTGGTGCGTCTGCATGCCTTGCAGGGGTCGGTGACTGAGGATGGTTGGCGGATCGCGGGGGTTGAGAGAACGTGTGCTGTTTTGTAGACCCGCGGCCAGCAGCAGGGCTCTGCCCGTGCATCCGCTCCCGCCGGCCACCCTGGGGCTGGAGATCCTACCCTGCTTTGCGGCTGGGCTGGCAGGTGCAGCTGTTTCCCATGATTGCGAGGCTTTCGGGAGAAGAGGTCGGCGTTGGGAGGCAGAGCCCCTCCCCCTTTCACAATCAGACCCCCCTGGGCCAGAGCTTGCAGAGGAGCTCTTTCCCGGGAAGCGCGCGCGGGGCTCTCCCGCGGGCGCTGGCGCTGGCTGCTGTCACGGACACGTGCTTCATTAACTTTAATGGAGCGATGCGTGCCTGGAATTATTTCCAGGAAATTAGTGACGTTCAGAGAAAGGGGAGTGGGCGGCGGCCTAAGGAATTCTGGCAGAACCTCACTAGCAGCCCAGAGTGTGAGGGACTTGGGAAACGTTTACTCCCACGCGCAAAAAACCCAGATCGCCAGCGAGGTTCCGGATTTCGCACGGATCCTGTGGGGCCCGGCCACCCTTGGCCATGCTCAATACGCCTCACCTGTCTGCCATTCCGCTTAGGTTGTGATGAATTAGCGAGGAAATTCCTTACCCGGGTTACATAGGGAAGCCGCACAGCAATGCATGTAACAATGAACTTTAAAATATTTTCGAATATTTATATATTTTTTTAAATCGAAAAAAGGCGAGCACTGTGGAGCTTAGTCCTTGATATGCAGACTGAATTTATGCTTTACTCTGTCATCTTATTTTCGACACCTATTTTTGTGTGTACACTTTATGTAAGGGCATATATGTTTATTAGCTCTTATTGGAAAAATATTCCCATTAAAATCTACTTGTTGGGGTTTGGGGCATGTATTAGCCCACAATATCAACTCCAAACACTATCTACTTGTTCGGAGTTGAAGTGAGTAATGATATTGGATTCACTTGGCAGATAAAGGAATTCTTGTTCTGTTTGAGTTATGTAAGATGAGGATTTAAGGTTGAATGCTTTTATTCAACTGAGTAAGTAATATCGAGCATTTTCTTCTATCAGATCATGAAGAAATATTTGAATCAGCAAGTCATTTCTCTGATCTCTGTTCTCACTATGATTTGAGTAGTTATATGTTTCACATTTACATTACTTAATATCTACAGGAAATGTATTTTAATACAGAGTAGTTGATATAAAATTTTTCAATTAAAAATAAAGTTTCACCCATCAGTGATAATATAGTAGAGACATCTGTGGAGTTCAGAAGATCATTCAGGAATTTTCTTTAAGAAATGTCTTTGGCTCCAGTATTAAAGTGGCTTCTTGGAAGAATTGGACTGTAGAGTATTGCCACCAATAAAACTTTCTGGAAAGTGTTGGAACACACACCAACAATTTAAAAGGTACTAGGAAACCTGTTAATCATGAGTTAGGGATCACCTTACATACCTATCAGGTGTCCAACAAATACTTGCTCCAATGAATCATATTAATTCAATAGTCATCAATCATCCATTTAATAAACATGGTAAACCCCTATTAAGTTCCAATAATATGAGAACGGAGAGCCGCAATATGAACTTAGACATTGCCTTCACTGTCCAACATGCAGTTCTAGTCATACCCTATCCTTCCTTCTTTAAAATCTTTGATGGCCTAAAGTGAGATGATGGTGAAATCCATTAGCTAGAAGGAAAAAAAATATTCAGTTCCTTTTCTCAAAGAAGAACACACTTAAGTTGTTGTTTGCCTGTAAAGTTTGCAGCTTTGGAGTTTGTCTTGTAGGTTGCTGTGGTGCGATAACATGAGAGACTGAAATGATTGGAGGTGACGTGTTGGTGAAAGTTCTGTAGTGGATGAGGGATGAGCTGGTAGCAGGAGTCAACAGTCAACACTGGGAAGTGCTGGATGGACCATGTGACATTTAGGTCACAGTATTTTTCCAATAAAATATAAAACTCAACAATGTCAGTTTAGTAGATGTTTTGGAACAGTTGTTTTTCCATCGTATATATAGCATATACGACTTTGGTGGAAGGAAAGGCATCAGCCTCTTAGGAAAATATTCCAGCTGGACTCACTTTTGTTTGGTCTCATTCATTTACTGATTACTGGTGTAGCAATTTACACTTGGCAAATTCTTATCATTTGTTCTTGTGCAGATATTTCTTGAGCAACATTGGTTGTCTCTTTTAGATGGTTATTCACCTTTTAGATGTGTTAGCCTTCTTTTAGATGTGTTATTTATTGCTAGGTTCATTCTTGCCTATTGAAGCCCTAGAATTTGGAAAGAAGAGGTCCTTGTTGCAGCCTCCTTTCTCCTGAGCATGGGGGCACCTGACCACCTGCTAACAGCTGCTGAGGATCACAGGGTAATCCACCACACTGTTGGCCCCAGTAGAGGCAGGAGCCACTGGTCCTGAGAGGAAACCTCCTGAAGTGATAGTCCTCTGGAATTGGCTCCTGGAAACTTGTAAGTGGTATTCACTCTTGAGCAAAGAATACAAACTTAAGTTTTACAGAAGATGTAAACTACCAACATAAGACTGTTCAACTTTAGCTTTGGAAGATGGCACTCACCTTCTGAGCAGAAAGTAAGGACACCCAGTTGAGTAGTTAACTCCAGCCAAAGTAGGGCCTCTCCTTTCAGCCTCAGGTTTGAAGAGAAAGCAAAGGTTTGGATTGAGTTTCTTTGCTTAGAGCTTTTCTGAAAGGGAAATTTCCTTGTATCAGTATGTATTACGTTAGACATCAAGACAAGTATTATCAGTGCTTCAGTCTCTGGAAGCAGCAGACATAGCTGTCCAAAACTTGGACTTTGGGATCCTAAGGTACCAGTGTCATTTTGGATAAGTTGCTTAACCTCCATGCCTAAGTTTTATAGGACCTTCATGGTAGGAGTTTCATGAGGATTCAATAAACTAATCCATGTGTGGGGCTCGCAGCAGGACCTGCCACACAAGATGAGGCATTACTTTACCTTTGAGCACCCAAATCAGGGAGGACAAGGCAACTTCACTTTAAAACCCTTTTTATTAAGGGGGAGCATGTGCTTTATAAATATTTGTACCACAGCCTCTTTTTTTTTTTTTTTGAGACCGAGTCTCGCTCTGTTGCCAGGCTAGAGTGCAGTGGCATGATCTTGGCTCACTGCATCCTCCACCTCCCAGGTTCAAGCGATTCTCCTGCCTCAGTCTCCTAAGTAGCTAGGATTACAGGTGCGCACCACCACACCCAGGTAATTTTTGTATTTTTAGTAGAGATGGGGTTTGCCATGTTGGTCAGGCTGGTCTCAAACTCCTGGCCTAAAGCAATCCACCCACCTGGGCCTCCCAAATTGCTGGGATTACAGGCGTGAGCCACCATGCCCGGCCAACAGCCTCTTTTTACATGGTCGCCTCTCATAGGCACACAGCTCCTCAGGAGCAGGTCCCAGAGGGTATGAGTAGGATGGGATAATTGTTAGAGTATGGGCTTTGCAGTGAGACAAATGGTAACTTGGTAAAGATCACACAAATAGAGCTGGGCATGGCATGGTGGTATGTGCCTGAGGTCCTATCTACTCAGGAGGCTAGTGTGAGAAGATCATTGAAGTTGGAATCCAGTCTCGGCAACACAGTAAGATGGCATCTCTAACCCTCACCCCCACAACCCCAGAAAAAAATCACACAAGTAGAAAGTAACAAATGCAGGACATAATTTAATTTATTTTTACACATCTGGAAAAGGGGAATATAATGTATGCATTATCTCATATAATTGTTAAGAAAATCCCCATGTAACAGTTTGCATATAGTAAGCATTTATTACATGACAAAGCTTCACATCAAGCATGGATATAGGTCCTGGTAATAATTCTTTGTATTACTTATATTATAATTTGAGACCCCATTTTATCTAAAATTCTTCGCTCTATCTGATGTTGTAATTGTTTATATTTCATATCTGTTTTCTCTTTTCTCTGCTTTCAAGAGTATCTCCTTATCTTTGATTTTCCATGTTTGGTGACTTGTATGTGACTAGCCATGGGTTCTTTTATATTTATCCTGCTAGGAGTTCACTAAGCATCTTGAATCTTTAATTCTTTCACCATATTTGGGGATTTTGTACCATTATTTTCAAAAATATTTTTACATTTTATTCTTTCTTGGGATGACAATTGTATATATATTACACAATATACAGATTACATATTATGGCCTACAAATGCATATAGCATTTACACCATTTGATAATTAGGATCAATATAACAGATTCCATGAGCACTTTTTCCAGCTTGTAAGATTCCTTTCCTAGCCATTTTTGCCAACAAGGAATCTAGCTCCACCAGGTCCGAAAAAACTCTCAATTCAGAAACATACTTAAAGAGTAATCGTTTTGTCTGAGGGTAGAGATCAAAAGTCTCTGCTTCCTATTTGTGAAGGTGGATATTTAACATTCTAGTTTTCGTTCTCATTCCACCTTTGTCTCCAAAGCCAAAAGGGATGAGTTATTAGTCCATGAACCTCAACGGATTCTTTGCAATGAAGAGTAGATGCAAAACTTTGGCTCTGTGGATTTCAATCTGAACTCAACTAACGAAATCCCTTCAGGATCAAGGACTCACTTGGTGCCTCTCTGATGAATGCAGTGATTAATAATCGTAATATCTCCTGTTTACCCATTTGCGCTCCTAGAATGTGGCAAGAAGTCAATCCTTATTCATCATTTGGCACCATTTTCTGGTGAGGAACATCGTATTCTACCAATGAATTACTAAAATGTTGGTGTTTCTTCTCAAGGTTTTCATGCTGTGAAAAAGCTGATGAAGTGTTTGCATTTTGAAGTTGCTTATGATCCATGAAGAGTGTCAGCCTCTACCCACAGGAGTTTGCTGACTTTTGCCAGCTCTAGGTATTACACTTTGTGGAAATTTAATAGCCTTCTTACCTTCTACTTCTAGTGTTTATTTTACCACAAGGACAGGGATAGCAAAGCTTGTATGTCTGTCATTTTCCTTTTAGGACATTAAAAAAAAGGATTAATCAGCTAAAACCATTTTGATTCAATAGAAATGCATTTTTTTTTGTGTGTGAAATACTACTCATGAATCCCACCTACATTTTTACTTTGATTTCATCCTTAAAGGATATATTTTCCTGGATGTAAAATTCTGAGTTGACAGAATTTTTACTTCTTTTTCAGCACTTTAAAGATGGCATTCCACTGAGTTCTAGAATGAGTTTTTTCTACTGAGAAGTGAAGTCATTTGATTCATAGTTCCCTGTATGTACTGTATTATTTTTCTTTGTCTGCATTTAAGATTTTTCTTTGGTTTTCAATATTTCAATACTATGTGCCTAGGCATGATTTTCTTCATATTTATTACCGTAGTGGGTGCAAAGATCACCTTGAATCTTTAAATGCACCATCTTTGGGAATTTGGTGGCCATTATCTTGTCAAACTTTTTTTCGGTCCTATTCTTAATTTGTTGAGATGACAATTATGTATGTTTTATACAGCTTATATTGCTTTACAGGTCTCTGAGGCTCATCATTTTTCCAAGATACTTTTCTCTCTCTTTTTCAGATTTAATTTCTGTGGTTCCATCTTCACATTTAATGAGTCTCTCCTCTGTGTTCTGCATTCTGTGGTTTGTGTGCTTAGCTCCGGATATTGCATTTTCAAATTCTAAAATGTCCACTTAGTTCTTTCTCCATAATTTCTATTTTCTGCTTGGATTGTTTTTTTTTTTAATTCACCGTGAGTATCTTTGCTGTTTAATAAATGAGGAGTCTTCTTATAATACTTTAAAACTCTTGTATGATAATTCTAACATCTGAGCCTTCTTAGAATTGGTCTGTGTTGACTGTATTTTCTTCTCGAAATTGGACCACAGTTTAAAATGTCCTTGTATGTTGAGTGATTTTGAATTTTATCTTGGGCATCATGCTTGTTGTGGAAACTCTGCATTCTGTTTTGTTTCTCTGATGATTTGTTTTTCATTTTAATGAACACTTAAGTTGGATGGCAACTCAAATACAAGTTTTGTTCTTTTATCCTCTTGTAGCCCATTCAGCACCTGCATGACTCAGGGGACAACTAGAGATTTGGAGGCTGCCTAGTTTTCTTAATTCTGGAATCCCTTTTCACTTTCCAAGTGAGTCCTCTTCAAGACTTTAAATCTTTGTGAAGCTTTCTTGTTGACCTTCACTCAGTCTCTTTTTTATTTTCTGTCAGTTCTTTCTCTACTCTTCTTTCATTTTCCCAGTGTTACATTTTCCAAAACTCACATTTTGATAAACTATCACTTGTCAAATCTGAAAAATCTGAAGGTTTTCATGCCCTCCCTTTTTTGTCTTCTCATAAGAAGCAAAACCTACTTTAATGCTCTCCCTTTGCCAAAATACCTCCTGTCTCCTTTTCTATTCTTTCCTGCCCCTTTTGGTTTAGATCCATAGACCTTCCCCCTTCTGGGGCATTTCATCCTATTTCCGAACTTTTCCTCAGTCTATCCTGCTTAGGAATTGAGCAGCCTCCTCCTCCTCTTCATGGCTTAAAGAATTTCCCTCCTGGATTTTAGCACTGATTCCCTTTCTGTGCTTTCCACTTTCCAAGTGAGTCCTCTTCAAGACTTTATATCTTTGTGAAGCTTTGTTATTGACCTTCACTCAGTCTCTTTTTTATTTTCTCTTCTCTTTCTGTAGGAAGCCCTCCCTCTAAATGATTAGATCAGCCACTGACTCACAGGCTATGGGACATGGCAAACTCATGCAAGGCTTATGGCGTTTCACCAGTTGCTGCCATAACAGCAGGTCCTTTTCCTGCCCCTTTTCTTTTCTCACACACTTGGCTTCAGAACCACCATCTATGGACATGAGTATATCACAGAACCAGAGTCCTGCTAAGAAGGGAATTTTTTTTTAATAACTCATGGTTGCAGGTACCATTCTCCAGCTTGATTTTGGACTTGAATCAGACCCTCCCACCTACTCTGATCCCTACACCTCCCTGTTCCTGAGCCTGTAGTTCTTTCTGAATTCCCAGGTTCCCTCATCCTGACCATTGGTATCTGTCGTTTTCCACATAGTGTCTAGTTCCTCCTATGCTGGAGAATCTTTCATCCCTAATATAACATATTTAAAATTAGGATCTAACTTTAGAGGTAATTTCATTTAGTCCTCTCATTTCAAAAAACTGAGATCCAACAAAACGCAGTTAATGAGAGAGCCAGGGCTCAAACCCCCACTGCCTGATTCTAGGTTTTGGCACATTCCATTATACGAGGCTGTTTTGTGGTTCATCTTCTCCATCTGAGCACGCAGTGAAGGGCCACATCTGATAGACACTTGGGCATCATGAAGGTTAGTGAGTCAGCCTGAAGGACACTTCACTAACACTTGCTGTTAGCAAGGGCATGTCTAGTTCATAACTTTTCTTATCCACCATTGCTCTTCATTCTGAAAAGAAAGCTTAGTTGTCTAATTGGTAATTTCTGGAAGAAATAAGAAAGAGTACCCGTGTAAATATAAATAAATAAATTCTTTTTATCACCCAAAACTTAAATCATCCCCAAGTATTTCAGAAAGTTTAATATAATGGATAGAACATAAATTACTTTTATGACTTCCAGGATATTACTGAAAATCTATTTATGTTATTTTGGCTTTACATTTTATTGATTTTTAAAATTTTAATTGTCCTCATTTTATCAGTAAAATACATAAAATGAATCTAAGCTCATACATAAGTTAAGTTTCCAGGAATAGAGGGCAGTAAATGAGTAGTAACTGTTTTTTCTGGTTTTATTTGTTGGATTTTTTTTAAGTCAAAAGTTATACCTCAAATGCAGTATTTCAATTATCTTACACCTTGTACCTCATGAAGGAAATAGAGTGATTGGAATTTTATAGGACCCTCAAATCTAATATTTTTATTACAGTCCCAGCAATATGGATTTAGTCAAAAGAGATGGAGGAAGTTATGTAATTTCTTGTGCATGCCCTCCCTCATCTTTAGGGCTTTAGAAAGTTTGTATTATTTTCCTATTATGGAGACATAATGTGTCTGTTCTTTCAGTGTCTGTATCTTCCTTTTTATGAAAATTTCAAATGCAATATTAAGAGATCATAAGGCATTTAGGCATTATGAGACATTTTAAAATTACATCTGACAAAATGTGCGCACAGCAGAACAAGTTCATATTTTTCATTTTGTTTTTCATAAACCAAAAAAGCTGACAATTCACTGGGGCCTCGTGGAAACTTCTTAACTGTGTGACTTCATACAGAAAAGCTCATCCAGTGGCGGATGGTTTACTGAGGTAGAGTGGAAGGAGGGAAACGGAATCAGTAGACTCGATCTTAGCATTGGTTGAGTGGGGCACCTGTTTTGTGTCAGGTGGGTGGGCACCGCTCTCTGGGCCTTTGTTCACCTGTGTGAAAGCTGAGGACATTCAACCAGCCTTCAGGGTCACGTCAAGCTCCAACTTCACAATATTCCAAGCCTAGAAAGAACCATGGGCCGGGCACGGTGGTTCACACATGTAATCCTAGCACTTTGGGAGGCCGAGGTAGGTGGATCATTTGAGTCCACGAGTTCAAGATGAGCTTGGCCAACATGGCGAAACCCCATCTCTACTAAAATACAAAAATTAGCCAGGCACGGTGTGGTGCATGCCTGTAGTCCCAACTACTCTGGAGGCTGAGGCAGGAGAATCGCTTGAACCCAGGAGGTAGAGGTTGCAGTGAGCCAAGATCGTGCCACTGCACTCCAGCCTGGGTGACAGAATGAGATGTTGTCTCAAAAAATGTAAAGAAGAAAGAAAGAACCATAGGCAGAGTGTTTGCTATTATTAAGGCATCCATTGGCATAGATATCAAAAACTATCCCATAGTAAAACATACTTAATGGAGAACCTAGGCCAGTAGATGTCCTTTAGACTTCAGTGTAAAAATTATGACCTCCAGCAAGTCCTTTAGGGAAAGGGTGCCTTATAGTTGCTAGGCTAGTCTTTTCAGGGACTCTTAATTGGTGTTTGTCATATTTAGTGAGTAAGTACTAAACTCATTGCATAAAGTTATAAATTATTGAAGTCAGCTAAGTCAAGAGATGGTGTCTTAAAAGCAGGACAAAAGAAGATTATTACCTCTTTTGTTCTTGAAAAAGATATTGCAAACACTGGATACCATGTTTAATAAGTACATTGAGGTATAGTTGACTGTGCATATTTAGAATGTACGGTTTAATAAGTATTGACGTGTGCACATGTGCATACCCGTGAAAACGCCACGGTCAAGGCAATGAGCATATGTGCCATTCCCAGAAGGTGCCTCATGCTCCCTTGTGATCTGTTTCTCCCTAACAATTCCACTACCTTTTTCCATCCGTAAGGAAAACCGATCTTTTTTTTCTGTTACTATATATTACTTTCCATTTTCTAACATTTTAGATAATGGAATTATTAAAGTAGGTGGTCTTTTATAGTCTGACAACTTTCACTAAGTATAATTATGTTGAGATTTATTCATGTTGCAGCATGTATCAATAGTTATTTATTTGTTGCCAAGTAATACTTGATTGTATGCCTATACCATGGTTTGTGTATCTATTCACATGTTGATGGACATCTGTGTTACTTCAAATTTTGGGCTATTACCAAAAAAGCTTTTATAAACATTTATGTACAAGTTTTTATATGGACATATGCTTACACTTCACTTAGGTAGGGTAAATACCTAAGAGTGGAACAGCAAGATCATACAGTAGGCATATGTTCAACTTTTTAAGAAACTGTTAAATTATTTTCCAGAGTCATTTTAGAATTTTATATTTCTACCTGCAGCTTCTGAGGCTTCCGGTTCCCCCAAATCCTTGCCCACACTCAAGATAATCAGTCTTCAATATGAGCCATTTAAATAAGTGTTTAGTGGCATATTGGTGCAGTTTAAATTTGTATTTTGCAATGGCTGATGATGTTAAGCATTTTACAGATGCTTATTTCCATCCACATATCCTCTTGGCTAAAGGGTTTCTGAAAATCCCTGACATATTTTTGATTGGGTTACTTGGTTTCTACTGAGTTGAGAGTTTTTCATAAATGTCTTTATCAGCTATATATTTGCAAAGTTTCTTCCAGTCTATAGGGGTATATAGTCTATAAATAAATCTTTTTTTTTTTTTGAGACCCAGTCTCGCTCTGTCACCCAGGCTGGAGTGCAGTGGCCCAATCTCGGCCCACTGCAACTTCCACCTCCTGGGCTCAAGCGATCCTGAAACTGCCTCAGCCTCTCTAGTAGCTGGGACTACAGGCACGCACCACCACACCCAGCTAATTTTGTGTGTGTGTGTGTATTTTTAGTAGAGGTGGGGTTTCACCATGTTGGCAAGGCTGGTCTCAAACTCCTATCTTCAGGTGAACTGCCTGCCTTGGCCTCCGAAGTGCTGGGGTTACAGCTGTGAGCCACCATGCCCAGCCAACAATGACTTTTGAAGATGCTTGCAATGTGGATAACCATATGTGAAAAAAAGAACTTTGATATATCCTAACACCATATGAAAATATTAACTCGAAATGGATCATAAATAAAAATGTTCAATCTAAAACTAGAAAAATTCTAGAAGAAAACATAAAATACCTTTAAGTTAGGCAAGTGCTTTTTAAGTATCTATGAGTTTATCCTTTTCATCAAATTTGGAAATCTGGGGGCACTATTTCTGCAAATATTTCCCTGCTTCCACTTCTCTCTCTCTCTGTTTCTGTCTCTCTCTCTCTCTCTCTGTTTCTGTCTCTCTCTCTGTCTCTCTCTGTTTCTGTATCTCTCTCTCTCTCTCTCTCTCTCTATCTGTATGTGAGTGAGTGTGTTCTCTGTCAGGGGTTTCAAGTGCATGTATATTAGGCTGCTTGAAGTTTTAACATATCTCAATGATGCTTTGCTCATTTTTAAATTTATCTTTTCCCTGGGTTTTATTTTGGATTATTTTTATTCTTATGTCTTCAAGTTCATTAATATTACCTTCTGCAATAACTAGTTTGTTGTGAATCCCACCCAGTGTATTTTTTGTTGTGCGCAGTATCCATTTCCTCTCTAGGATTTCAATTTGGGTCTTTTTAATGTTGTCCATGTCTTCATTGAACATTTTGCACATATGGAATTCAGCTGTAATAATTGTTTTAATGTCCACGTCCACTAATGTTAAAAGTTGCAGCAGCTCTGGGTCAATTTCAATTGATCAAATGCCATCCTTGAATGAGATTTGTATTGTTTTGCTTCTCTGCAAGCCTGGTAATTTTTGATTGGATGCCAGATATTGTGAATTTTATCTTGTACATGCTGGATATTCGAATATTCCTAAACCTACTTCAGAGCTATTTTTCTGGTACTCAGTTAAGGCCCCTGGAAATAATCTGATTCCTTCAGGTCTAGCTTTAAAGATTTACTGGGTGGAAATGTAATATTAATTATAATTAACTATGATTATAATTATCCCTATGCTCAGTTTTAGGGCTAATTATCCCCACTACAAAAATAGGGCCCTTTTGCGTATTCTATGAAATGTCCATGAATCATGAGATTGTTTGAGAGTGGCTTATCTGAGCACGTACTATTTTCTGTCCTGTGTGAGTGTCAGGGCACCACTGCCTCCAATACTTCCAGGTTATTCTTTCCCCAACCTTGGAGAGTTTCTCTCATGCGTGCCCTGTTCTGTACTCAGCTAATTTTCAGGGGGCCCTCAGCAGATCTCCAAAGCTCTCTTTCCGTGTTGCTTGCTCCTCTTTCAGACCCTTTAGCGCAAACTGTAGCTGCCTTGTTCTCCCCAGACTCTCAGCTCCATCTGTTTAGCTCAGAGTCTCCTGGGCCCCACCTAGGTTGTCCATCATCCGCTTTAGTCTGAAAACTCTCTAAGGCAGTAAGCTCGGGATAAATGGGACTCTCCTCATTTACTCCCCATCTATCAGAAATCAGTGTCCTTCTTCGCTTTCTTTGATATCCAGTGTCTCGAAATATGTTGTTTCCTATGTTTGTACAAGATTTATTTGTTTCAGGCAGGAGGATTCATCCATTTCCTGTTTCTCTATTTTGACTAGAAGTGAAAATCTCTGGGAAAATTTGTTAGTACATACCTTTTGATTTTAGAAATCATGACTTTAAAATAAAATGGGCCTAAAATGTATGAGAAATTTTAAATTAGGCTAAATTTTATGCTGAATATATTGAATAAGTTAAATATAACTAAGACAAACCCATACTCTGCATATCTGACATGAATTATTTGAGGTCTGAAGACTGGAAGACACTATGAAATGAAAAGCTTGTCAACAATTTGACATTTCTTTCTCCATGCTTCCACTTTTCCAAACTTTTTCATGAATGTCACCTTATTTCATCTTGCAACAGCCACTGAGGTAAATAGGTAAGTATTTATCTCCCCTTTTTTTTGACTGAGGAAATTGTGCTACACAGTTACGTGTGTATCACTTATGGTCAAAAGCTAATAAAATCAAGAAATGTTTTCAAACTAAAAATGTATAAATATTGAATACTATTCAATCTTTTATTCAGCAAGCATCGATCCATGCTTCCTTCAACCCACGTTATCTATTAATTTATCCAATGCCGAATACTATTTCTATACTTCATAAGCATTGGACTCCTTGCTATTATTCCTTTAAAAATAACTAAGAAACTATTATTTTTATTAATGAGTCCGTGTGTGCACAAACAAGGCAGAAAACAACAGAATAAAATACCCAGGGACACTGAAAAGGAATAAATCCAAATTGTAGCATTTTGGTTGGTCAGGGGAAAGAGTGGTCAGTGTGGTTTAGGTAGGAAAGGCTTGCCAAAGATAATGGGACTTATTGCTTACTCTTCTAGTTACATGTCCTGCAGTCATAGAAATATGCAGACTAAAGTCCGTGTAAAAAACATTTTCCGCTTCCCCACATGATAACTGTAATCCTTTGCAACTCAAGGGCCCTATAGGGTTTTAATAGACAGTTATTACATAACATTTTCTATGTTTACTTCTGTTAATTTGTATTTGTAACCACGGAGAATAGATTCTAATTCCCTGCAATACAGGAACTCTGAAGCTTTACTTCCCCTTTACAATGGTCAAAAGCCTGAGAAATCATAAAGAGCAACATGATATGAAAAAATAAAAACAATAAAGCAACTTTTAATATCTTCTTCCATCCTATGTAGGCTTTTGTAGTGGTGCAACATTCCTTACTTAACCTATTCATCAACTGCCAATTGGACATCTGTGTAATACAGGTGTTATTCATTGCTTCCCAGGCCACTTATCTTCTAAGGGATTAAGACTCTACCCGCCTGGCGCGGTGGCTCACGCCTATAATTCCAGCACTTTGGGAGGCCAAGGCGTGTGGATCACCTGAGGTCAGGAATTCGAGACCAGCCTGACCAACATGGAGAAACCCTGTCTCTACTAAAAATACAAAAAAAAAAAAAATTATCTGGGCATGGTGGTGCATGCCTGTAATCCTAGCTACTCAGGAGGCTGAGGCAAGGGAATCGCTTGACCCCGGGAGGTGGAGGTTGCGGTGAGCCAAAATCGTGCCATTTCATGCCAGCTTGGGCAACAGGAGCGAAACTCCATCTCAAAAAAAATAATAATAAAATAAAATAAACCCCACCCACAGTCTCTTCTCTCCTATTTGAAACACAGGACTCTGTCTCCTCCTAGATACACACCAAGGTTGAACAAGCACTCCTAGGGGAATAAAGCCACTAGTTGAGCCATGCCAATCAAATCCTCTCTTTTGGAAACTTGAACAAAGACATAGAGATTACAATGAGAATTTGAAGGACGCTGTATAAGATACTAGACTGACAGCCGTGCATGGTCATGAGCAGCCCAGGGATGACCACTGGGAGAAGAGAAGGCGGAGAGCAGCAGAGATCACAGAAATCATGAGGCCCTGAAAAGTGAAGATCCCGCCCTCACTTTCTCACTTTCCTGATGCAGTCATGTGAAATTTGTCTTTACTTCCATTTATTTCCTTTCCAACTCTCAGTGTTCTGAAATGTACCATTACGTAAAAGTGACAGAAAATGAAGAAAAACCATTAATTCCTAGTGGGATTTCCCATTTTTACTCTCACTCGCCATTACCACCAAATAAAACTGTTTTTGTTGAGCAAACTTTTCTATAAGCCTCTTTGCATTCTTACTTTGCATCCCAGGAGGTACAAGTAAGAAAAAAAAAAAAAAAAAGGTCTTCTGAATTCTTCTGAATTATTTTCTAAGTAGAAGTGGGAGTGATGGCTATTTTCCAGGTTAGTATTGGTTAGAGCTCACCAGAACTGAATTTGTCAGAAAAATAGAGGGTATCTATGAGGCTTTGTGGCGAGAGACAAAAGGGAACAAGGAAAAAAAGATGTTGCTGGCAGCCAGGAGATATACTTTGGGGAGAAGAATGGAAGTGTTACTGTATTGTATCTTGCTTTTTTAGAAAAGTGTGAATAGAAATCTTCTGGGTTTACTAATGTGTTATAGAGCTGGATTTGGGCGTTTTGTGGCAATTGGAGTTGCGTAGTTTACGTAACATTGAGCAGAGGTGCAAGATGGGAGAGACAAGAGCTCAGACTGCCCAACGGGTCTCAGAAAATGTAGGTTACATCCATAATACATTTGTTTGTTGTTTTTATTTGAGCTACTTTGTATAGGCATCTATTTTCTTGCAATCAAATAAGCTCTAACGAAAATGATGTGTAATGTACAAAGTACCTTAGCAGCTTCAATAAGCATTAGACATGATCTCCACCCTTTCATGAATTCACCTGTGTTATATGGGTAAGTTAGACTCCAGGAACAATCATAAAACAGCCTTATTCTTTTCTCCAGCTGTCCCTTTAGAACAAAACTCTGTCTAGTTCTAAACAGAATCACACTGATTTTTGAAGATAACATAGCTTTTTTTCTGGCTCTTTTGCATCACAAATAGTATCATTTACAAAATTAAAATGCCCGGCCTAGTCTAATATAACATTATTAGCTTCAGGATTCATTCAGAGAGAAACTTTTCCTCTCTCTGAGCTTGAGTGGCTGTGGGTCTGGAAACCTGCACTGGGGAAGGGAAGACAGGAGGCCCTTCTCTTGGCCCCCTTCCTGGTATGTTCCTTGCTCCTCTTCTGCACTCGCTAGTCCTCCCTGGCCTGTTCCTTGCTCCTCCTCTGCACTCAGCAGTCCTCCCTGGCATGTTCCTTGCTCCTCCTCTGCACTCGCCGGTCCTCCCTGGCATGTTCCTCGCTCCTCCTCTGCACTCGCCAGTCTTAATTTCTCACTTCTCCAAGGTTGGGTTCAGGGGGAGGAGGGATGAGAGAAAGGATACAGCGTCACATGGTGGTTATGGATCTCATCTGGTGATGGGTCTCTCTGGATGTGACAAATACACAAAGCCGCACTTTTTCTCATGGGGAGCTTTTGGAGAGCTTCTTTGGAGACCCTCACATAGAATGTTGGAAGATGGCTTTTAGCCTTTTCTCTCACTGTGATGCCTTCACACATCCTCACACTTCCTGTCTTTACCCTCTTCTGGTCCTTTGGCTCTATTGGGTGGAGTTCCTTACAAAATGGCTCTTGGGATTCCCCCATGTAGTTCACTTCTGGCTTATGAGAAACACCCACATTTTCCCACCATCACCAGAACCGACACAGCTTGCTTCCAATACAGTCCCCTCTCTTCACATGGGGCTGCCTGAGATTTTTCCAGGTGGGGTCTAGGTAGCATTGCTTATGCTTGAAAGACTCTCTGTTCTCCAAAGCACCCGTTTCAGGCTCTGTGACGCCGAATGGCTCTGTGACACCTTCTCCTTTGGCTTGTGCTGAGAGGAAACCTGTACTTTCCTTTTCCTGACCCAGTTGCACAGCCCTTAGTCCCTTCTTCCTCCACCCAAAAGATGAGGGTGCCAGATAATTCCACTCACTCTCTATTTGGAGGTTTCCTGTGGATTATTGTAAATGTGCGCTAACCAATTTCATACCCTTTATTATTTTTTAAATAATGTAACAGGTCACCTTGGGCTGCAGGGACACTTGGCAACCATTTTTACAGCTTTTAACTTTTGGTGCCCGGGCCGGGTGTGGTGTGGTGGCCCATGCCTGTAATCCCAGCACTTTGGGAGGCCAAGGCAGGTGGATCACCTGAGGTCAAGAGTTCGAGACCAGCCTGGCCAATATGGTGAAACCTGTCTCTACTAAAAATACAAAAAATTAGCCAGGCATGGTGGCGGGCACCTGTAATCCCTGCTACTTGGAAGGCTGAGGCAGGAGAATCCCTTGAACCAGGGAGGTGGAGGTTGCAGTGAGCCAAGATCATGCCACTGCACTCCAGCCTGGGCAAGAAGAGCAAAACTTCATGTAAAAAAACAAAAAAAAAAAACAGAAAAAAACACCTAGGTAGTTGATGATGTATGTAAATTGTCAGTGCTATCTACATTCAGGGGGTATATCAGGAGGATGTATTTTGGTTTATGTGATTTTAAAAGGATTCACGGCAGAGTTGAGGTTTCAGCAGAGTAGTGGAGGACACAGCTTCTTATTTGAGACTTTGTTTTACCTAAAAAACACATGTCGCCTCACCAAAGTGGAAAAATCTCATTTTCTTTACACACCGTACTGCAATTGCTTGTGTACTCATGCTTATGGAAAGAGGGAACCCTTGAATGACTTATCCTTTTCACAATAAAATCCTCCCCCTGTTGCAATGCTTCTTCTCAAACATCAGTGTCCACACAAACCATCTTGGTGTTCTTGTTAAAATGTGGATTCTGATTGAGTAGGTCTAGGGTGGAGCCCAAGATTCTGCATTTCTTACAAAGCTCCCAAATGGTGCTGATGCTGCTGGTCCTATGACCACATTTTGAGTGGTAAGGCTCCACTGCTTTTGCTGAGTCATATGTAATGTACTAAATAATACATTTTGTCATTTATGATTGACAAATCAGTCGAAGCCTTTCATTTCGTGAAAACGGTCTTAGTGGTAGTTTGCACATAACAGCCTCTCATTTCTTTGAACTGGGGTTAGACATTTTGGTGCCATTCATTTGGAAAGGAGACTTGAAATAGGAACAAAGAGAATGAGGTTCCCGTTGTCAGCTGTGCTATCGACTTTTGCTATGTGGCCATTAACAAGCTTTATCATCTCCAAACTTTAGCCACTTGCATTGAGTTTTTGTATTAAGTAGTCTCCAGAGGTCTAGCCAATACCAACGTTCTATTTCTAGATATATTTTATGTTTATCTTATCTACTCAGCTATATCATTAAAAAGTTGGGAACTAAGTTTTTGTTTGTGCCTGTATTTTCCTTTCTGGAACAAACAATAGAACCTTGCCATTAAACATGCTCAATAAATGTTTATTAATGATGATGCTGCAGAGCTTTGACAGTGAAGATACAAGAGTGACTCTAATAAAGAATCCATGAGTTTTTTTTAATCTAGCAAATTTATATTGCTGAATGACATTTACTTACTAAAATTCAAAATAATAAATTCAATAATATTCACACATGCTGAGTTTCTCATCCCTGACTTTAGGGTAATAGAGGCAACCTCGCTAGAATCAAATAGTAACAGTAAAAAAGAGCTACAATCTGTATCATTATAAAAACAATAAAAGTTTTTTAAAAAAACAAGCAAAAACCGAAATATATTTCCTGGCTCACACATTTTAGTGATTCTGTATCAATGAAACGTCTTCTTCTCTTTAAGGTATACCATCCATGTCACAAGCCACATAATAATTTGAAAAAATCAGTGACTGAGCTATGAGTTACCATTCTATGGGGTTGTGGGTTGTGGGGCCCTAAGTTGAGGAAAGTCAAGAAAAAGATTGATGGAAAAGGCAGAATGACCTAGTTAGTCTTTAAATGATGTGTTATTACAAACAAGGAAATGTCACTATAACATTTACTAGCTAGAAAAGAAGGAAGTCAGGGGTGAAAAGTAAATGGTGTGTGAAGCCCAGAAATTCCTCCTTGATTATCCAAGTGATGCTGTGAGGCAAACGCTTCCACTTACCAAGAAGAGCAGAAAAATGTCCACTTTCCTTCTACCAGTTACATTATAGCTCTTATTTTAAGAGACAAATTGTGTAAAATGCTACAATAAATGCAATTTTGATGATAAGGACAGAACATTCAAATCTAAAACTTATGTGTTAGCCAACTTTCAAAAAAGTGAGAAACTTTTTGTTGTTGTTGTTGTTGTTGGATTCACTCTTGTCGCTCAGACTGGAGTACAGTGGTACAATCTCGGCTCACTGCAACCTCTGTCTCCCAGGTTCAAGTGATTCTCCTGCCTCAGCCTCCTGAGTAGCTGGGATTACAGGTGCCTACCATAACACCCGGTTAATTTTTTTTTTTTTTTTGTATTTTTACTAGAGACAAGGTTTCACCGTGTTAGCCAGGCTGGTCTTGAACTCCTGACCTCAGGTGATCCACCCTCCTCAGCCTCCCAAAGTGCTGGGATTATAGCCATAAGCCACTGTGCCCAGCCTAAAAAAAAGTGAGAAACTTTTAAATGTGTGTATCACATATTGTGGGAAACATTGATGTCTTATTCTGGACAAGAATAGCTCAAATGCCACACATTTTTAAATGTGCATCATTCCACATTGGAGTTTCTTTGCAGCACTATTGTGTTGAGGGCTCTGTATGTATCCATTGTGTTGTGTTTTATAAAATGAATACCTGGAACGGATGTGTCCCCGTGGCAGGTGGGGCAGCACCTGGGTGGTGAAGAAAGTGGGGTGAGTCAAAATTGAGACAAGCATGAGGTCTTTTAAGAACTTGAAAAGTATTTCAATATCTGAAATAGAAGGCTCACTGTTAGAAAATTGATAATGGAACTAGGGTTGCAGACAAAAAAGTGTTTGAATCTAGGTGTAGAATTCTCATCCCCAGAGGGAATAAGCTAGAAAGTTAGTTCATGATCAATAAACCAACATCTAGACAATATGAAGATAGAGTTTAAAATAAATAATGTACATTTACTGTGGAAAGGGAATTTTTAATTTTCTATTGTTAAGTACAGCAACCTGGGAAAAGAAAAAGAAGTTCTTGATGGTAATTAGGAAAGAAAAAGAAAAAGGTTTATCCATGGATTAAAGGAGAGGGTACCATATGCCAGAAACATATAATATTTTATCTCACTTAACCGTCTCAGTAATCTCAGGAAGTGCATTTGTAAGGAGAACTCAGAGATATTAAGTAACTTGCCTAAGATCACGAGGTTCCTTTGTATGTCTGTTCGTTCACATGTAGGCATGAGATCAGCTTTAGTATTATACTACCAAAGAGTTTTTCAAGGCAGTTGTGCTGGTTTATATAAGGGCTTCAACACTTGATGTTATCACCTTTCTGGATGTGGGGCTTCAAGTGAGGTTATGGAGGTATCTCAGTGTGGTTTTGCTGTACGTTTTCTTGATGACTAGTGAATATTAAACACTTATGCTTATTGGCCATGTATATTGTCTTCAAATCTTTTGCTTGTTTTATTTTTAGCTCAGTTATCTGTCTTTTGAAAAAATGATTTTTAAATATATTTTGAAAAGAGTTCTTTGTCAGATATATGCATTGCAGTGTATTTACCACCTATGACTACTTTTTCAGTCTCTTAATGGTCACTTTTGTGGTTAAAAGCTCTTAATTTTAATAAAGACAATTTTAACAACAACAAATTCAGACCTGGGCTTAACACCCAAATTCTATGAATCTAATAGGTTAATTCTAACACCAAACTGAATAGTAAATAGTGAAAAGGAAGTAAATTAATCAAAATGTCCACTTAGCAATTTGGTCGCCAGTTAAATTGGCCTTTGAGTAAATAAGGTTCTTCTTCATTATCGGAATGGTACCATACAGTAGAATTGTCTTCCTAGAAATTATGGCTCTGATTTACTTGCTGAAAGATCATTGATTTTCATAGGTTGGTCTTGTACCCATTGATCTCAAAGCTTTCTAATTAGCTGTAATTATGAGTTTTTGCTGATTTTGTACATGAGATTGTGGTGTCCACAAATGATAACAGTTATATCTTACTTCCTGTACCTTGTTGTTCCTGTTTATTTTTTCTTATGTTCTTTATATTGTGTATATTTAAGGTATACAAGGTGATATTTTGATATATGCATACATTGTGAAATAATAGCAATCAAGCTAATTAATACATCTGTCACCTCACACAATCTTGGTCAGGACCTCCAGTACTATGTTAAACAGTAGTGTTTCCAGTGAAAGTTACTCAATATTCTAGCATAGTTGGGACACATAATGGTGTGATTTACTAACATAGGGAAGAAAGAGAAAGGAATAGTTTGGAGGAAAATGTAATCATCCCTGTGATAGGACCAAGTAAAGACAGTAGGGAGCTGGCCATGAATGTCTCTAGCTCTGGAAAGGGGTAATTCTAGGAGATTTAAACTTGGGAATCATCAACTGACAAGCATTAACTTAAACTGTGAGGTTACTTTCCAGTTTCTGCTCAGGAAGAGCTGGAGGGTTACACCCAACTTTAAAACAGGAGAAAAAAAGCCAGAAGTGTGAGCTCCTCACTTTTTTTTAAATCCACTAAAGAGAAGATATTGCAGGACAACCAAGTAATCCAAATCTAAGAAGAGATAAAAGACTACAGGCTGAAATAGGGTTTGAACACACTTGCTTAGTTGATTCAGATCAAGTCAGACGTCAATAGGCAGGACTCAGCTGGAATAACAGGTGAATTGGTAGAGGTCAAGTGTGGGTTGGTGAGGGACAGTGGAGTCCCTGGGGGCTGCTTCTATGCGGAGAAGGCAGGGTTCATATTCTCTTGAAGACTTTTTCTTTGTGAATCCAGGCATTCACAGGGAAGCCTGGGAAGAGTGCAGAGAAAACTTTCTCAAAGATGCTGCCTGAGGGAGGGGAGAACCAGCCTCTGCAGTGGAGATGCTGGACTCAGCCTGGACTCTACTGCCCCGTGTCCATGAAGGAATAAAAAGTCTTAATCTGCCGTGGGAAAGAGAACAAAAGCTGTCACCCTCAGGCCGAGATGAATACTCATTGCAACTGGTGTATGAAAATGGGAAAACTCATCTATCCCAGAGAATCAGCAGTAATATATTCTAGGCTCAGAACCACAGCAGTCAGAGGAGAAGGGGCACTCCTCAAAGCCACACTCCCAAGACCAAAGAACATAGTCCCTGGCTGAAGCCGAGGACAAAGAAGAACAAAGAACAAAGAAGAATATCCTAAACCCAAGGTACTGATAAATCTGAGGCCAGTGGTACACTCAACATAAATAAACAATAACGAATCCCAAACCCAGCCCAAGACCTAACTAGATTAAAACAAACTTCCACAAGAAAGGCCAAGGAGAAGGAAAAAAAAAGCCAATTTCCAAGCACAAAACTGTTTACCTCACTCTCTACTATTCTACAGGAGATGTTCAGCTATCAACAAATAAGGATGAGGAATATGGAAAGGCAAGAGACAAAGCAATCAAAAGAACCACTTAGACACAGACCTGTCTAACAGATAATTTAAAATAACTATGACTATGTTAAAGGCATGAATGGAAAAGGTGAACAGCATGTAAGACCAAATGGGCTATTGCAGCAACTCAAGACAGGAATCAATGGAAATGCTAAAAATAAAAATGAATATAAATGTGGATAAAATACACTTTTGACATGCTCACCAGTAGATTAAAAACCATTAATAAATATAAAGATGGATTAATAGAATTTTTACAAAATGAACCAGATATAACTAAAGCAAAAATAAAAGGAACAGAGCATCCATGAGTTATGGTACAATGTAAAATGGCTTAACATAGGCATTATTGAAACCCCAAAAGTATGATAGAGATTTGAGGAGAAGAAATGTTTGAAGAAATATTGGCTAAGAGTTAATTAGAATTAATTGGTCCAAAATTAATTAGAAAAACCACACCATGGATCTGAGAAGTTCAAGAATACTCTATAAATAAATGCCAATATAAGTGCATTTGTGTACACAGACACACACACATACCATGTTCAATTGCTGAAGAACAAAATATGAGAAGGTCCCAAAGGCACCCACAGGGAAAAGAAAGACACAAGAGGGGAACAAAGATAAGAATTATAGCAGACTTTTTGTCAGAAATCATGCAAGACGAAGACAATGAAGTGAAATGAAATTATTATTATTATTTTTTTGAGATGGAGTCTCACTCTGCCTCCCAGGCTGGAGTGCAATGGCACGATCTGGCCTCACTGTAACCTCTGCCTCCCAGGTTCAAGTGATTCTCCTGCCTCAGCCTCCCAAGTAGCTGGTATTACAGGCATGTGCCACCACGCCTGACTAATTTTTGTATTTTTAGTAGAGACAAGGTTTCACCATGTTGGCCAGGCTGGTCTCTAACTCCTGAGCTGAAGTGATCCACCTGCCTCGGCCTCCCAAAGTGCTGGGGTTACAGGCATGAGCTACCACACCTGGCCCCCCTGAAGTGATCTTTTTGAAAGGCTGGAAAGAAAAGAGTCAACACAGAATTTTATACAGAGGGAAAATATCTTTCAAAAATGAAGGAGAAATAAAGACTTTGTTAGACAAAAAGTGAGAAAATGTATTGCCAATAGACCTACATAGCAAGAAATTTTAAGAGAAAAAACATATTAAAAGAATTCCTTGAGGCAGAAGGAATATGGTACCAGAAAGAAACTTATATCTACACAATGAAACAAAGAATATTTAAAAAGAAACAAAGGAAAATAAAATTAGTTTTTTATACCTAATTGCTCCAAAAGATAACTGATTTTTTCAAGCAAAAATTTTAGCTCTATAGTGTATTTATAGCATGGTTAAAAGGTATCTATGGTGTAGGGATCTTATAACAGTACGTTCCCAGTTCCTCCTTCACAGCATACATTGTTGTGATCCTTACACTTCACAGGAAGTATATATAAATACAGTCTCACTCTGTTGCCCGGGCTGGAGTCTAGTGGCACGATCTTGGCTCACTGCAACCTCCACTTCCTGGACTGAAACAATTCTCCTGCCTCAGCCTCCTGAGTAGCTGGGATTACAGGCACGCACCATCACGCTGGGCTAATTTTTGTGTTTTTAGTACAGATGGTGTTTCACCATGTTGGCCAGGCTGGTCTTGAACTCCTGGCCTCAGGTCATCTGCCTGCCTTGGCCTTCCAAAGTGCTGGGATTACAGGTGTGAGGCACCACGCCCCGCTGGGAGAATAATGTTATTTAAAGTTAGATGTTGATTAATTAATAATGCATATTGTAAACCTTAGGGCAACCACCAATAAAATGTGTAAACATGGGCATAAGTAATAGGTTGATAAAAGAGATAAAATGAAACAATGAAAACAATAAGCAAAAATCAGAAAAAGAAGAAAAAAGAAACAAAGACAAATGGAACAACTTGAAAAGAGCTAGGACGATGGTAGATTTTAATCCAAAGAGATCAACTGTAATATTAAGTGTGAATGGTTTATACATACAAATTAAAAGGCAAAGATGGTCAGATTGGATTAAAAAAGAAAAAACTATAAGCTCTTTTTGAGAAATCCAACTTAAATATAAAGATTTAGATAGGTTAAAAGAAAAACAATAAAATCATTAACACAAAGAAGCTGGAGTAGTTATATTAATATCATATACAAGACTTTTGCCTCTGATATAAAAGACTTTTGCCTCTGATAATTTTTCTTGTTTCTTTTATATTAATATCATAGAAAAGACTTTTATATATTATTATATAATAATATATAAAAGAAAAGACTTTTATATATTATATAATAATATATAAAAGAAAAGACTTATATATTATATAATAATATATAAAAGAAAAGACATATATTATATAATAATATATAAAAGTCTTTGATATTAATATAAAAGTAACAAGTAAAATTATCAGAAGCAAACAGGGGTATTGCATAATGATAAACGAGGAATTTCTCCAGGGAGGTGTAACAATACTATGTATGCGTGCACCTAATGACAGAACACACAAAACCAAAAATTTAAAAAACCCACAGGAAGTCAAAAATTTTTTTAAAAAAGACAAATCCTCAGTTGTGGTTACAGACTGAAACTCTTTTCTTTCGTGTGTGTGTGTGTGTGTGTGTGTGTGTCTGTGTGTGTATGTGTATTTTATATATATATATATATATTTTTTTTTAAAGCAGGCATAATATTGGTAAGAATTTGGAAAGACTACTGTTAACTCAATTTACCTAATGACATTTGTAAATTATTATGCAAGAACATCTGGATTATTCACCAAGACAGACTATATTCTGGGCCATAAAATAAACCTCACCAAATCTGAAAGAACAGAAAGCACATGAAATATGATCTCAAATTGCTAGGGATTTAAATTAGAAATTAATATCCAATAGGTATCTAGAAAATTCCTAAATACTTGGAAATTAAACATGTTTCTAAATAACCTGCATGTCAAAAAGTTTCAAGGAATTTAAAAATAATTTGAACTACATCAAAGTATAAATAAACTATATCAGAATTTGTGTAATGAACAAAGCCATGCTTAGAAGAAAATTTATACAACTAAATTCTTATGCTGGAAAAGAAGAAAGATCTTAAATCAATCATCTAAGCTTCCCTCTTAAGAAACAAGAGGAAAAGCAAGTTTTACCCAAGGCAAGCAGAAGGAAAGAAATAATAAAGATGGCAACAAAGACAAAAAAAAAAAAGAAAATAAAAAAATCAATAGAGAAAATCAATTAAACCGAAAGCTGGTAATTTTTAAAGATCAATAAAATTGATAAACCTGTAACTGAACTAACCAAGAGAAAATAAAAGACATAAATTTAAAATATAAAAGAGAAATTAAATGAACAATTCTATGCCCATAAGCTTATAAAAGGCATAACTACCAAATATAACTCAAGAAATAGGCAAGCAGAATATGTTTGTACCAATTATGTTGACTGAAATTAAGGCTGTTTAGGCAGAAACAATTTAGTAAAGGCTTACTGGAAGCCAAATATGAGGATTGACTGGGGAAGACACATCAGCAAAGTGGGTATGTTCCAAAGTCTGCTACAAGTCCGAAGGCTTTTATAAGAAAGTTTGGGAGAAGGAAAGGTGACTCCTCATATCAGAGTTGTCCTTTTCACCGGAAGGTACAATACAGAGGTTAAGATCATTGGCAAGAGATTGCAACATACAGGCTAAAATGTCTGTGTGCAAGACAATCAGTAAAACTTCATGATTCTAGAACAAATCAGCAGTGTCTTTGTGTCAGTTGTTTACATGTTAATCGATATGTCAATCATGTGAGGAACTGACAATAAAATTTGCGGATTCCTTATTCAAGGACAAAAGGTTAACCATGAATCATAAGACCATCGCCACGTGGGTAATTTGGAAGCTTGCCAAATGTGACCTAAGGTTATCAATTAAATACATTGAAGGAATAGTTAATATTCTTCCAAAAAGGAAACTTCAGGAACAGAGGGTTTTACTTGGAATTCTGTCGGTATTTAAGGAATAAATAGGGGCCAGGTATGATGGCTCATGCCTATAATCCTGACTCTTTGGGAGGCTGAGGTGGGAGGATCACTTGAGGCCAAGAGTTCAAAACCAGCCTGGGCAACAGAGCAAGACGTCGTTTCTATGAAAAATTTTTAAGTTAACTGGACGTGGTGATATGCACCCGCAATCCTAGCTACTTAGGATCCCTTGAGCCCAGGAGGATCTCTTGAGCCCAGGAGTTCAAGGCTGCAGTGAGCTATGATTGCACCACTGCACTCCAGCAGTGTTCTGGGTAACAGAGCAAGACCCTGTCTTGGAAAAAAAAAAAGTAATAAAATGTTATTCAACATATTCTAAAAAGCAGAGAAGATAGAACACTTCTCAACTCAATTAATGAGGCCATCACTAATGTAATACCAGAAACAGGCAAAAGATTAAAAGAGAACTAAAAACCAATATCCCTCATGAACAAACACACACATATTCTCAATAAAATACTAGCAAATACAATCCAGCAATATATAAAAAGAGTAACACATCACAACCAAGTCAAGTTTGTTCCAAGCATGCAAGGCTTGTTCAGTATTTGGAAATCAATCAGTGTGATTCACATTAGTAGAGCAAACAAGAAAACTATATGATTATTGCAATAGACACAAAAATTGAATTTGAAAATAAATTATAATATCCACTCGTGATAGACAATTCTCAGTATGGTAGGAATAAAGTGGAACTTATTTAACTTGATGAAGGGTTTCTATAAACAAGTTACAGCTAACATAATTCTTAATGATGAAAACTGAGTGGTTAATCCAAAAGATCCACTCCTGTTTAGCATCATACTAGAAGTCCTAGTTACGAAAATTATTTATTAATAGTATTTTATTTATTTATAAATAGTATTTTATTTACTTATTACCACAGGTTGGTAGAGAAGTCAGGAAAAGAAATAAAGGCCTCAAAATTTGAACATAAGAAAACTGCCTCTATCTGCAGACAAAATGACTTTCTACATGGCAAAACCCGAGAAATCCACAAAACATGTTCTAGAACTAATTAGTGAGTTTAGCAAGGTCACAAGATTCAAGGTCAAAACACAAAAATTAATTGTTTTTCTGTGTTCTAGCAGTGCATATGGTAATTCAAAGTTTAAAAATTACCATTCAAAATAGCATAAAAATGAAACACTTTGGACTAAATCTAAAAAATATTTACAGGATCTGTATGCTGAAATGTATAAAACTGATTAAAGAAATTTTTAAAAAAGCTAAATCATTGGGGGAATATACTGTTTTCTTTGTTTGGGAGATCTAATATTGGTAAGATGTCAATTATCCCCAACGTTATATGTTTCTTTAATGTAATCTGAATCAAAATCTCAAAGTGATTTTTACAGATACTGACAAGTTCATTATAAAATGTGCAAGGCCAAGGAACTAAAATAACTACCCACAAAATTGGAAAGGAAATAACATAATGGGGATACTCATACTTGATTTCAAGATGTATTTTATAACCACAGCAATCAACATGGTGTGGTATTGCCAAAGGGTAGTGATATGGTTTGGCTGTGTCCACACCCAAATCTCATCTTGAATTGTAGTTCCCGTAATCCCCAAGTGTGGTGGGAGGGACCTCGTGGGAGGTAATTGAATCATGGGGGCGGTCACTTCCATGCTGTTCCCGTGATAGTGAATGAGTCCTCCTGAGGCGTGATGGTTTTATATGGGGCTTTTCCCCCTTTGCTTGGCACGTTTCCTTGCTGCCGTCACATGAAGAAGGACGTGTTTGCTTCCCCTTCCACCGTGATTGTAAGTTTCCTGAGGCCTCCCCAGCCATGCTGAACTGGGAGTCAATTAAACCTCTATTCTTTATAAATTACCCAGTCCTGGGTATGTCTTTGTTAGCAGCATGAGAACAGACTAACACAGATAGATACACAGTTCAATTAAACAGATTAGAGTCCAGAAATAGACTCACATAAATATAACCAACTGACTTGTTGCAAAGATGCAAAGTAATTTTACAGAGGAAAGGCAGTCTTTCCAACAAATGGTGCTGGGAAGACGGGACATGCATATGAAAAATAAATGCCCACCCATAGAAATACTAATTAAAAATTATAGACTCACATGTAAATTTAATCTATGAAAATTTCTTTAAAAAATTGGGAAAATATTTGTGTGACATTGAGACTTAGATACAACATCAAAAGCAATATTCGTAAAAGGAAAGAATCAGTAAAATGGACTTTGTTATAATTTTAAAACTGTTGAAAGAATACAAAGACAGCCATAGGCTGGTAAAGAGTATTTGCAAATTACATTTCTGACAAAGGACTTGTATCTAGACATGTAATGAGCTCTTAAATCCTAACAGTAAGAAAATGACCAACCCAGTCAACAATGAGGAAACAGATCTAAACAGAAACTTAACTACAGATGTGTGGATGCAAAACAAACACATGCAAAGATTCTCAATATCATTAGTCATTATGGAAATGCAAAAACTCCAACCACAATGAAATACCACTCTATGAGTATTATTAGAATAGCTAAAGAACAACAAAGCAACAAGCTGACCACACAAAGTTCAAGCAAGGTCACAGAGCAACTGGATTTCTTTACTTGTGGTAATGCAAAATGTTTCATCTCCCATGGGAAAGTGAGAACTTTCTGATAATGTTAAACATGTATCTCCCACATGGTCCAGGCATCTCGTCCCTGGGTATTTACTCAAGAGAAATGAAAAGGTGTGCTCACATAAAAACCTGTACAGGAACATTTATAGCAGGTTCATTTGTAAGCATCAAAAGCTGGAAACTACTTAGGTAACTTTCAACTGGTAAATTGATAAATAAGTGTGGTATATCCGTACAATTGAGTACTACTCACTGATAAAAAGAAAGGAAGTATTGATCTATGCAACAATGTGAATAAATCTTAAATGCATTTTGCTACGTCAAAGAAGCCAAAACTCAAGGGACTAATACCAAATAATGCCACTTATAAGACATTCTGTAACAGGCATACTTACAGAGGTACAGATCAAGTTAGTAGCTGCCAGAGGTTAGAATTAGGTGGGAGGGGCTGATTGCAAAAGGATACCACAAAGGAATTTCTGGGGTGATGAAATCATTCTGTATTAAAATCTTGGTAGTTAATACGTGATTTTATCCATTTGTCAAAATATACGAAATTGTACAACATGAGGGTGAGTTTTAATCTATGTAACTTAAAGTGCAGACACAAGATATTTGGGGAACTCAAATGGAATACGAATTGTAACAAATGAAACTAACTCTATTATAGATGAGTATCACAACCACACAACATGTGGGACAGGAACAAACCAGTTACTTTAAAAGCATTACTTTGACTTGATACTATAAGCCCAAAGGCAAAAAGAATAGAGCAAAATGTTAAACTCTAGTAAATTTATTTCTAATAAGGTTATATGTTAGCAATTCTGAAGCTACTTTATATGTATATATTTAGGGTTGAATACATTAGTAAATGCATTGTAGATAATGAGAACTGAGTTTTTCATTGTGTAAGAGAAAGAATCTACATATAAAGAGGGAAGGCTAGAATAAACCCTGGGGTGTTGGAGGGAGCTTGGTGGTATCCGTGTGAACTCATGTTTTAAAAAGCATGTGGGCATTACAAATATATACATATATATGCAGAGATGGGTACAAAAATAAATATAAATGTGTGTGTATAGTTGTTATGCATACACATATTTTTGAGTTCTGTCCCTGGAGAGGGCTTAGAAACAATGACACCCCACAACAATGAATGTACCTCTTACTCAGATCTTGTATTTTGGGGGGAATGGGTTCAGGTTTATTTAGGTATAATTTGTATAGAGTAAAATATACCCATTTTAGTGTACAGTTTTATGATACTCAACCATGTCTACAATTCCGTCAGCACCATGATAATCAAGAGAAAGAATAGTTTCACCACCTCAAAATATACCCTTGTGCTCTTTTGTTACCAATCCCCTCCCCTCACTTCCAAAACTAAGTGAGGCCAGTATGGGGGCAATTGGAAGCCTCATACAGGGCTGGTGGAAATGTGAAACGGAGCAGCTACTTTGGAAAACAGTTTGTCAGTTTCTTGTAAAGTTAGACATTCCTTTACCATAGACCCAGTAATTCTATTCCTGAGTATTTACTCAAGAGAACTACAGACTGTGCACACACCAGGCCTGTATGCAACTGTTTACAGCAACTTTATTCATAGTCATTCCAAATGAAACAACTGAAGTCTTCACCTACAGGTGAGCGGATGAACAAATTGTTACTTTCATGCAGTGGAACACTACTCAGCTACAAAAAGAAATGAATTTCTGATGCATGAAGCAAAATGGATGAATCTCGGAAAAAATAGGCTAAGTGAAAAAAGCCACAATCAAAAAGCTATGAACTCTATTATTTCATTTATATAATGTTCTGGAAAGAACAAAAGTACAGAGACAAAGATCAGATCTTACATTTTAAATATCATTTTCCAATAGAAGGAACTAGGGTACCTTGGGGAAGTGGTGGAGTTCAGAACTGGGGCAGAGAAAATTCAAGATAAGCATGAAGTATCTTGTGGTGTCAGATAATCAGTAAGAAAAGGCAAAACAGAAACAAACCAAAAAATTAGAACACTCAATTATATTTGTTGCAAGCAGGATCCACCCTTAATGCTAAAATTGGTGAGCAAAAGTTCAAGGAGAAATAAGAGATTTGCATATTCTAAAAGATCTCCCCCAGGTTATTTATTAATTACTTAAGGAAAGATAATAACTTTCCAGTGGAGAAACCTGGCAGATAGCACCTTAACCAAGGGATCAAGGTAAAACTCGTCAGTACTAAGATACATCCACATCTTATACCTCCTGATACAATGCACATGGATTCTATGTTATTCTGGCCAAAACCACATAAATAAATCTGGTCAGGAGATAACATCAGACAACCCCAAACTAAGGGACGTTCGGCAAAATAACTGACCAGGACTCTTCAAAAGTATCTAGGTCATGGAAGACTGAGGAACTATCAGAGATCAGAGGAGATGAAGAAGACGTGATTACTAAATGTAATGTAGGCCCTGGGGGTTGGATTCCAGAACAGAAAAAGAACATTAGTGAAACAGCTGGGAAAATCCAAATAAATTCTTTAGTTAGTACTGTTGGAGCAACATTAATTTCTTGGCTTTGATAACTGCTGTGATTGTACAAGATGTCAATGGTAGAGAAGATACATGAAGGATATGTACGAATTATCTCCTATATTTGTAACATTTTTACAAATATAATTAATTTGTTTACCCCAATGCCAGTTGGGGTAATGTCTAAAGTTATTTCAAAGAGTTAAAAAACACAGGTGCTTGGAGGAGTACAGAGAAGAGTATATATAAGAAGACAAGCATAAAATTGGTTATAATTTAAAGAAATAGCAAGCAAAAGAAGGTGTGTTTATGGAAACAATGAATGTTCAGAGAAGTAAGCTGAGAATCAAAAAAAGAGAACAGTGTCTTGCAAACCAAGAAAGCAGCATTGCTCATATTGTGTTCCTGTAGAGTATTCTCATGATATAACTCCTTCAAATAGAGAAATGATTCCATGGTTATTCAATCTTCTTGAAATCAGCAATACATAAAGTACAATGCCTGTAAATAGTTTGAGAAAGGCTTCTCTACTGACCTTTTTTTTAAAAACAAATCGAATGGTTCCCAGAATTATTTAGCTATGAGTCCTTTCTTTTGTTTTTAAATAGCCTCTTGATATCAACTTTATGAAAGCAGCATAAAGTTGGTGCCAGGTACACAAACACAATTCACAGCACATACTTGGCATTTATTTATTAAACAAGTATTTATTGTACACCTATTAACATCCTTGGACTTTGGGATCTGAAGAACGTACTTGGGCAAAGCTCTAACACACACAGTGATGGGATAAGTATTGTGATTGGCGAGAGGATTGGCCCTGGGGAAAATAGGAGTAAATAACCCTGAGCATATGGGGGTTGAAAAATGAGGAGTAATTTCACTGTGGGCTGCTGGTAAGAAGAATGGAGAGAGGATCTGGATTGGGAGTTAGTCCAGAAGGAAATGTTACAGTGGCCAGAACGTGTTTTTTATCCTGATTAATTCTACCTTCTGGTCCTCCAAGTTCCCATTTGGATTATAACACAAACATGTGGGCCTTCAATAAGAATGTTTTCTCATGGGATGGATCACAACCTGGTGTCTCCTTGTAACTTTCTGTTTGGAGAAAATCAATAAATATCATTTCAAACTGCTAAAGAATGAATTTTTTAAAAAAATGGATGTGTTTGTCATGATAAATTTCCCTGACATATTTATTATAACTACTTCTTGAAACATTTGTCAGGGAGGCATTGATGAGGACTGGACCGTTTTAGTCACTTAGGTGTATTCTCTAAATTGTTTTAGAAGAGAGAGTTTTTAATGCAGATTAATGAATTATCTATGCACGTCACGATAATGAAGCATAAAGATGACTTCTGGGCCCCTTTCTCACCTTGCCTGTGCAGGCTGAGCTCTTCCACCAGCTCTGGACTGACTTCCTATTGCCTTCGTTTCACAGTTTCAGTCGGAGATGAGAAATAGCCCTGAAATTTGCTTCAATTCTTCACTAATCCGAGATCAAAATTCCCCAGGACTGCAAGGGAAGTTGTTACGCAGAGCAGTTGCAGCATTGGGCAGTAATATGTGATTAGCAATAGAAGATATTCTTGTGAGAGCTGCACTAACTTGCTTTTTATCTGACTGGGCCCCGTAAGGAACAGCTGGTTGTGGTTCTTCTGTAGGAACAGGCACACTACTTACACTCTGTTCTCTTCTTTCCAGATCGGTCCATGTGAGAGATGTCAGGCATAGGAGAATAGTTTTCCCTGTGAAAGCTTTTCTGCTCATCTTAGGAGAGAGGGAAGGTAGATTGGCTCCCCCTTATTCTGCTGTCCTCATAGGAGTCACCCTTTATATTGATGAGATGCATGGTGATTGGTGATGAGAAACAATTTGAGGGTACCGTGAAAGATTGATAGCAGGGTTAGATTAACCACTCCTATGAACTTGCCTCAGAATCACAGTGTATCATTCCTTTATATAGAAAAAGATGACACTTGATGAAAATAAGCAAATTCAGTCATCTTAAAGATATTTGAATGTTAGCTTAATTTATGAGATGTTGTTACTGTTTTAAATCAAGTCATAAAGCAGTGATTATTAACTATTTTAAATTTATAAACTTCTATCATAATCTGATAAAAGTTTTGGCCCTTTCCCCCAGAGAATACACACACACACACACACACACACACACACACGCCTGACATTTAATATTGACTATTCAATCTACAAGGAACAATCAGGATCACTGTGGTAGACACCATGGTTTTCTCTTCAACGTCTGTGCACTCATTTATGGGCATCATGCTGTTTGGGAGGGTTTAACCCCAGCCCCATCTTTTGGGGAGACCATGATTCCTCTCAGTCGATAATATCCTAATCACACCAAAGGGATCAGGTCTAGTTAAGCCAATCAGTCCTTGACAATCCCAATGTTATGGTTTAGGCATAGCCCAAAGATCTTAGATGACAGGACTTTTCCTCTCATCCTTCTGCTCTCTCTCCTTCTGTATATTGTGGTGGGCAGGTGGGAAGCCTAGAATAACAGAATCCATTTAGTTCCCATGAAGGAAGCGAACCGTGGCACTGTGAAGACAAAGCTGTCAACTAGAGGCAGGCAGAACCAAGAGCATCACAGAGAAAGAGAGCAGCGGCCTTGAACAAAACATGAAGGAATGCACTGGTGGGGTGAGACTTAAGCAGTTATGTGAGCTCAAACCCCCTTAGCGTGTGGGCCCTTTCTGTGTAGGTTGTGTTTTCTATTCTTTTCAACAAAATAGTTCTAAATGATAGTTTTTCAGTGCTGGCTTTTCAAGTACAGATGTGCTGGAGAAGGAGTGAGGAAAGAAGGGTAAGAAAAAAAGTGTTAATATCTCTCTAGCATGCTGTCCTGCCTGTATAAAAATGGAGCTGTTTATGTGTACCATTAGTGGTGTGAGTGTTTTCTCAAGAATGGAGATAGATTCACCTCTTGCCCTGTGCATCTCTCCGCTCTGTGTTGTTACTAGTCTTACTCTATGGTTACCCAGGTTCCAGTCAAGGTCCATAGACATGGAACAGAGGAAAACCAACTGGACAAGAGAGCTGAGACCACTGCAGCCTGGGATTTTTAACGCCATGTGCGATACTTGTATAGACCACCACTCTGCTGCCTGGCTCTGAGGTAGTTGCTGAAATGCGGAATGTGGCCTGCAGGTGATGTGCTGAGAGTTAAGGGATGGTTTATCTTTACTTTGTGAAATTAAACTTCGCTGAACAAGGAGAAGCAGGGAAACTGACGAGACCTTTACAAAGCCAGTGTAAAGTGTAGTATGCAGAGCATATTAGACATGTCCACAGACACAAAGCAAGAAATAGTGTGTATTAGTCTGTTCTCACGCTGCTATGAAGAAATACCCGAAACTGAGCAATTTATAAAGAAAAGAAGTTTAATTGACTCACAGTTCCACATGGCTGGGGAGGTCCCAGGAAACTTACAATCATGGCGGAAGACACCTCTTCCCTGGGCAGCAGGAGACAGAATGAGAGCAAGTAGGGGAAATGTCAGACACTTACAAACATCAGATCTCATGAGCCTCACTCATTATCACAAGAACAGCCTGGGGGGAACCACACCCATAATTCAATTACCTCCACCTGGTCTCACCCTTGACACAATTATGGGGATTACAACTCAACGTGAGATTTGGGTGGGGACAGAGCCAAAGCATATCACAGTGTAAATGTACATTCAGGTGTTTCTGACTGATAAGCTTTTTCTTTTCTTTGGGCATGTCATAAAATCTATATTAGATGTAAAGATATGGAAGTTGAAAAATGTTTGTCACCTTTTACTACCCAAACCCTTTTAAAATGACAATAAAAACTTACATGTGCTGATGATCAGAGAGTAATTCATACAGTTATTTTGAAAACTGTCACTATTGACTAAAACTGAGTATGTCCATACCCTACCTTCCAGTAATTTCACTGCCAACTGCACACATAAGCACCAAGAGAAGTGGATAGAATATTCACAGCAACATTGTTATAGGAGCCCCAAGTTGGAAACAATGTTGATGTTAATCGAAGTAGACTGGACAAATGTACTGTAGTATTTTTCATACATTAGAATACTGCATAGCTACATGTGGCAACATGGAGGAATCTCATAGTCATATTTACAAAGGGAAAGAATCCATAATGTGTGTGTTAGCCCCTAATGCTATACCTGGAACACAGTAGTTACCCTATACATGTTGGTTTGCCATTTAGCTTGGAATTTAAAACAATATAAGATAATACAATTAGTGCTCAGTAAGTAAATTAAATGGAGTTTTCCATTTCTTGTTGTACATCTAATGTGGCATTTAAAATTAAAGTTCATCAACAAACATAATAAATGTGCAAGCAGCATTTTGCAAAGAACATTGCCCTCATGTAATCTATCCTGTTCTGCAAACCCTAATTCGTCAATCTGAAAACAGAAATATGTATTTGCTGTGCTTAGCATAAATTTAATTGTAGAAGATGGAGTTCTTGAATTCGGAATCACATGATAGTTAAAATGATAAAGAATATTATTTTTTAACTTTTAGTTTATTCAGCCTTGTCCATTAACATTTAGTTAGCATTATGCCTAGAATAATTTATATCATTGCAAAGAATTAAATTGTTTGAAAGGTAGACATTTGATAGTCCTGAATGTTTTAGTTCTTCTTGTTTTAGAAGAATAAGTTTTGGATGACATAGTGTGATCAAATGGCTTAATTTCAGGTGAAGATATGCCTTATGACTTTCATTTTAAATCTTAAACACCTGCAGAGTTAAATTGCAGTGAAGCTCATAAAAATCGCCATCTGTAATTGATGGAACATTGGATTTTTAATGATATGCTGTAGGAGTCTGAAAAGATCTAGTGGTCCATTATTAATAGACCTCCCAAAAAAAGACTGGTGGGTTTTCTTCTTCATAAAGCTGAATTTTATGGGCAACAGACAGGTAGGGAATGGTATAAAGTGGATACAAATTTTTTCTTATTTGTAATATTTGAATAACACAATTTAAAGTAAGCTGTTACAATATCAGACCAAAATTGAAGACTGAATAAGCATCCTTAATTATTGCAAAATAACCTCTTTTGTAGCATTTAGCTAATTCCCAATTAACCAGGTTGCTGGGGCGAGAATGCAGTTATAACTACATTCAGTTTACAGGTAATGCATAAATGCAGCTAACAAATCCACAGTAATCAATAGTAGATTATAGGGTTTTCTTGTCATCCCTGTTGTTACTGTTTTTCTGTTTGTTTGTTTTTGATCTGTTGGTGATGCTTGGTTGGGAACTGGAATGAACTTAGATCCTCAGGAGGGACACTTAGTAACGAGGAAAGAGCTGGTTATCATGGACTGCCACAAACCCCCGTGTCTCACTACTTCTGTTTCTGCACGTTCTGCTCTGCTCCCTTTTGGTGTCCATTCTAGTGTAACCAGCATGTTATTTTGTCTATCGCTAGACTGTAAGCTCCATGAGGGCAGGGCTGTTTGTGTTGTTCACTGATACATCACAATTGTCCAGAACAGGGTCTGGCACAAGGGGATCCAATACACATTTGTTGACTGAATCAATTATACACAATTTTAGTATTTTATAGGGGTAATCTCATCCCCTAGCTCTTACCTTTTCTATTTGTTGATCTTTTTCAAGCATTTTCTAGGTCTACTCCATTTTTCATTTTTCCGAATTTACTATGCTATATTTTTTAAAATTTGTAAAATATTTCCTCTTTAATTTTATGATGGTAGTGCCCCACAAATCAATTTTGAGTTCCCTCATTGGGAAATGGGTACTATATATATACTTTTTTTTCTGAGACAGTGTCTTGCTCTGTTGCCCAGGCTGGGCTGGAGTGCAGTGATGCCACCTAAGGTCACTGTACCTTTGAATCCTGGTCTCAACCAATTGTAATCCTTCCACTTCAGCCTCCCTAGTACCTGGGACTACTGGTGTGTGTGCTACCAAGCCTAGCTAAGTTTTCCTTTTTTCGTTTTTAGAGATGGGCTCCTGCTATGTTGCCCAGCCTGTCTTTTTATTTTTAAAACTGTTTTTTTTTTTTCTATCTTCAGTCGAATAGTAGAACCTGAATATTTTCTTCTAATGGAAATAAATAACAAATGTATAGGAGCCAAGTGTTTAAATATTTGTTATTTCAAATGTAATAGTTTATCTACTGCTTATGTTTGCTAAGACCGACATATTTTATCTGCTGGATACATTTGCTAGGACAGCATTGTCTTTTGTGCATTTATTTTATAATTGGCCATGTACTGAGCTGACTTAGACCATGACTAATAGGTTTTCAGATGGTTCTTTTGAGAGTTCTTGCTAGTCATTTACATCATTTTTATTTCTCTTTTACAATATTTATATTTCAATCTGCTTATATATTAACCCTTCTGTTGGTGGTTTTAATGACATCTGACATCTGACTAGAAATACTAGTTAAAACATTAATGTAAGTAAATGAGGGATTGCATATCAAATATGACCACGTGGAAGCATGCAAATAACATAAATTCACAAAACAATACTTCAGGTGACAAGAACACTATAAAAATGTTCACATCCCTAGTAATTAAAATAATATACATTAAAATGGTATACTACTGGCCGGGCACAGTGGCTCACGCCTGTAATCCCAGCACTTTGGGAGGCCGAGGCGGGCGGATCACGAGGTCAGGAGATCGAGACCATCCTGGCTAACACGTGAAACCCCGTCTCTACTGAAAATACAAAAAAATTAGCCGGGCGTGGTGGCGCGCACCTGTAGTCCCAGCTACTCGGGAGGCTGAGGCAGGAGAATGGCGTGAACCCGGGAGGCGGAGCTTGCAGTGAGCCGAGACCGCGCCACTGCACTCCAGCCTGGGCGACAGAGCGAGACTCCGTCTCAGAAAAAAAAAAAAAAAAAAAAAAGATATACTACTATTTTGGCCCATCAGCTTGGGCAAATCATTCTTTTTATATGTATACTAATATTCTGGTCAGCATAAGAAACAAAGTCTCACTACTGGTCAGGGAAGTAAAAAAATGGCAAACATTCTAGAAATGAATTTAGCACTTTATGTAAAAAAACATAGGAAGGGGAAGATTTCCTTTTTTTTGTTTTTGTTTTTGTTTTTTAATATGGACTCTCGCTCTGTCGCCCGGGCTGGAGTGCAGTGGTGCGATCTCAGTTCACTGCAAGCTCCGCTTCCCGGGTTCACGCCATTCTCCTGCCTCAGCCTCCCAAGTAGCTGGGACTACAGGTGCCCACGACCACGCCCGGCTAATTTTTGTATTTTTAGTAGAGATGGGGTTTCACCGTGTTAGCCAGGATGATCTTGATCTCCTAACCTCGTGATCCACCCGCCTCGGCCTCCCAAAGTGCTGGGATTACAGGCATGAGCCACTGCGCCCGGCCACGGAAGATTTCCATTTTAAGAAATGTGTCTTGAAAAAAGTAATTTGGTAAATATTAAAATGCTTGTAAACAGATATTTATCATAATAAGAAAAAAAGGCAGCAGTATAATATCTAAACCCTAACAGTCGTTCTCCAGAGATGCTGTTCTTTGTACCTGCAATGTGGTTAAGAAAAGCATTTTATTTTTCTTTAATAATTATACATTAACATGTAAAAATCCCATCAGAGTCCCAGCACAGTGGCTTATGCCTAGCTCTAATCCCAGCACTTTGGTAGGCCAAGCAGGGAGGATTTCTTGAGGCCAGGAATTGAAGACCAGTCTGGGCAACATAGCGAGATCCCTGCCTCTACAAAAATAAAAAATAAAATTGTAGCCATGTGTGGTGGTACGCCCCTCTAGTCTAGCTACTTGGGAGGCTAAGGTGGGAGAATTGATTGAGTCCAGGAGGTTAAGGCTGTAGTGAGTCATGACTTCAGTCTCGGTGAGAACTTGTCTCTAAAACAATAAAAATAAAATAAGAAAAAAAGAAAAGCTGGTTTACTGTGGTTTATGTAGGCATTGATTTTAATAGTGATTTACAATTTCTTTTTTTTTTTTTTCCTGTTGTGTCTATCTTTCTGGAAGGATCTTAACTGAAAGGGTATTTCTTACGGGAACCTCTAGTGGACACCTTAGAAGGTAGAGCAGTTGAAGGAGAAATATATTATTCACACATTAATGGTTCGGGACTGGTCCTCATCAGACTGGCTAGACTCAAGGCAATAAATCATCTCTACCTTCATCAGATTTTCTTTTATAAAAGGAAAGAGAAATTCTAAGTTCTTCAAGACATGGAGAATATTTTCATAATATTCTAGGTTATTTTGTAGACATTAAATCTGAAAACCTCAATATAGTCAATGACTGTATTAAAGCTTGTAGACTGGTTTGGGAAAAAAAGATTTCTTTCTACATTTTGGGACACATCCAGCCATGTGCCAGAAAAGTCCCCAGAAGAATTTGTTTGAATCTGGAGGCACAGATCCACTGGCCTTCTGTAGCATTTGGTAAACTGTAGTCTGCTGCTGCCAACTGAATGACCTGTTCAAAATTAAGTCGTCTGTAGACTTTCTGAACAGTTACTCATACGTGCAAAAGTTTCACTGAAGAAAGAGTTAGATAAAAAGAATTCGATTAGCTCAGTGGCTCAAAAACTTATCAGTTTCATTGCCCACTTTATGCAATGCCACAATTCATTGGTTGACATTTTAACATAAAATTATACAATCGATGGCATCTCACAGTCCACATTGGCTGGTGTGACACAGTTGTCATTGACTGTACATGTTTGTACCTAGTCAAAGGAGTTCATACTGCCATAACTTTAAGGGCAGTAGATTGTGGTAACTACATGTGTATGGGTCTCAACTCATATTAAAAATGTGTTCCTGGCAGAGTGCAGTGGCTCACGCCTGTAATCTCAGTATTTTGGGAGGCCAAGGCGGATGGATCACCTGAGGTCAGGAGTTCGAGACCAGCCTGACCAATATGGTGAAACCCTGTCTCTACTAAAAATACAAAACATTAGCCAGGCATGGTGGTAGATGCCTGTAATTCCAGCTAGTCGGGAGGCTGAGGCAGGAGAATTGCTTGAACCCAGGAGGCAGAGGTTGGAGTGAGATGAGATCGTGCCTCTGTACTCCAGCCTGGGCAACATGAGCGAAAGTCTGTCTCAAAAAAAAAAAAAAAAGTATTCCTGTTTGTTACCTGAAAATCTTCCATGGACACCTCCAGTAAGACCAAGAAACTGCCAAAATTATTGCTGGCTCTTGGAAGAAAATCGAGGTGTCAGTAGTGGAGCAGCCTTTCAGAAATGCTGTATCACTAATGCTCTTGCTGGCTTGGAAGATGATGTTGTGTCCAAAATTTCAAGTGGTGATAAGGCATTGTGTCCTAATTTAATTGCAGTGTGTTTTTGTAAATGTTATAACATAAAATTTGTTGTGTCTCATAATCAATGTTATCTTAGATCCAATCCAAGAAGAAACATAATTTGTAATGTCCCCTTTATTATCCTTAAATAAAATTGATGGATAATAAAGCTACCTACATATATAATTTTCAAGAATCAATGTAATTGTCTATCTACAATATGACAGATACATAAAAATATATCAGTATTTATTCATTATGAAAATGACTTTGCACAACCATACCTGAATACCTAATGAGGTAGTCAGATGTTTTTATCTACCTATGGCAAATAACACTGGATTTATGAGAAATAAGACAATCAGAAGCTATTCTTAAGCAAGAAGCACTTGCATATAAAATGTACAGGCACAGCTGGATGCTAGACTACAAAGTAATGGTATAATGAATAATAAGTGAGAAGCTTTTGTATTGATGAGAGAAAGAAGAAAATCACCTTAATTAACAGAGATATCACACCTTAGAAAATTATAAAGTTTTGAAGTAGAAATAATGAGGAAGTGTTTTCATACTGGAACTGGGACTTTTACCACTGTATTGTCAACATAATTGCCTTTGTTATGACATGGAATGAGGTAGTGGCAACTATCATTAAGGATGTTTACTTTTAAAAGGACGGGTGTACATTCATTTCTCTATAACTTAGGGAAGATCTTAGAGACAATATATAATCTTCTTCAAAGGTCAGCTGGATCTATGGTAAAATACAGGAGTATCTAGAGAATTTGGGTTGACCTCTAGGGATATTATCTGAGTCGGATGGAAAAAATTAGTTAACTACAAAATGAATAAATAATTTAAGTAACTAATTTTTATGAACTAAAAATAAGTTAACTACAAAATGAATAATTTCAGTAACTAACTTTTATAAATTTCAGTAACTATTTTTTATAAAATAAATGAGGTAATAAAAACTATGACTGAAAATATGTTTGCTCTTAAAAGTCCGGGTGTGCTTTCAGTTCTCTACAACTTTAAAAGATCTTGGAGACAATATATAATCTTCAAAGGTCAACTGAAGCTATGTTAAAATATAGGAGCATCTAGAGAATTTGTGTTGACCTCTAGGGATATTATCCAAGTAGGATGGGAAAAATAACTACTAAATGAACAAATAATTTCAGTAACTAATTTTTATAAAATAAATTTCTGTCATTGTGCTATATAATTATTAAAAAGTATAAACTGGCAATTATATGACATGTTTTTAAAAGCATCTTTATTATTGAATTCAATAAGATCCCCGAGTTTCCTGTGGCTCCATTAGTTTAATTGTATTTGGCTTTAAGTCTCCTAAGAGAAGACTTCATAAGGTTTGCTGAAAACTTCAGTAAACATTAGGTTAGCAAATATTGAATGCCTAAAGCTTGCTCTTTCTGTTGTAAAATGTTTCCGTTGATACTGACATTAGTCCTTCCTCATAATCGTGATTTGATGATATACATGAAACAGCCGGAGAGGTATTCAGAAGAATGTAAAGTATGTGAACAAAAGAATATTGAAAACATGATCTGTCGTGTCCATTTTTGTAAAAGACAGAAGAGTGACTTATTTCTCCTCATAGTGTTATAAAGCTCAGCTGTAATCACTTAATTAGAGGAAGGCTTTTTGAAGGAAGATGGAGAAGGAAATGGCGGAAGAGTATTTTGGAATCTCAAAGAGCTTTCCTAACAAAGGTGTCTGGTGAACAAATCCTTGAGTTCATTTCTACGGAGCAACTAGTCATTTTGGAAGACCCGAGGAGATAAAGAAAGGCCTCAAGAAATTGAAAAAGAGAAATCATGTGGTTTGACTTTTCATGATATAGTGGAATGCAGTTCTGTTCATTATTATAGACAATCTTTTATTCATCTTTGTGCCAAGTTAATTTGTTATAAAAGGCTCAGAAATATTTTGGGAAATTATATGTGTTTTGTTGCCGTGTATTTTTGTTGGGGTTTCATTGATACTCTTAACGTAGTATACTAATTAGAAGTTAGAAAAGACTGACTACGTCTATATCATGTTATTAGTGTTCCACCTGAGAGCGTTCCATGCAATGTCACTGACACTTTGTTTTATGGCAAAGGGACTTAATCTTATCGATAGATTTTTGCAGTGCAGTGCACAAATCCATACCTATTCACATCTCCAGGAAGCTCTGAGTTTGAAAACTGATTTTCTTTTCTTTCCCTTCCTGCCTTCCTTCCTTCCTTCCTTTCTTTTTTTTTTTTTTCAGATGGAGTCTCATTGTTTCCCAGGCTGGAGTGCAATGGCAGGATCTTGGCTCACTGCAACCTCTGCCTCCCAGGTGGTTCAAGCTATTCTCCTGCCTCAGCCTCCCGTATAGCTAGGATTACAGGTGCCCACCACCACATCCAGCTAATTTTGTATTTTAGTAGAGACCCGGTTTCACCATGTTGGTCAGACTGGTCTCGAACTCCTGACCTCAGGTGATCAACCCGCCTTGGCATCCCAAGGTGCTGGGATTACAGGCATGAGCCACTGCGTCCAGCTAAAAACTCATTTTCAATGCTATATATAATAATTTGGTTCTTATAAGAGCAGACAGAAGCCTACTTAGTCCTATAATATAACTGAAATTAAGACAGAGGTCATGAAGAAGCTGTGAATACAAATGAGAGGGAGACAAGGCTATTTCTGTGTAGACATTATTTGTACCAAGTGATTTTAAGGTGGGGACCATGTGTATCTCCAGTCTGAATGGCAGACTGAGGATCTGTTTACCAGGAAAATTCTGGGTTTGCCCATGTGCTCTCCACAAACAGTGCTGTTCAAGGAGTCTTTCCCCAGAGAGAAATCTATTATCTTGTCTTTTGTGATAAGGATTTCCCTAATATTTTTATTGTACACACAGACACATGCACATACTACTCTTATTTATAAACTTTAAATTGCTAGAATCATACTTTATTCTTTCATTATTTGCTTCTTTCACACTACAGTAACTTTGTGAGATGTTCCTATGTTGATGTTCACTGTTGTTCCACATCCTCTTCATTTCCATTTCCATATGAATTTTAGAATCACCTCATCAATTTCTACAAAAATATCTTCTAGGACTTAGATGGGAATTAGGTTGAATCTACTGATCAATTTGGAGAGAATCAACATCTTAACAATAATAAGTATTCTGACCCAATAACATTATTTAGTTGTTTAGTTTCAGCAATAGTTTGACTGGAAGACTTTGTGTAGAATTGGTAATATTTATTTCTTAAGTGCTTAGGGAAATTCACCATTGAAGCCATTTGGGCCTGTAGTTTTCTTTGTGAAAAGGCTTTTTTAGCAACAAATTCAATTTCTCTAATAGATGTAAGGCTACTCAAATATACATTTCTTATTGAGTGAATTTTGTCAGTGTTTGTCTTTCAACAAATTTGTCCACTTTGTTGAAATTGTTGAATTTTGTCACAGACTTGTTCTTAAAGTTGTTCTTTTTTTTTTTCAGAGCAGGATTGGAAGTTTATTTTAAAAGGCTTTAGAACAGGACAAAAAGAAAAGCACTGATATTGTCTGGCTGTGTCCCCACCCAAATCTCAACTTGAATTGTATCTCCCAGAAGTCCCATGTGTTGTGGGAGGGACCCAGGGGGAGGTAACTGAATCATGGGGGCCAGTCTTTCCCATGCTATTCTCATGATAATGAATAAGTCTCACAAGATCTGATGGGTTTATCAGGGGTTTCTGCTTTTGCTTCTTCCTCATTTTCTCTTGCCACCGCCATGTAAGAAGTGACTTTCACCTCCCACCATGATTCTGAGGCCTCCCGCCAGCCATGTGAAACAATAAGTCCAGTTAAACTTCTTTTTCTTCCTAGTCTTGGGTGTGTCTTTATCAGCAGCATGAAAACAAACTAATGCGGTAAATTGATACCAGTACATTGGGGCATTGCTGAAAAGATACCTGAAAATGTGGAAGTGACATTGGAACTGGGTAAGAGGCAGAGGTTGGAACAGTTTGGAGGGCTCAGAAGAAGACAGGAAAATGTGGGAAAGTTTGCAGCTTCCTAGAGACTTGCTGAATGGCTTTGACCAAAAGCCTGATAGCAATATGGACAATAAGGTTCTAGCTGAGGTGGTCTCAGATGGTGATGAGGAACTTGTTGGGAACTGGAGCAAAGGTGACTCTTGTTGTGTTTTAGCAAAGAGACTGGTGGCATTTTGCCCCTGCCCTAGGGATTTGTGAAACTTTGAACTTGAGAGAGATGATTTAGGGTATCTGGCAGAAGAAATTTCTAAGCAGCAAAACATTCAAGAGGTAACTTGGGTGCTGTTAAAGACATTCAGTTTTATAAGGGAAGCAGAGCATAAAAGTTCAGAAAATTTGCAGCCCGACAATGTGATAGAAAAGAAACACCTATTTTCTGCAAGCTGGCTGCAGAAATGTGCATAAGTAATGAGGAACCAAATGTTAATCCCCAGGACAATGGGGAAAATGTCTCCAGGCCACATCAGAGGTCTTCATGGTAGCCCCTCTCATCACAGGTCCAGAGGCCTAGAAGAAAATGGTTTCCTGGGCCACTTCCTCCCATCACAGGCCCAGAGACCTAGAAGAAAAGGGTCCCTGTACTGTGTGCAGCCTAGGGACTTGGTGCCCTGTGTCCCAGTTACTCCAGCCATGGCTGAAAGGGGCCAATGTAGAACTCGGGCCGTAGCCTCAGAAGGTGTAAGCCCCAAGCCTTGGCAGCTTCCACTTGGTGTTGAGCCGGCAGGTGCACAATAGTCAAGAACTTGGGTTTGGGAACCTCCACCTAGATTTCAGAACATGTATGGAAATGCCTGGATGCCCAGACAGAAGTTTGCTGCAGGAGCAGGGCACTCATGTAGAACCTCTGCTAGGGCAGTGCAGACGGAAATGTGGGATCGGAGCCCCCACACAGAGTCCCTACTAGGGCACCTCCCAGTGGAGCTGTGAGAAGAGGGCCACTGTCCTCCAGACCCTAGAATGGTAGATCCACCAACAGCTTGCACCGTTCACCTGGAAAAGCTGCAGACACTCAGTGCCAGCCTGTGAAAGCAGCTGGGATGGAGGCTGTACCCTGCAAAGCGACAGGAGTGGAGCTGCCCAAGACCATGGGAACCCACCTCTTGCATCAGCGTGACCTGGATGTGAGACAGGGAGTCAAAGGAGATCATTTTGGAGCCCTAAAATTTGACTGCCCTGCTGGATTTCAGACTTGCATGGGCCTTGTAACCACTTTCTTTCAGCCAATTTCTCCCATTTGGAACAGCTATATTTACCCAATACTGATACCTCCATTGTATCTAGGAAGTTAACTAGCTTACTTTTGATTTTATAGGCTTACAGGCGGTAGGGACTTGTCTTGTCTCAGATGAGACTTTGGACTGTGGACTTTTGGGTTAATACTGAAATGAATTAAGACTTTGGGGGACTGTTGGGAAGGCATGATTGGTTTTGATATGTGAGGACATGAGATTTGAAAGGGCCAGGGATGGAATGATATGGTTCGGCTCTGTCCCCACCCAAATCTCAACTTGAATTGTATCTCTCAGAATTTCCATATGTTGTAGGAGGGACCCAGGAGGAGGTAATTAAATCATGGGGACTGGTGTTTCCCATGCTATTCTCATAATAGTGAATAAGTCTTGTGAGATCTGATGGGTTTATCAGGGGTTTCCACGTTTGCTTTTTCCTCATTTTCTCTCGCCGCCATCATGTAAGAAGTGCCTTTCACCTCCTGCCATGATTCTGAGGCCTCCCCAGCTATGTGGAACTATAAGTCCAATTAAACCTCCTTTTCTTCCTAGTCTTGGGTATGTCTTTATCAGCAGCGTGAAAATGGACTAATACAAGTACATTTGGAAGAGACTCAAGCAGGCACATGAAGGTCAGGTGCCCTTAAAATTTTCTTAATATTCTCTTATTACCCTTTTAATATTTATAGAATCTGGCCGGTGCAGTGGCTTACGCCTGTAATCCTAGCACTTTGGCAGGCCGAGGTGGGTGGATCACGAGGTCAGGAGATCGAGACCATCCTGGCCAACATGGTGCAACCCCGTCTCTACTAAAATACGAAAAATTAGCCAGGTGTGGTGGCACATGACTTTAGTCCCATCTACTCAGGAGGCTGAGGCAGGGGAACTGCTTGAATCCAGGAGGTGGAGGTTGCAGTGAGCTAGGATTGCGCCACTGCACTGCAGCCTGGCAACAGAGTGAGACTATCTCAAAATAAAGAAAGAAAGAATAGAATCTATAGTGATGCCACCTCTTTTATTTTTAATATTTGTAAGCTGTGTCTTACCTATTTTCTCTGCTTAGTTTGGTTAGAACTTTATTAATTTTATGGATCTTCTCAAAGAACTAGCTTTTGGTTTTATTTATTTTCTCCATTATTTTCCTAATTTCTAGTTTATTAATTTCCACCCTGAACTTTTATTTCCTTTCTTCTACTTCCTTTGATGTTAATTTGCTTTTCTTTTTCTAAGTTTCTTAAGATGGAAACCAAGATGTTGATTTGAAACCTGTGCTCTATTCTAACGTAGACATTTAATAAATTTCCTTCTAAAAATTGCTTTAAAAGACTCCCTCAAAATTAATGTGGTATGATTTTATTCTCATTCCCTTGAAAATTCTTTATAATTTTTAAATTTCTTCTTTGATTGCATTTTTTGTTTCTTCTTTGAAATATAGATTATTTAAAGGGGTATAATTTGGTTTCCAAATATTTGGATATATTCCAGCGATCTTGCTGTTATAAATGTTTAATTTATTTTCATTACAGTCATATCACATACATCCCATGACTTTAACCCTTTTAAATTTATTGAGACTTGTTTCATGGCCCAGAATTGGGTCTACTGTGGCGAGTGATCCATGCACACCTGAGAAGGATGTGTGCTCTCCTGCTGTTGGCTGGAGTTCTCTGTGATAAAAAGTCGGTCAGGTTTGTTGATCCTATTGTTCTAGTGTTCTACATCCCTGTTTACTTATTCTATCCATTATTGAGAGAGAGGTATGACAGTCTATAGCTATAATGATAGATTTTTCCATTTCTCTTTGCAGATCTATCGGTTTTTGTTTCATGTAGTTTGAAGCTCTGCTATTAAGTGCATAAACATTTAGGGTTATTATATTCTCTTGAGGGATTGACACCTATATCATTGTGAAATGATCCCTGTATCCCTGGTAATAGTATATGCTCTGAAATCTACTTTATCTGATATTAACGTGCTCCTCTGGCTCTTTTATGACCCATATTAATGTGATGTTTGGTGAATGATTTGATTTGCCCAAATTGAAGCCTGGTGTTTGTCTCCAGCTCCTGGAAGTGAACCTTTAAACCCTTGAAATGTCTTGAGTGATAGGAGTGTTTTTGTTATTTACGGTGGGTCCCTGGGACTATGCCTAGTATTTTATGCTACAAATATAATTTGTGCTAAAAATATAACACGTGGCACAAAGGCCACATGTTACCAACCTGATCTCTGGGGGTGGGTGGCCTAGAGACTGAGTTCAATGGGCCAGCAATGAAACAATCAATCATACCTACATAATGCAGCCACAGTAAAATCTCTGGTCAGCTTCCTAAGTTGGCAGTACTCCGTGTATATCATCACATGTGGATTCCAGGAGGGTAAAATACCCAGGAGCCCTGTGTGTTTCCTCAACTTGAGTGTGGACTGGGTTTAGTGACTTGCTTCTAGCAGAGAGAACGTGGCAGAGTTGAAGAGATGCCACCTTCAAAACTGGGTTACAAGAAGACTATGGCTTGTTTTGCCTCTTTCTTTTTCTCACTCATTCTAAGGGAAGCCGGCTGCCATGTTGCAAGCTGCCCTGTGGAGGGGCCCACATGACAAGGAACAATGTGTATGACACCAACTGCCAAGGGCCTGGGATCTGCCGTCAGTCACATGAGGGAACTTGAAAGTGGATCATTCCCATTTAGCTCTGAGATGACTGCATCTCTGGCTGACACTTTCATCACAGGCTTTCAAGAGACTCTGAGCCACAGGATAAAACTAAACCACACCTCGATTCTTGGCCCACAAAAACTATGGGATGTGTTAAGCTACTGAATTTGGGGGTAATTTGTTATACAATAAGAACTATCTAACAACCAGATGTAAAAAATGAAGGAAGAAGAGGAGAAGAAGAAAACGGGGAAAGTAAAGAGGGGAGGAGGAAAGGAGAAAAGGATGGAGAGTGTGGAGAAGGAGGAGGAATAGGATATTATATTAATTAAGCCTTAAGCTCAATGATGCAAAAGTTCTGACTCAGACTGGACTAAAACAAGAAAGTTCATAATATACTGTAGGAGGAAGTCAAAAACAGGAAGAATAATAAGCTCATATGATTCAATGACTCAGTTGTGTCTTTCTATTTCAATATTGGCTTCATCCTCAGCCTTCTAGCAAGCTGACTCAGCCTGAATTTCCAGTGTGTTAGCTTGGGTTGCTGTAACCAACTACCACAGACTGGTGGCTTCAACAGCAGTCATTTTTTTCCCACAGTTCTGGAAGCTGGAAAACCCAAGATCAAGGTGCCAGCAGATATGCTTCTTGGTGAATTCTTTCTTCCTGGCTTATAGGCGGCCACCTCATGTGTATCCTCATAAGGTAGAGAGAGGGAGCTCTGGTGTCCCTCCATCTTCTTCTTCTTTTTTTTCTTCCTTTTGAAATGGAGTCTCGCTCTGTCGCCCAAGCTGGAGTGCGGTGGCGAGATCTTGGCTCACTATAAGCTCCGCCTTCTGGGTTCACGCCATTCTCCTGCCTCAGGCTCCCAAGTAGCTGTAACTACAGGTGCCCGTCACCATGCCCAGCTAATTTTTTTGTATTTTTGGTAGAGACGGGGTTTCACCATGTTAGCCAGGATGGTCTTGATCTCCTGACCTCCTGATCCGCCCGCCTCGGCCTCCCAAAGTGCTGGGATTACAGGCGTGAGCCACCGTGCCCAGCCCCCTCCATCTTCTTAGAAGGGCGCTAATCCCATCATGGGAGCCTCACCTTCATGACCTCGTCTATACCTAATTACTTCCCAAAGGCCCCACTTCCCAATGCATTGAAGGTTAGGGATTCAATATACAAATTTTAGGCAGGTTTCGGGGATGCAGAAATTCAGCCCATAGCATCCAACAGCTAGACAAAGAAGAGATATTGGTTCTTTGGTTTTCCCTAGAAGAAAGAAATGTCTTCTACCATCCCCCAGCTGATTTTATTTCTTGTCCCACTGCCCAGTCCTCAGGCACATGCCAGCGGCAATCACAGGCAAAGGCTCTGAGATTCATTCAACCTACTTGGGGCTGGAGATGGGGCCCCTTCCACTGAGGCCCTTGGCTACGAGGGGATGTGGAGGACCCCTAAGTAAAATTGTGTTCCTTAAGGCAGCAGTCCCCAACATTTTTGGCACCAGGGACTGGTTTCATTGAAGATAATTGTTCCATGGACCAGACTGGTATGGAGTGGCAGGTGATGGGTTTGGGATGATTCAAGTGCATTACACTTACTGTGCACTTTATCTCTATTATTATTACATTGTAATATAAAATGAAAGAATTATACAACTCACCATAATGTAGAATCAGTGGGAGCCCTGAGCTTGTTTTCCTGCAATTAGACAGTCCCACTGGGGGGTGATGGAAGACAACAGATCTTCAGGTATTAGATTCTCATAAGGATCAGGTATTAGATTCTCATAAGGAGTGCACAGACTAGATCCCTTACACGGGTAGTTCACAACAGAGTTCCAGCTCCTATGAGAATCTAATGCCACTGCTGATCTGACAGGAGGCAGAGCTCCAGCAGTAATGTGAGCAATGGGGAGTGGCTATAAATACAGATGAAGCTTTGCTTACTTGGCCACCCCTCACCTCCTCTAGGAGGTGTGCGGCCCTAGACAAGGCCGTGGACTGGTACTGGGGGTCAAGGACCCCTGCTTTAGGGCATGAAACAGACTGATAGCTACTGGTAGCTGCCAACGGTATGAATGAAGATGTTCAATTCTTCTACAGAAAAATTCTTCACCTTCACAGTTGATGGAATGTAGTAGAAATTTCTGTTTGACTCTTCCATGGTATCTTTCAGACTCACTGATTTATCTAAATATATATATTTTTTATGGAACTAGTCAGCCATACCCATCTTCAATCTTATAAGCAAAGAAATAACTTCTAAGGAATTTGTACGATGAAGACATATTTTTGAGCTGAGTGGCTCCTAATCGCCCATTTTTCCTTGAGGGAGCATTTATTGAGTGTTTGTTGTGTGCTGGCAGTGGATTCCAGACTGAACAAAGCAGACACTGCCCCTGCTCCCGGAGAGCTTGCACCGCCTCCATGTACACACCATCCCGCTCTACTGCAGCTGTCCTGATCACCTAAGAAGTGATCATCAGATTCTACATTTTATAGCCCATAACATTTCCTCATTAATTCATTGAAGTTTAAACTTCTCATCCATGTGTGTGTAGCAAGCTTAGTTCTGCAAAAATGTTTGAAATTTGCCACTTCCTCTAAAAAAGATATTTTCTTCTGTGATCATTAATTATAATAAAATGTGTTTACACTCTTGAGACTGAATTAACTGTCTCATTCTATTATCCCAATATTTATGCATTTGTAATTTAGATAAGAATTATTAATACAATTTTACCATGAGCTGTATGAAACAGATCAAAAGTGACAGTAACAAGGCATATTATAAGAACCCTAAAGTATTCCTTTTTAGACAAAAAATAGCATATCTGGCAGAGATGCACAGAAAGGGGAATGCTAGTACACTTCTGGTGGGAAGGTAAATTAGTACAGCACAGCCACTGTGGACAACAGTATGGAGGGTTCTCAAAAACTAAAAATAGATCTGTCATATGATCCTGTAATCCCACTGCTGGGAATATATCCAAAACAAAAGAAATTGGTATGTCAAAGAGATATCTGCACACCCATTTTATTACAGCACTATTCTCAATAGTCAAGATATGGCATCAACCTAAGTGTCCATCAACAAATGAATGGATAGAGAAATACCATATATATACACACAATGGAATACTAGTTAGCCATAAAATAGAATAAAATCCTGTCATTTCCAGAAACACACATGGAACTATAGGTTGTCATGTTAGTTGAAATAAACCGGGCACAAAAAGACAAATATTGTATGGTCTCACTCATATTTAAGAGCTAAAAAAGTTCATTTCATGAAGGCAAAGAGTAGAATATTGGTTACAGACGCTGGGAATGGTGTTGAGGGGACATGAAGAGAGGTTGCTTAATGGGTGCAAAAATACAATGAGATGAGGGACTACATTCTAATGTTCAACAGCACAGTGACTACAGTTAACGAAACTTTTTTTTAATGGAATCTAACTCTGTTGTCCAGGCTGGAATGTAGCGGCACCATCTCGGCTCACTGCAACCTCCACCTCCCAGGTTCAAGCCACTCTCCTGCCTCAGCCTCCCAACTAGCTGAGACTACAGGCATGCACCACCGTGCCAGGCTAATTTTTGTATTTTTAGTAGAGACGGGGTTTCGCCATGTTGGCCAGGCTGGTCTTGAACTCCTGACCTCAAGTGATCTACCCTCCTTGGCCTCCCAAAGTGCTGGGATTACAGGCATGAGCCACAGCACCCAGCCCAGTTAACAAAACTTTATTATATATTTCAAAATAGCTGGAAGAAATGATTTGAAGTATCCCCAACACAAAGAAATGGTGTATGTTTGAGGTGATGGATATGCTAATTACCCTGATTTGATCATTACATGTTGCATGCAAGTATCAAAACATCACATGTACTTCAAGAATATATACAATTACATATCAATTTTTTAAATTATTTTCTATTGCTTAGTTTAAGCTGTTTGTAGAGCTTATGTATAAACTGCAGCAAATGCAGAAAGTCAATCAGTGGCCAATGGCACAGAACAGGCAGCACATTTCGGAATTTCAAAGCCCTGTGTGCGCTTATCTAATCACCTTAATATTTGGGTGCATCACACAATTTTTTAGACAATGTTCTAGTTTCTAATTATAAAAATCATGTGTGTTTCAGTTTTCACAGTTTCAACACCAAAGAAATGTATCTATCACTCATGAGAAGGAATCAAGGAAGTCAATTTTGGAAAGTCAAAAATGACCATCCATCCTCACAACGCAGGGCATAAATTCTATGTCAGGTCTCCTTGCACATGCTCCACGTTCCTCATTACCCTATGGGTTCTTTCAAACCTCATCAGTCCTCGACCTGTGCCTTAAAGACAGCAGGTGTACAGCGGTAGAGGGAGAGCGGGAATGGACTCTGGGTCACTGGTCAAGCTGCCCAGCTGTGCACTGCACAAGAGGGAAATCCTCAGAGTAGATTGTGTGGATGATGGCAGGAAAGGGGGCCACTCCAGCCGCTCTGCTGGGACACTGTTGAGAGCCACACAGACCCCTAAGCTATTAAGTGGCAACAGAGGAGCCTCAGAGCCTATTTGTGGTGGGAGAAGAAAGAAAAAAGAAATTGCAAGATGGCTCAAGGCAATTGCTAAACTTTTTTGGAGGACGTGGAAAACCGTGGAACTTCTCCCCAAGAAAGTACATAAACAAAAAGTCCTGCATTAAAATTCAGAGAGCCCTTGAGGCAGCTCTTGTTCTCAGACTGGCCATGGTTCATTAAAAGTTAACTGGACTCTTCTTCTCCAATACTGATTTCTCTGTTTCTAAATTTCTCACATATCTAGCACATCACTTTGTTTACAGAAAATAATTCTGCTAGGAAGTCAGGGCAAATATTGATCTCCTCATGTCTCAAACAGAGGGGAAAATTCACAGAAGCAAACTTTGGAAAGTCAAAATGAAAAGTGTAAGTGACTTGCCTGAGATCAGATGGTTATGTGGTGGCAATGCCGAGATGTTGAATTGCATTGAGCTGGAACTCAGAAAGTTTCGGTCAGGAGCAGGCACACCATGGTGCCAAATTAGCTTGGCTTTCGGAGTGGGGCACACCTAAATCTAAATGCCATTTGTGCACGTTGCCTAAGCCACCAGAAACTTTGTTTCCTTACCTCTGACAAGGGAATAACAATCTGCCACACAGGGGGCCCCAGGAGGGTTAAATGAGGTGAAAAGAAATAATAGCTCAATCCCAAAACCAGCGCTCACCTGTGCCTACTGGTGGGGAATTCTCCCTATAACGAGTCACCTTGAGCTTTATTTAAGGGGCCTTCCTTGTTGAAATACTGAAATGTTACTAAGACTTTCACACAGTAATATTTCCAAATAAGAATTCTGTCTGTATTCCAGAAATTTGAGAGATGATAAAAAAGAAGAAACAAACAAAATATTGGCTGATTTCTGAAATGAGCTCATCTCCTGGCCTGAAGTATGACATCTGATTACCCCTCTTCCAGCACAAGTTATTACACTCCTTTACTCAATTATTGATGTTGTAAAATGCACTCGAATTTTATCTCTGTGATGCTGCTGCCTCCAATTCCCTTGCCTATTCGGGAAATGCATAAGGAAATAAAATTATAATTCTTACTTCTGAAGAAAAACCTGTTTTGAAGTTTGAAACTTGTGTCACTCATTGAAAAAGAAGCCCCCTATTTTTTATTCTAAAGAACTTGGAAAGAAGCATGTTTAATGTGTCAGGGACTCCCAGTGGCTCTACTTTGAGGACACACCGAGGATCTGACCACTTTTCATCACTGTGGTGGTCTTGTCCAGCTGAAACACCCTCGCCCCAATCACTGCACAGCCTTGGAACTGGTCTGCTTCCTTCCTCGACCCTCTGATATGCTCAGCCCGGCAGGCAGGCAGGGTGGTCCTAGAAAAACATGCTTCAGATTCACTGCTGCTGTGTTCCACGTCTGTGAGAGCATGGTCTCTCATGCAGAGTAGACCTGGCCCAACAACAGCTCACAAGGCCCTGGTAACCAGCGTGCCCGCATCTCTCCCCTTCTCCACACTGGCTTGGTCCAGACACGTGGGCGTCCCAATGTTCTTCTACGATGCCAGCATACCCTAGCCTGGGATATTTATCCACTTGTCCCTGGCATATGCAAACAGTGACGGTTAACTTAATGTGTCAACCTGAGTGGGATACAGGATGCCCAGATTCAACATTATTTTGGGGTGTGTGTGTGAAGGCATTTCTAGATGGGATTAGCATTTGAATTCGTGGACTCAGTAAAGCAGAGAGCCTTCCCCAATCCATTGGGGCATCTTTCAGTCCATGGAGGCGGACTCAAATAGAACAAAAGGCAGAGGAAAGAATTCACCCCTTTCTGCCCCTGCCTACCTGCCTGAACGGGGATGCTTCACCTCATCTTCTCTAGCCCTTGGACTCGGATTCACGCCACTGTCTCCTTGGTTCTCAAGTCTTGGGACTCATACGGAATTATATCACTGGCTTTCCTGCCTCTTCAGTCTGCAGATGGCAGATTCTGGGACTTCTCAGCCTCCTAATCATGTGATTATTCCTCATAATAAATCTCCATATATATATGTGTATATATATATGTATTATATATGTAAAGATATAGATATCTCTTAGATATACAATATGTAAAATCTCCTTTTATATAAATTATATATAAACTTACATATATGGAGATATACACAAACAGATAAGGATATATATGTATATATAGAAACAGATAAATGTGTATGTGTACATACACACACACACATATATATATACACACAAGGATATATGTACCTCTCCTATTGGTTTTGTTTCTTTGAAGGACCCTAATACACAAACTCTTTATCCAGATATCTGTACTCCTTACTCCCCAAGAATTTCAAGTCTTTGCTCAAATGTTAACTTTTCAAGGAGGTCCTCCCTGTCCACCCTCTATCTGAAATTGCACTATAATCCCTAGTACTTTTTTTTTTTTTTGAGACTGAGTCTTACTCTGTTGCTCAGGCTGGAGTGCAGTGGTGTGATCTCGACTCGCTGCAACCTCCGCCTCCCTATTTCAAGCAATTCTCCTGCCTCAGCCTCGTGAGTAGCTGGAATTACAGGTGTGCACCACCACACCCAGCTAATTTGTTTGTATTTTTAGTAGAGATGAGGTTTCACCATGTTGGCCAGACTGGTCTCGAACTCCTGACCTCGGGTGATCCACCTGCCTTGGCCTCCCAAAGTGCTGAGATTACAGGCATGAGCCACAGTGCCCCACCCACTAGTACTTTTGATATCTAGCTTGCTCTACTCATGGTACCGTCATTCATCAATTTTAGTGTAGAGATAATTTTCTATATTTTAATATCTCTAGAATTAGGATGGATCTTTACAAACCCTATCGTCAGGGAAAGGTGATGATATTGTTGCCATTGCTTGTAGATATACATCAAAACCTGTAGCATGGATGTCAGAGGCTTATGAGAAAAATATTAGGATGGTGCAAAAGTAATTGAGGTTTTTGCCATTTAAAAACTTACAGCTGGACCCATTGGCTCATGCCTGTAATCCCAGCACTTTGGGAGACTGAGGTGGGTGAATCACAAGGTCAGGAGTTCGAGACCAGCCTGGCCAACATGGTGAAATCCCCTCTTTACTAAAATTAGCTGGGCGTAGTGGTGGGCACCTGTAATCCCAGCTACTCGGGAGGCTGAGGCAGGAGAATTGCTTGAACCCTGGAGGCAGAGGTTGCAGTGAGCCGAGATTGCACCATTGCACTCCAGCCTGGGCAACAGAGAGAGACTTCATCTCAGAAAAAAAAAAATTACCTTTGCACCAACCTATTAATTAAGCACTGTTAATGACATCAATCCTGACATTGTACTGGGAAAAAAATGATCTTGACTCTATTGGTGTTGAAATGTGATTCAGAAAAGCCAACCCTGGATGTGAAGACATTTCAGGAATGCAGAAACAAGTTTATTTCATTTGTATTTTCCTTTCAGCTTATTAACAAAATTGATATGTGGCAAAAATCATCAGTAGACACAAAGGGTTATTTTAATGAAATAAGGACTTAAGTAAAAATTAATATTTCAAATTTTAAGTGCCAAAATGTTGTTTCTTTTTCATTGGTATAGGAAGCAATGGTCTTTATTACAGTCAATGACATTTTAGACTTGATAAAATATAGTATATGACTGATGTATTTTGTTGTTTATAACCTGTTGACTTTGTTATTGTTAGTCCAAGGGCCCCGCAGAGAGTAAGCCTCAGGAAATAATAGCAGTTGTTGTTGTTGGAACACTCTTAGAATGCATCCAAGTCAGACGTCCCAAGGAAGGTAATCTTGGGTTAAGTTTTGAAAGAGTGGCAACGTTTGTTTAAAATACTTTCCTCCCAAGTCTTTACTATTGTGAGTAGTGCTGCAATAAACATACATGTGCATGTGTCTTTATAGCAGCATGATTTATATTCCTTTGGGTATATACCCAGTAATGGGATGGCTGGGTCAAATGGTATTTCTAGCCCAAATGTCCAACAATGATAGACTGGATTACAAAAATGTGGCACACATGCACCATGGAATACTATGCAGCCATAAAAATCATAAGTTCATGTCCTTTGTAGGGACATGGATAAAGCTGGAAACCATCATTCTCAGCAAACTACCGCAAGGACAAAAAACCAAACACTGCATGTTCTCACTCATATGTGGGAATTGAACAATGAGAACACTTGGACACAGGAAGGGGAACATCACACACTGGGGCCTGTCGTGGGGTGGGGGACTGGCGGAGGGATAGCATTAGGAGATATACCTAATGTAAATGACGAGTTACTGGGTGCAGCACACCAACATGGCACATGTATGCATATGTAACAAACCTGCATGTTGTGCACATGTACCCTAGAACTTAAAGTATAATAAAAAAAAATACATATATATATAAATACTTTCCTCCCTCGTTTCATCTGGCTGAGGGAAGATCACATATCTGACGTCAGGAAGAATGAAGTGTTTGGCAGCTCAGGACCATTTTTCATGATCAGAACATTAAGGTGCCTTTGGGGACAGGGAGAAATGAGCCCTCCCTGCCTCTGGTCACTCCTGTCCATTCAGCCAGAGTCCTGCCCTGACACCTGGCTCACTGACCACCTTATCTCCCCTTTTAAATCTTACAGAGTCTCTGTTCCCAGCTCCTCCACCATGGGACCCTCATGGAAGTCCCCTATCCAGATGTAATTTCTCTGCCTTCTCTGAATTCTAAGCACTTTATACTCCTGTAATTAATGTATAAATCATACATTAATTCATTGGTTTACTTCTTTGACAAATATCTGTAGGGTGCCTTCTCTGGGTCAGTCCCTGTTCAAGGCACCAGGAACACAGGTGAAGGAGGTACAGTGGGTGTGAGACTCAATTTCCAGCTTCAGTCTAAGCTCCTGCAATTCAGGGATGAGATTTCATATATACATTTTTCAATCCTTATATAATGCCTTCCATATAATTGGTGGCTTATAAAGGATGATGGCTTATGGTCTTTATTACTTACATGTCTCATCATTCCTGTACAACTGTAGCAAATATAAACATCAAAATGCCTCTAGATCTTCTTTTCCTCATAACATATTTTCTCCTTTCTGTCATTTTGAAAGTGTTGTATATTGATGCCCCTGGTCATTTAGGAATGCCCATTTCTCTTTGTTCTAGTGCTGTTGTGTGGGTGAAGGTTGACCTAGTTTCAGAGAAGGGGTGAGGAAAGGCAGGGGCAAAAAGAATAAAGGAAAGAGTTTCTTTTGAGTACAAATAAAAACTACCAGGGAAATCTGATTTACCAAAATGTTCTAGGGATTAGATTTGCAACTATTAAATATGATTTAACTGAAGGACCCCTCCGGCCTTTTTTATTCCCTTCTTTTTTACTAAAATTCTTTATCGAATTGCAGAATCCTTTTTCATTTGTCTCAGTAAGTAAACTTCAATAAATTATAGGTAAAATTTAGAAAACTGAAAATTCTGTTAGAGATTAGAATGCATTAATATTTCTTGCCTTAGGCTGGGTGCAGTGGCTCACACCTGTAACCCCAGCACTTTGGGAGGCTGAGGCGGGCACATCACCTGAGGTCAGGAGTTCAAGACCAGCCTGGCCAACATGGTGAAACCCCGTCTCTACTAAAAATACAAAAATTAGCCAGGCATGGTGGCAGGCCCAGCTACTTGGTAGGCTGAGGCAGGAGAATCGCTTGAACCAGGGAGGTGGAGGTTGCAGTGAGCCGAGATCGTGCCACAGCCGAGATCTGTGAGCCTGGGCCACAGAGCGAGACTCCATCTCAAACAAACAAACAAACAAACAAAAAAAAAAACAAAGACCATAGAAGCATATGAATAATATGAATAGGGTTTTGGAGATTTCACAGGACATGCAGTAAATGCAAGGCATCGTAGAAAAATAAAGTGTCCAGGGTGAGTCCCCCAAATCAGCTTGCTTCCTTGGAGATGTGCCACTCTTTCCTGAAAGTTTACAACAAAGGAAATGTCAGTTATCTGAGGTTTTGGCGGGGCTCGGGTGGAATGTTGTGATGAATTATTCCTTAAATGCCCTGAGACTGAGCATGGGTTCCAATCTGGATGTTTCCAGCTCAGCTGCAGGAGGAGGGAGAATTTAGACAGAGACGTTGTCCGCCAAAGCTAAATACCTTCCGCCTTTGCCTACTTTTCATTTCCAAACACCAGTATTGATTCCTTCCACGACGAATCGATCTTGTGGCTTGAAAGAAGCCTCTACCTGGAAGCTGTGGGGGAGGGATGAAGTGCAAGAGAAAACATCTGTTAATCTGGACAGAGGCAGCGTGGCCTGAAATGAAGACATACCAAGCCCATCCTGGGAAGAAGTGTTTCTCCAGGTGGCAGCCTGCAGGAAGCAGAGCTCCTTCTGAACAGGCTTCCCACTGGCTCCTTTCTTTTTGATATTTTTTTCCAGCTTTGTTAACGTATGACAAATAAAAATTGTGTATATTTAGGGTGAGCGATATGGTGTTTTGATAAACACATTGTGAAATGATCACCACGATCAAGCTAAGGGACATACCCATCCTAACCTTGTTGCCACTGTGTGTGTGTGTGCCTGAGTGTGTGTGCCTGAGTGTGCGTGCCTGAGTGTGCGTGTGTGCACGTGCGTGCGTGTGTGCCTGTGTGTGCGCACGTGTGTGCCTGTGTGTGTGTCTGCGCACATGTGTGCCTGTGTGTGTCTGTGTGCATATGTGTTTGCACGTGTGTGTGTGGGCATGCCTGTATGTGTGCCTGTGTGTGCGTGTGTGCCTGTGTGTGTGCCTGTATGTGTGTCTGTGTGTGTGACTGTGTGTGTGCGTGTGTGTGTGTATGTGTGATGAGAACATTTAAGATCTGCTCTCAGCAAATTCCAAGTACACAATACAGTGTTATATACATTAGATCTGCAGAGCTTATTCAGCTTCTATCTGAAAGGTTGTAACCTTTGACCAAGATCACCCGTCCTCAACTACTGTTCTACTCTATTTCTATGAGTCCACCTTTTTAGATTTCACAAGTAAGTAAGATCATGCAGTGTTTATCTTTCTGTGCCTGGGTTATTTCACTTGGTATAATGTTCGTATTCTTGTAAATAGCAGGATTTCATTCTTTTTTTAAAGCTGAATAACATTTCATTTGATAGTTACTACAATTTCTTCATCTATCAATGGATTCTTAAGTTGCATCTGTATCTTGATTATTGTGAATAATAGTGCAGTGAGCATGGGAGTGCAGTTATCTCTTTGAGATAATGATTTCATTTTATTTTTTAACGTACACCCAGAAGTGGAATTGCTAGATCATATGGCAGTTCTATTTTGATTTTTATTTTTTTGTGGAACCTCCATACTACTTTCCATAATGACTATAACAATTTGCAGTCCCACCAACAGCATGCAGTTTTTCCCTTTTCTTCACGTCCCCACCAACACTCATTATATTTTGATCTTTTAATAATAAACATCCTAACGGGTGAAGTGATGTCACATTGCAGTTTTGATTTGCGTTTCCCTGATGATTAGTGGTGCTGAGCACCTTAATATACACCTGTTGCATCTCCGTATGTCTTCTTTGGAAGAAATGTCTATTCAGGCCCTTTGCCTATTGTTTTACTTGGGTTATTTGATTCTTTACTATTGAGTTGTAGGAGTTCCTTCTTCTCTTTGGATATTAATTCTCTGCTTTTCAGTGCCTTAAAGTTTCTGTGTCCCCACCCCTACCACGTGTTAGCCTTTGCTCAGTTCTACATCATGTCTGCTCATCCCTGTGACCCAGCGCTGTGCCTAGCATGGACAGATGCTCAAAGCGGGATTGATGACTGAATGGATAGACAAATGTGGCTTGATGTTTTCCCGCAAGCAGTTCGTAGTCTTGTGAATGCTCAGTGGTAACACTTCCGTAATTCCTCCCCATTCTACTCTTCATCTATGCTTCCTACCTAGAATGTTTGAGTTGGAGGAGCTTGCAGCCCTTTCCTTGGTGCAGTGTTGGTGGAACTCAGGAAATTGTAGTTCCTAAAGATAATGTGATCACCTAAATATAATGACTTGCTGGTAGAGAGCATGGAGCAGCACCAGAAAGCCTGTGTTCTAACCTTGGATCTGTTTCCTGCTGAGGGTATGTATGAGCTCCACGAAGTTGCCCAACATCTCTGAGCCTCACTTTCTCACATCTCCCAGTTGGGTGATTATTCCTCTGCACTCTCTTCTCAGGGTTGTTACAAGGGTCACATGAGTTAATTGATGTGAGAACTTTCAAATAAAGTGTAGAAATTATTCATGTGTTAGGGATCATTATTTTTCAGCCTATTCTCTCCCAAGGAGTATCTTTGTATCTTAGCAGAAGTCTCCAGTGCCTTAAAGAAGCTACCATTAGAAGGAATCCAGGCAGAGTCCTGAAGAACACGTTTTGGATCCTGATGAGTCTTCAGGTCACTGTTTTGACAACATCATGCTGCAGTTTTAGGCAAAGTTCACCGACTTGATGCCATAAAAGCGAGTTTGCATGACATAAGCTGGACAAGTACCATGCTTCTCATCTCACAGCTGTGAAGCCTTGTCCACGTGTTTTTTGTATTTCAGAGAACAACTGAAATATCACCATCATTTCACAGCAGCTCATTTCTGGTGTTGACACATGACTCATAGGGTTTTAGAGTTGGAAAAGAACTGATAGGTGGTAAGACTTACGATGTATGATTAACCAACCCCTCAGTGAACCATGAAGTTTTTAATAAAACATATAAAATACTAGACAGGAATAAACCTTCATCCTTTACAGTATTACTGATACACAGTGAGAAAACTCAAATACCTGGAGCGAAAGGAATGGGATGACATTGGTGTAAGAGGCACTGGGAGGAAATAGTCAAATATGTATGTTACTACATTAAATAGGAATTAGAGGAGGGAAGAATCATTTGCCTAACTAGTGTTTCTTCCAAAATCAATGGAAATTTAAATTGAATGATATTTTTCTCAGTTTTTCTTTTCTTCTACTTGTTTTCTCTCCTAAATAATCCAAATCGCTCCCTCTCCTCTCTCTCTCCTCTCTCTCTCTCTCTCTCTCTCTCTCTCTCTCTCTCTCTCTCAGTAAGCACCAGGATACCTATTCTATGGCACATGCTTGATAGTTCTTGCTAAGATACTCAAGTCTTAAGTCCTAATCAACTTTCATTTTTATTTCATCAAGAGTTTAAACATTAATTTAGTGATAATGATAGAATGGTAGGAAATTGGTCCCATAGCCTCAGAACAAATCACACCATATAAATGTGTCTATCATATTCAAGATTACTTTCTTTTGATGAACTGTTCTATTAGTGCATAGTTTAAACACATGGCCAGCCTATGCTTTAACCAGTACTGGAATTTAACACACAGCGGCAAACAGGAATCTTGCTTAACTTGACTTGGACTGTTGCTCAGCGCCTGCTGCTGACCCTCTGGTGAGAATGCAATAACCCAGAATGACGGATGAGTCAGGGAGGCTGGACAGCAGATTGTCCAGAACAGTATGTAATTCCCATGAGAGGGAAGGCTGTGGAGACCAGCTCACCCACCTCACTGACTCCCTGCAAGGCCCGAGTTAAAGGATGCTCCACAATTCCCTCTCCATTCCAGAATGACATTTCATTCTGATCAATGTCCTCTTACTAGGTTGACTTTTACTCTCTCAAATGCGCTGTTTAAAATACAAGTTGCTCTGGAATATGGCCCATTAAATGAATTACTGGGGCAGAGCATTTTTCCCTGCATTAGAGAACCAAGGCAGCCCAATGAGAATTGGTGCCTAGGAGGATGCAGAGTGAGGAGGAATGAGCAGAGAGGGGAGGGCAGGACACATCAACATCCAAAATTTGAGTCGTCCACTTCATGATCTCCTTTTTGGGGTTTGCTTGTCACTTCTTCAGGGACCCTCTGCCAGTCGAAGGCATTGTGTCCACCCTCTCTGGAAGGCTGCCTGTGAGGAATGACAGGAGATGAGACCACAGAGGCACAGGACACTAGAAGTCAGAGAAACTTTTGAGACCATGAGTCTCAATTCCTCATTTTACAGACCCAGATATTACAGCTCTGCTCTTAAAGTCACAAAACTTATGTAAACGTTGTGTGTTTTGCTGAGCTAGATGAAGACCATTTTGAGGCCTTATGCACCTGCTGTGTTTTTGGTGGGACTCTCTCCTGTCCCCAGGCTAAGATTCTTTACATGAATTCTCAAATTCCACAGATGATGAGATTTTATAGCATCTTCCAGTGTTGGGTTTGGTTTTTGTTATTTTGAATGAGCGTGCTGACTGTAGGAAATGATGAACTCAAGTGGCAGTTGAGATCAGAGGGACTGAAAACAAAGTCAAGTGTAACAGGATGCTGCTTTGGTGGTGTTTTTACCGCCCAAATGCACAGCCCGGATCCACACACCTTGACTTCATCTCTGTTCCCCATTTATTTTCCACCGGATCTCCGTGGGCACTTTTTTCTCCTCTTTCATCTTTTCCTCTACTCAGAAAAGTGCTTATAAAAGAGCAACGGTGATATTGCTTCTATTTGTCTTCTTGAAGGAAACTGGTTTACCCTGACCCTCTCTCGTGCATTTCCAGCCAGGTCGATTCTTCTTAGGCCTGTGTTTGTCTACGCTCACCTTTTAACATTTGGGCCAGGGGAGGGACAGGATCCTTAAAACATGATACCTATTTCCACATCTGAGGAAATGTAAATAGGTTGTTGTAGATTTTCTTAATATCATTTTTGTACCAATTCCTCACCCAGGCAATTCACTACAACCTTGAAACTCAGCATGTTTCTGGGTATTCTGTCTGGTATCTGAAGACTCTCCGAACCCAGTTCTGCATGTGGCTAAATTACAAACTCAGAGGAGCAGCTTCCAAATACGAGAATTTTCTGGGTGGTGATTTAGTCAACATGTAAATGCTAAGCTCTGATTGGAATAGGAAAAGCCCCCTCAAAAATTTATTTTTCAGAATGAATGAGTCAAAGCTCTACGACTTCCTGTCTGCTGGACACAAAACCAGAAAGCCTGATTCAACAGAGAAAGTGGCTGAGGTCAAGGCTGCAAGGACTAATTTAGGATTGGGATTCTTGCTCTTGACTCAGGCATTGAAGTAGCCTCACAGAGAAATAATACATTCCAGAAATGCCTTGGTTTCTGTGATCTCCATCTAGACCAACAAATCGCCCTATGTAATCAGCCTACAGTGCATCTCAAGAAAGTACAATATAAATGGAAATATACAACCTACTGAGACCAAAACAAAGATTTATTTTAAAAAAAGAGACGTCTTTACATGCATCACTAGATTTTAACGGTAATGAAGATGGGTCATTGAGGGTATAAAACGCTGGAATCCTGCATCAGAGTGCCTGGTGAGGAAATTTTTTTTTATTATTATTATACTTTAAGTTTTAGGGTACATGTGCACAATGTGCAGGCTAGTTACATATGTATACATGTGCCATGCTGGTGTGCTGCACCCATTAACTCGTCATTTAGCATTAGGTATATCTCCTAAAGCTATCCCTCCCCCTTCCCCCATCCCCCCACCCTGCAACAGTCCCCAGAGTGTGATGTTCCCCTTCCTGTGTCCATGCGTTCTCATTGTTCAGTTCCCACCTATGAGTGAGAATATGCAGTGTTTGGTTTTCTGTTCTTGCGATAGTTTACTGAGAATGATGATTTCCAATTTCATCCATGTCCCTACAAAGGACATGAACTCATCATTTTTATGGCTGCATAGTATTCCATGGTATATATGTGCCACATTTTCTTAATCCAGTCTATCATTGTTGGACACTTGGGTTGGTTCCAAGTCTTTGCTATTGTGAATAGTGCCGCAATAAACATACGTGTGCATGTGTCTTTATAGCAGCATGATTTATAGTCGTCTGGGTATATACCCAGTAATGGGATGGCTGGGTCAAATGGTATTTCTAGTTCTAGATCCCTGAGGAATCGCCACACTGACTTCCACAAGGGTTGAACTAGTTTACAGTCCCACCAACAGTGTAAAAGTGTTCCTATTTCTTCACATCCTCTCCAGCACCTGTTGTTTCCTGACTTTTTAATGATTGCCATTCTAACTGGTGTGAGATGGTATCTCATTGTGGTTTTGATTTGCATTTCTCTGATGGCCAGTGATGGTGAGCATTTTTTCATGTGTTTTTTGGCTGCATAAATGTCTTCTTTTGAGAAGTGTCTGTTCATGTCCTTCGCCCACTTTTTGATGGGGTTGTTTGTTTTTTTCTTGTAAATTTGAGTTCATTGTAGATTCTGGATATTAGCCCTTTGTCAGATGAGTAGGTTGAGAAAATTTTCTCCCATTCTGTAGGTTGCCTGTTCACTCTGATGGTAGTTTCTTTTGCTGTGCAGAAGCTGTTTAGTTTAATTAGATCCCATTTGTCAATTTTGGCTTTTGTTGCCATTGCTTTTGGTGTTTTAGACATGAAGTCCTTGCCCATGCCTATGTCCTGAATGGTAATGCCTAGGGTTTCTTCTAGGGTTTTTATGGTTTTAGGTCTAATGTTTAAGTCTTTAATCCAAGGACCAACAAAATTGATAGACCACTAGCAAGACTAATAAAGAAGAAAAGAGAGAAGAATCAAATAGATGCAATAAAAAATGATAAAGGGGATATCACCACCCATCCCACAGAAATACAAACTACCATCAGAGAATACTACAAACACCTCTATGCAAATAAACTACAAAATCTAGAAGAAATGGATAAATTCCTCAACACATACACCCTCCCAAGACTCTAAACCAGGAAGAAGTTGACTCTCTGAATACACCAATAACAGGCTCTGAAATTGTGGCAATAATCAATAGCTTACCAACCAAAAAGAGTCCAGGACCAGATGGATTCACAGCTGAATTCTACCAGAGGTACAAGGAGGAACTGGTACCATTCCTTCTGAAACTATTCCAATCAATAGAAAAAGAGGGAATCCTCCCTAATTCATTTTATGAGGCCAGCATCATCCTGATACCAAAGCCGGGCAGAGACACAACCAAAAAGGAGAATTTTAGACCAATATCCTTGATGAACATTGATGCAAAAATCCTCAATAAAATACTGGCAAAACGAATCCAGCAGCACATCAAAAAGCTTATCCACCATGATCAAGTCGGCTTCATCCCTGGGATGCAAGGCTGGTTCAATATACGCAAATCAATAAATGTAATCCAGCATATAAACAGAACCAAAGACAGAAACCACATGATTATCTCAATAGATGCAGAAAAGGCCTTTGACAAAATTCAACAATGCTTCATGCTAAAAACTCTCAATAAATTAGGTATTGATGGGACGTATCTCAAAATAATAAGAGCTATCTATGACAAACCCACAGCCAGTATCATACTGAATGGACAAAAACTGGAAGCATTCCCTTTGAAAACTGGCACAAGACAGGGATGGCCTCTCTCACCACTCCTATTCAACATAGTGTTGGAAGTTCTGGCCAGGGCAATTAGGCAGGAGAAGGAAATAAAGGGTATTCAATTAGGAAAAGAGGAAGTCAAATTGTTCCTGTTTGCAAATGACATGATCGTATATCTAGAAAACCCCATTGTTTCAGCCCAAAATCTCCTTAAACTGATAAGCAACTTCAGCAAAGTCTCAGGATACAAAATCAATGTACAAAAATCACAAGCATTCTTATACACCAGTAACAGACAAACATATAAACGCTGGAATCCTGCATCAGAGTGCCTGGTGAGGAAATTTTTTTTTTATTAGTATACTTTAAGTTTTAGGGTACATGTGCACAATGTGCAGGTTAGTTACATATGTATACATGTGCCATGTTGGTGTGCTGCACCCATTAACTCGTCATTTAGCATTAGGTATATCTCCTAAAGCTATCCCTCCCCCGTCCCCCCACCCCACAGCAGTCCCCAGAGTGTGGCGTTCCCCTTCCTGTGTCCATGTGTTCTCATTGTTAGCCTCTCTGACATGAAAATCCTGAAGCATCCCAGTGGTACTTCAACAGAAGAGGTGACACAAACTCCCAAGAAGTTAGTCCTTTGTCAGAAAAAGATAACCTTGTACAGCTTCCCTAAAACAAATTCAGACAGAGATCTGGTCATCAACACTCCTGTTTAAACTTGCAAAGCCATCATCTCTGTATTGTGAGTTATCTGTGTTTCATTATAACCGAAGTTCATCTGCACAAATTGGCATTCTAAATTGTTACTTGTTATTCTGCACATTTTATGATGAGATAGTTACAGAAATAAATTAATATAAATTAAGAGAATATCACAAATTAGTAGAATAAGGAATGGCCAATGTTTGTCAAGAAGCTAGCTAAGGTTTCCAATGTCATTTATTATATAAATTAATATTCTCACCACATATCATACCCCAATCTCAGATGTATTTAAGTAGCTAAATAGAAAAATAGAAAAAAGAAAATATTGTGTGTTATAGAAACTAAGAAAAATAGAAAAAAGATAATACTGTATAATAGAAGCTAAGAAAATGGAGATAAATAATTATTATCTCAACAAAAATATCATCATTAGAATAAAAGCAATAAAAGCCAAAAAATAATTAGAAGGAAAATATTTATAGTTTTACTGTATAATAAACATACACTTAAATATAAAGCAGAAATAAAAGGAAAACAAGATCTGGTAAAATATTTGCAACAAATTTCCTATGTTAATATATATATTTAGTATGTTAGGAGATCAAACAAATTAAAAAATCAGGCAAAATACATAGTGAAGATGTCCTAAAAACCAAAAGCAAGTTTGAAATCAGTATTAATTGTTGCTCTCCTATTTGTAACAGTGAAAAATTGGAAGTAACTGTTTCCCTTATGATTAAATATTGACAACAGCATGCAAATTGATAATTTACATAATATTTAAGAGGAAGGACAAAGCAGATATAATTAAATCCCCTCTCTTCCTTTAAAATGATTGAAATAAGAGTAAAGAAACCCAAAAGGAACTATGTTTATATGACACTGAAAAGCAAAGGAGGAAGCCACAGACCAAGATTTTGACAAATTTCTGCAAGACAGAAGGAAGACAGGATCACATTAATAAACATATCCCAGTAGAGGAATCCATGGCTCAGAGCACAGGTGAGACCCATTTACTAGGAATGCACTCACTCCCCTAACACCCCTCTGCATGGAGCAGCTACACAGAGAAATGAGATTTGACACTAAGAGGGTGATTTGTGGAACGGATGCAAGGCAACTCTTACCAAGCCTCTCTCCCCGTCTCCCAACTGTAGAGCTGAGAACATAGCCTCAATCTCAGAAGGTGGCATCAAGACCAGCGGGAGAGAAAGAACTAGTCAACAAGCGATGCTAAATAATTCAGGATGCATGGCTTACCCATATGGGGAAACATAAAATTCTTGCCAAATTCCAGGGGTTCAGTCTAGCTTCCACTGCTCACCAGGGCGTGGAAAACCAATCCCTGAGATGAGTATTGCCAGGGAGGAAGGTTTCATTTGGATGACGCCAGCCAGAGAGATTGGAGCAAAACCTCAAATCTGTTTCTTCTTCCTGCCTCCAACTAAATTTAGGGGTGTATATAGCAGGGAAGGAAAATGGGGCTGGGAGGGCAAGAAAGAAGAGTTGGTCACCAGGCAGCAGGTGCATTTCATTGTACAAATCATAAGTTTATCAAGCTTCAGTTCTGTGGGCATGTGGCTTGTTAGAAAATCAGGCTACTTTCAAAAGTAGTCATTTTTCTCAGTATACACATATAAAATCCACATGAATTAAAGATGTAAATGTGGAAAACAAACCTAAAGCTTTTTGCAAATATATAAACAAATACCTTTATAACCTCATTGGGAAGGGAAGGATTTCACACACATGACACAAACATCACAAACTGCACACAGAAAAGATAAAAGTCACTGTATTGCATTTAAAAACGCTAGTTCATCCACATATGCCATGGAATACTATGCAGCCATCAAAAGGATGAGTTCATTTCCTTTGTAGGAACATGGATGAAGCTGGAAACCATTATTCTGAGCAAAATATCGCAAGGACAAAACCAAACACCACATGTTCTCACTCATAGGTGGGAATTGAACAATGAGAACACTTGGACACAGGGTGGGGAACATCACACACCAGGGCCTGTCGTGGGGTGGGGGGAGGGGGGAGGGATAGCATTAGGAGATATACCTAATGCTAAATGACAAGTTAATGGGTGCAGCACACCAACATGGCACATGTATACATATGTAATAAACCTGCACATTGTGCACACGAACCCTAGAACTTAAAGTATAATAATAATTAAAAAAAACACTAGTGCATCAAAAGAAATCTTTTCAAGTGGAGGTGGGGGAGGGTGAGTTACATATGGGGAGAAGATATTCTCAGCCCATAGAACAAAAGTTTGTCCATCCAGAATACCTAAAATATACTACAAATCAGTGAGGAAAAGATGAACAAACAAGTAGAAAAATAGGCAAATGATGTAATCCAGCAATTCAAAGAGAGAAAGTCCAAATGGCCAATGCATATATATATATATATTCTCAAACTTTATTCGTAACCAAGAAAGTGCATATTAAAACTGAAGAGAGACATCGTTTTATGCCCATCACGGTGGCAAAAGTGGCAGCATGTGACACTGTGATGGGCTGGAGACAGCGGCGGTGGCAGCTGTCACACATAGCTGGATTAAGCCCTGGAAATTTGATGAGGGGGCAATGCCAGCACTAGATATAGAATTCATTTACATATTAAAACATATATAAAAGAATGTTTGCTGCAGCATTGTTTGTAAAAGTAAACATTTAGGTACCATTTATAAATGCATTAGTGGAAGGATGGATAATAAATTGTAGGATGATATTATAGACTACTACCCAGTGGCAGGGAAAAGCTACAGCTATCAGTGAATTAACAACACAAAATTAGGTTGCAAGATATATTGTATGGTGCCATTTATGAATTGTAAAAATGTAAAACAATGACACATTTATCTAGCCAGATGTAGGTTAAGATAGCCAAAGCCAGTTTTTAAATAAGTGGGCATAATAAACACTGAGTTTAGGCTGGTGGTGAGCTCTGGGCAGGGAGGGAAGAAAAAGCAAGTAGATTGAAGTGGGCAAGATTTGTGACTTTTTCTTTTTCCCGAGACAGTGTCTTGCTCTGTCGCCCAGGCTGGAGTCCAGTGGTGTGATCCCAGCTCACTGCAACCTCTGCCTCCCGGGTGCAAGCGATTCTCCTGCCTCAGCCTCCCAAGTAGCTGGGATTACAGGTGCATGCCACCACGCTTGGCTAATTTTTGTATTTTTAGTAGAGATGGGGTTTCACCACGTTGGCAAGGCTGGTCTCGAACTCCTGACCTCGTGATCCGCCCTCATCAGCCTCCCAAATTGCTGGGATTACAGGCATGAGCCACCGCGCCTGGCCTTTTTTTTTTTTTTCCCCTTTTCTTTTCTTTTTTTTTTTTTTTTAACTTTTAAGCTCAGAGGTGCATGTGCAGGTTTGTTATATAGGTAAAGGGTAAACTCATGTCATGAGGGTTTGTTGTACAGATTATTTTATTACCCAGGTATGAAGCCTAGTACCCATTAGCTGTTTTCCCCATTGTCTCCTTCCCATTCTCCGCCCTCTGGCAGGCTTCAGTGTGTGTTGTTCCCCTCTATGTGTCCTGTGTTCTCATCCTTTAGCTCCCACTTATAAGTGAGGATATGCATTTCTTAAAAGAATGTTACACTACTGTTGGGATATTTTTCTAAGTCTGCTTTTTTTTAATCATCCAGAAGGTGTCAACCAAAAACTTCCTGGTAATAACCAGTACTCCTATTCCTGCCTGAGTGGCTTTCCTGTGACTGGACTGAAACGTCCTGCAGCTGTGGTTGAACGAGGGTGACAGCCAAGTTTGCATGGCACACACATCATGACTGCTGCCTGACCCACAGACACCACACAGTACAGGCTTGTTTCAGAGATGCCAAATGTGGGGAAAATGCATCTTAAAAGTCACAGAAGTAAATGTAGTTTATTAATAAATGTAATAATGAATAAATGATTAATTATTTCATTTATAAGGAGGACGGATGAAAGAAAGAGAATATAAATGCATTTATTACCACTGAACTGTATATGTAAAAATGGTAAAGATGGTAAATTATATATGCATATTTTATCTCTATTTAAAAAATCACTGAAATAAATGTAGTTTGATCAGTATTTGTTTCAGGAATATTTCTGCAGCTTTTTTGTTTGTTTTTGCTTATAATTTTTGGCCTCTTTTTCTTCTTTATATTTTGCTTTTATTCTCCTGTTGTTGGTATAAAAAGATAATTCATCCAATCTTAAAGCTAGGAACATTTTTCTTCAAATGGCAAAAGTTTAGTAATATAAAATTACATCTTCTTTGTGGCTATAATCACGTTACTTAGTTCTTCAGGGAATGATATTTTCATATGCCTAATATTTTAAATGTTTTTAATTGATTTTCAGTTTCCCAAGGAAGGAGAATCTCCTTTCCAAAGAGGTTCCTTTGTGATTTTGGAACAGAAAGTCAATAGTACAAGCCTCAACATTACAAGAGGCATGGTAGGTTTTCTGTTGGAAGGTACTGGAGACAGATGTAGGATACACTGCATTTTTCATTTTACAAATGGGTAGCAAGAGATGCTGTGTAAAATTGATGGGTACATTACTTAAGGTTCTTCCAGCTGCTATAGCAAATAAACCCTGTAATCTCAATCTTTTAAGAAAATAGTAGTTTCTTTCTCAATTGCTCAAAATAAAATTTATTTTATTACAATAAAATACATCAGTTATTTAGCAGAGGCCTTCAGAATGCTGAATCAAGAACCCAGGTCCCTCCACCTTGAACATCCATCATCTCTGAAGATTCAAGAATAGTTTAATTCCAACTTTAGAATGGGAGAGAACCAGAGAGTTCTCAGAAGGCATCCCCGGATGTTTTGAAGGCCAGGCCTGAACCTAGCACATACTTCTGCCATATTCCAGTAGCTAGAACGTAGTCACATAGCAAAGGAGGCCAAGAAATGTGGAATAGCTGAAGAGCAGCCGAAAAAAGAAAATCAGTTTGGTGGATAATGAGCAAGTTTCTTCCAAAATGGATTAAAAAACAGTGTTTTAAATTCATTAGTAAAGTGATAATGTCAATTTGAAAAGATGATACAGGAAAAATTGGTAAGAAAAGGAGAAAAGAACAATTGATTGTGGAAGTTAGTGGAACTCTTTGTCTTACAGCTGAGAGGTGATGGATTGTGTTTGAACTGGGGAAATAAGGAAGTGGATCTGTGTTCCTGCTTCCTGGGCATACAGAGCTGTCCACCACAGAACTAGCATTGACACCGGCAAAATTGCTTTTCTCTGAGAACTTGGAGAGAGAATAGGGGTCATGTTGGATTTGGTGATGATAGTGATGGTGGTGATGAGGAATAATTTATATTTTTATTGTAAATTTTCAGTAATATTTTGAATTTTTATTTTAATATACATGGATAACTTTAATAATTACATAATTAATCACAGTAAAAGTGGTAAAATACAAGCTGAAAATTAAATCCAAGGACAGAGATCCACTTAATAAGCAACTATAGACATGGAATAAGAATATTTTTTCATAACTTTTATTATTACATTAGCAAATATTCATATTTTTAAGAGGAAGTGCAGAGTAGAAAACTACAAGTATAATCTCTTTTACATAAATACTATGCATAGAAAAGACTAGAAGGGAACCACAGGTGTTGTTTTAGTATATTTATTTATGATGAATTATAGTCTTTATTTTTGCTTATATTTTATCTTTGTTGTCAGCTATATAATGAGTTGTATTAATGTCTATACTTTTGTGTCTAAAAAATTGAAATTGAATATTTCATTGTCAAAAACTAAGCCATGACAGAAAGCACAATAACTTAATAGTGAAGTAGAGTTCAGGGTGCTTGGAACCGTAGCTGGCTTTGTCTAATGGTGAGATAATCATTAGGATTAGAACTCAAGAGCCCTAGGTTTCCATCCCAGATATGTTGCTAACTAAATGTGTGACCCTATGTAGGTCACTTTATCAGCACCTCGGTTTTTCACTTGCCGAGTGATGTTCGCATTTTCATTTCCTACAACCTGAGTATTTTAATGCAGCCACGACCCTGGTGCTGCCTGTTGAAATGAGGCAGATTAAAGACCACAAGGCCTATGGCAGGAAAGATGCTTCTTTTTCCACCTCCAGTGACAAGCTCTGTGAGATGAAGTAAATCTTCTAATTCAGTCAAATTCTGCTGCTGGTGGCTTTTCTCCATTGGTCATATTTATACAGCTGGGGACCTACAGCGCAAGCCTCTCCAGGGGAGCCCTTCAGGTCTTCTGTAGCTAAATATTCCCAACTCTCCCTCTCCATGTGGCTCACGGGTTTGCCATTTCCTCATCAGGTTGGCTTATGCCCAAGTTAGCACCCTTATATATTCTATATCATTTGATCCCCAAACTCCATTTTTTCCACTCAGTTATTTCTGTAGGTGAGCTGCTCGCAGTGAAAAATAGGAAAGGGGGGGAATCTTTTTTTTTTTTTTTTTTTTTTTTTTGAGATGGAGTCTCGCACTGTCCCCCAGGCTGGAGTGCAGTGGTGCCATCTCAGCTCACTGCAAGCTCCACCTCCCAACTTCACGCAATTCTCCTGCTTCAGCCTCCCGAGTAGCTGGGACTACAGGCGCACGCCACCACGCCCAGCTAATTTTTTGTATTTTTAGTAGAGACGGGGTTTCACTATGTTAACCAGACTAGTCTCGAACTCCTGACCTCAAGTGATCTGCCCACCTCGGCCTCCCACAGTGCTGGGATTACAGGCATGAGCCACTGTGCCCGGTTAATCATTTTGTTTTAAATAAGTTTCAGTTAGAATATAGAGCTTCTTCCCCAAACAGAGTAACCTTCAATTCTCCATTTTCATGTAAAAGCAGGTGGCATTTCTTGTACACTGTGGAGATGGTATGATTATTAAACAGCTAATAATTAGAAAGCATTCCAGAAATAAAATCAGCATATAAATACCTAGTATGATGGGGATGATTAAACTACCGGCTGTGGTGGACAAAAAATAATATTATTCAATTGTTTACATGCATTTAGCTGATCTAACAAAACATACATTTGTAAGATCCCAGCCAGAAATATTTCCAGGTAATAAAATATAAATTATAGTGTTCCTTTATGGATTGCATACTTTCTTCCTTCTTTACGTTTCAAATAAATTACCTTCTATGTATCACTTAAATAACATCAGGCTTTCTGAGGTGCTTAAGACAATCTTAACAGTACTGAGTTAAAATATATCTTTAACATGCTATTTTTTCTAGTCTTTAGGAAAGCTTCACTCAAGTGCATTTTCAAAGGTCTTTGAAGATGAAATATTCTGAGGGCCTCGTGCATTGCTGCTGAATTTAATAGTCCTTAGCAATCACACTGAAATCCATTCCCTTTGCCCTCAGCTTCCCTTCCTAATTCTATCACGTAACTACCTTCTTCCTCAAAAGCCTTCTTACCACCTTAGCAAAAAATGACAACTTGGATTTCAGTGAAAATGTATGGATTTAATTTGCAAGCTCTCCAGTCTTGGCTTTGCTCTCTGTGAGTCTTGACGGAGGGGAGAAGCTACACCGGAAGCCCTAAGAAGCCTGGCCCAGGCTCACCTGATCTCCTTCTCTTCCAGAAGCCTCCCAGGTTCCAGCCCACTCTCACCTTCCACAGGGGGCCTCTTGCCTCCCGGCTTCTGCCCAGTTCAGCCAATGGAAGTCAGGGGTGCGAGCTCTAAGCGGGGGGATGAAGAGTTGGGGTTGCAGGTGGGTCTGGCCGCTGCCCTCTGCCTCAGGTTCCCACAGACAGCCCTGTCCTGAAGCTACGAGATGGCTGAAAGACAACACAATTCCCCAGTCCCCGGCAGCCGCGCATTTAATTTCCACTCACAGTTTTGCCTTTTCCAGAATATCAGGAAAGGGAATCATGACGGATATACTCCCCGGGGATCAGGGAAGAGGACTCAGGGTGTGAGGGGTTGTCTGGGAGAGCTGGGAAGATTCCATGTCTTGATTGTCGTAGCCGTTACATGACTATTTACAGTCGTTGAATCTGCATGCTGAAAAGGGTGAATTTTATTGCATGTAAATTATGTTTGCAAAAAGCCAACTAAAGAGTGAGAAATAATTATGTCTGTTTTCACTGCAGTCAATTCCCCCACGACAATAGGGGGATTTTCGGAAGATGCTTTGATATCATAACTCTGTTGTGCATTGTGCATTTTCATAAGTCATTAATATTTATAGGCCAGCTAACTTCATCCCTCTTGATTTTGATTATTCAAGGAGATGCTAAACAAAATGTGTTTCAGGAGAAACTCACGTGTCCACAGCTTTCCGTACCATTGGCCAATCTCTGGGTGGTCCTCCCTTTTCAATTTTCTACCCTATCACATCAGAAATAGGTATTGGGGTTGGGCGCGGTGGCTTACGCCCATAATCCCGGCACTTTGGGAGGCCTAGGCGGGTGGATCACTTGAGGACAGGAGTTCGAGACCAGCCTGGCCAACATGGTGAAACCCTGTCTCTACTAAATACGCAAAAATTAGCCAGTGAGGTGATGTGAGCTGTAATCCTAGCTACTGGGGAGGCTGAGGCAAAAGAATCACTTGAACCCGGGAGGTGGAGGTTGCTGTGAGCCAAGATCACACCACTGCACTCCAGCCTGGGCAACAGAGGGAGAGTCTGTCTCAAAAAAAAAAAAAAAAAAAGCCAGGCGTAGTGGCTCATGCCTGTAATCCCAGCACTTTGGGAGGCCGAGGTGGGTGGATCACCTGAGGTCAGGAGTTCGACACTAGCATGGCCAACGTGAGGAAACCCCACCTCTACTAAAAATATAAAAATTAACCAGGCATGGTGGGCGCCTGTAGTCTCAGCCACTCGGGAGGCTAAGGTAGGAAAATAGCTTGAACCTGGGAGGCAGATGTTGCAGTGAGCTGAGATCACACCATTGCACTCTAGTCTGGGTAACAAGAGTAAAACTCCATCTCAAAAAAACATAAAAATAAAAAAAAAAAGATGTAAGTATTGGAATGTATGTCCTCCTTGGTGGCTGGGAAGCTTTCAAGACCAGATTCATATTCATGAAGGTTTTCTCTTAAGTCAGCTGAGTATTTCTTTGGCAATACGATTCCTCAAACATTTAACAGATTTCTGATTTATTTGTTTTCCCTGAATTCTAAGGACTAGTATCTACACCCAAAGTTTGGCTTCACCTTCTCCAGTGTGCCTGAGTTCATCACCCCTTTGCCTTCTCTCAGTCCACAGCAACTGGCCCGAGACAACTTAGAACAGTAAGAGGGGAGGCAGCACTCTCATCAGAGCTGTGGCCTCAGTCACGCTACTCAGCTGAGTAGCTTCGTTAGGCTTTGCTGTGGGAAGCGTTGTGACACCCCATCTGTTTCTGTTTGGGTTCAAGAAGCTGACAGGTTTTCTAAACCTCAAGGTCCTAAATTTCTTGATACTCCTATCTTCCTTTCATTTTCTTTGCATATATCTCTTTCCTGTGCTCGTCTGTGTCTTCTATTAATTTACACTGTTTTGTAATGAAAAATGGTCCTGTTCTCTCATCTTGGAGAGACCCCCTTTAAGGAGGACCACTTATGAATCACCTCCAAAGGCTCTACCGTAGATAGACGTACTGCTTGCTCCTTCCATTCCTATTCCCAATCCCCTTTGAAGTCTCCTCTGACTTCCCCAGAGATTCTCAGGCTGCTATGGAGGCACAGCTGATGAAATTATTCATATAGAATTGGTACACAGACATATTATATTTGATGACAGTCGGTTATCTTCCCTCCATTGTACCAGACAGTGCCCCTTAGGGACATGCACATGGCATCTTGCCCATTTTTTTCTTTTGTTTTGTTTTCTTTTCTTTATTTTTGAGACATCTCACTCTGTTGCTCAAGCTGAAGTGCAGAGGCATGATTTCAGCTCACTGCAACCTCTGCCTCCTGGGTTCAAGTGATTCTTCGGCCTCAGCCTCCTGAGTAGCAGGGATTACAAGTGCACACCACAACGCCCGGCAAATTTTTTGTATTTTTAGTAGAAACGAGGTTTTGCCATGTTGTCCAGGCTGGTCTTAAACTCCTGAGCTCAGGCAGTCTGCCCGCCTCAACCTCCCAAAGTGCTGGGATTACAGGCAGGAGCCACCACTCCTGGCCTTTTGCTCATTTTTCTACCTTCTGTGTCTAACTTACTGTCAGGTTCATAGGAGGCACCCAGTAAATATTGGCCAAATAAAATTGTCTTCATTTACAAAAGAAAAATAAACCTTGATAATATGTGTAAATTGTTAAGCATGCTTGCCTGGTACCATAAAATAATACAAAATAGCCCTGCACAGTCTTTTATGGAGATGTCTTCATATAAAGGCAGCATAGAGAAGACAGCACATTGACTGCATGGTGACCCATCGGAAAGTGCTTTTAATACCACTGGGAAACTGAACTGCCAGGGCCATCTCCAAGGAAGAACAAAGCTTCAGAGAGTGTGTGGGATTGGAGTAGATGGGGAAATGGATGTAGGGTATTTCAAGCTAAAGGAAAAACAGATAAAAGTCAGCTTTGGGAATGGGCCTCATAGGTTGGGGAATAACAAGACAACCTGCCCAACCAAAGTGAACACACATTTGGGATAGAATTTAGGTTGCCTGAACTGCTTTGGATTTTTCTAGATATAGAAAACTAGGCTATCTTTTTTGTCCTTCTGTGTAATCTCCCAACCCTAGTTGTCATTGTATCCATTGAAGAATGGTCTCTCTGTGTCCTTGGGATGCTTATATTTGCTCCTTTTGGTCTGCGACATTTTTAAAGAGTTGCAATTTCCTGTTGTTTGCATACATATTCTGAAAAACTGTATTTATGTTAATGATTAGATACAAAAGGTTTCTGCTAATATCCCCCACCTGCTAGGAAATTAATTTGGGTTCTACATTTGTCTAGAAAGGGTCTAAGTATTATCACCCTGATTAAAAATTCACCTAAAAACTTCTGTGTCTCTGTGTTGCATATAGAAACATCAATATGGCTTCCATATGCACTTGTTATTGGAGGAAAAAATAGATTAAGAATCCCAATACATTAATGATAGCCATGAAATTTAGCTCTCTGCTGATCTTTGCTTAAAAATTATATTCAGCAAATATATATATATATGCACACACACATATATATGCATACATATACTAACACAAAAATAATTTTGGCATATAGATGGGTGTAAAAGTGAAAATGTAACTCATTTATTCAAATGTGTAAGCTAAACGTATTTGGAAAAATAAATAGAACAGTGAAAATCATTAAAATTAACCTTTATGACATTTTCTGGGAAATTTATGACTACCAAGTGTTGAAGACCATGTTTGAAAAGAAAAAAAAATTAGAAGGCATAAATAAAAAAGTTAAGTCATTAAATGATAAAATATTCTAAAGAAATTTAAGATAAGGTGACAGAATACAAGCATGGTAACTTTCTTAACTTTTAGAAGAAAATGTAACACTGAAGTTTAAGTTATGCCAAGCTATAATTTTAACAATTTTCAGAAGAATATATAACAGTGTATAAAAATATCCATGTAGCAGAAAGAAACACAGACAACAAAATGAATTTAAAGTTTATGTCATATGTTGTACTTGTGCTTCTGGGTAGACGGAGTAGACATCCTTTTCTCCATTCCTCCCACTAAGTGCAGCTAAAGCCACTGGGCATTACACGTAAAACAAATGTAAGATGACTCTGAAAGAAGGAGGGAAGAAGGCAGACCACCTGGGGAGCTTGCGACTGGAGGAAGAAACCAGGGGTGAATTCCTTGGGTTTTCTTTTTGCCTTATATCTCCAGACTAGGTAGTTGAGAGGCTGACACAAAACCCTAGTGTGTGCAAACAAACATGCCCCAAGAAATGCTCATCTCTTGCCAAAGACCAAGGAATGGGCAATCTAAGACAGCGGCCACTCTAGTCCAACAAGGACCACATAGGACACCAGAGTCCACTTCTGGTGCCACAAGGAGAAGTCGACTGGAGAGCTTTGCCAGGCTGCAATGTGGCCCCAAACTCCCACCAGGATGGCATCAGAGGAGGCCAAGTGAGAGACTTCCCACTTCTACCCACACAGTCAGGGGCTGCGCTCCCCGTGGTGTCAATGCAGACCCTGTAGACAGCTGGACTTTTACCTGCACCCTGTGTAACAAGGTGCCCCCTACCCTCCACTGGGGGTTGTCCAAGGAGCCTAGTAGAGTCGGGATGGTCACTGATGCTCGGAGATAACGAGGCCCCTGCCCTAGAGTGTCAGTGGGGACTCCACAAGGAGCGGTGATGAGCTTCTTTGCTTCTGGCCATGGTGTTTTGTTGTGGGTAGTGGAGGGTCTGAATCCCACATCACCCCACAGCAGCAAGAAGCCCTTCCTCCAGTGCCTTCCAAGACCAAGTGCAGAACCTGAAGTGTCCCTCCCCACTGGCAGTGTCATGAGAGGCCCACTTCCTCTGCAGTGCAGTGTCCGAGAGGGCCTGCAAAACAGGACGCTTAAGTAATATCTTGGGTACCCAGGGGTAGGGCAGTGGAGGGAGACAGTGTGACTGTGGCATAGCAGGAGAGAGGGCTTGTGGTGGGGACGCAGTTCCATGTCTTGACTGTGTTGGCTGTTAATGGAATCTACACGTGGGATTAATGACCCAAAATGATACACGCACACATGTAGCATTGGCAGAAGCTGAGGGAAGGGTGGGCACCTGGGACCCCTTTGTACTATGACTGCAATTCTCTGTGAATCTATCATTGTTTTACCAAGAAATTCTTTTTGAAAAGTATATGCCATGTGTCAGAGATGGCATAATATGATTGTTATTATATCAATAAATGTGATTAGGATAAAACTTTTAATTAGGAAAGAAAGTATATCTGATTAAAGAGTATATTCCTGCGCAAAATATGGAAATAGGTATGCAAACATGTTTGTATGTGCGTGGGGAATTTTGGGATGGATACACAAACTCTGGATAGTGGGGCTGATAATTGAGAAGAAGCTAGGAATTTGCATTTTATTTCTGCCTTTCTATACTACTTGCAAATTTTACTATGGGAACTAATCACTTTCATAATTGAAATGAGCTACCTGAAGGCTGTAAAGAAAGAAATGATCTTGAAAACATAATATTTTAAAAATCTGCTTATAAATAATACTAAAACCAAATTGAATTAAACCACAGAAGTCTGGATGGGGAAATAATTTGAATGCAAGGTACATAGAATATTTGAATATATTTGTTCCAAAATTGACATTTTTTTGGGTTTCTTTCCAATCATGCCCAGTGTGTGGTACAGTTACACAGATACATCATGGTTGTGCATTTGTCTTGCATCTGCGTAGCTAGTTAAGCACAAAGGCAGGCCCAGGAGCCAGTGTAGAAACAATATTTTGCAATTTGGGAGGCAAGAACCTTCAAGCAAATTATTATAAAACACTCAAAGTCTTTCCTGGGGCCATGTTTTGGCTTTCGAGGTCTGTGTAATTGCTTGTCCTCCTCCCTTTTATTTTGAGACAGAGACTCGTTCTGTCCCTTAGGCTGGAGTGCAGTGGTGCGATCTCGGGGCTCACTGCAAACTCCACTTCCCGGGTTCAAGCAATTCTCCTGCCTCAGCCTCCTGAGTAGCTGGGATTACAGGTGCATGCCACCATGCCTGGCTAATTTTTGTATTTTTAATAGAGACAGGGTTTCACCATGTTGGTCAGGCTGGTCTCCAACTTCTGACTTCATGATCTGCCCACGTTGGCCTCCCAAAGTGCTGGGATTACAGGCATGAGCCACCACGCCCGGCCTGTCCTCCTCTTTTTTGTCTCTCTCCTTCCCTGATATTTGGCACTTTAAGATTTCTGTCCTCATTCATTCTACTGTGCCTTCATTCCACAAATCAATTGTTGAGCATTTACTGTGTGACGGGCAGCCTTCTGGGCATTGAGAATACAGCTGTGAGGAAAGGAATGCCACTTCTGGAACGCAGCGTGCATACCAGCTTTGGGTGGACCTCTGATGGCCACTTTTCATTTTACCACGCCTCAGTCTCCTAGACAACAGTGTGGTGTCCAACAGGGAGCCGGAACTGGGTGGATCAGATTGTTGTCAGATTGACCGATTGTTTCGGGTACTCTTTACCTGCAACCTTAGGCATAGACAGCGGCCACCCCTTCTTATAACTGCAAGGAGCTCGTGCCCCTCATCCACTGTCACCAAATGCTACTCTGTGATTCTATGTGCCTTGCCATCAGGCAGCCACGAGGAGGGAAGCTGAGATTTCATCGGAGAAGCTAATTGGGGCATGGAATTGTATTTTGAAACTTGTGCTCCATTTTATTATGTGTTTATAGGAGACTGAAACAGAACAAGGAAAAACAAATTTGGGCTCAACAATAATGTACTTGTCTCCTGGTTACAGCTTTAATCATGTATTAAACTGTATAAATCTTTTTCAATTATATTAATTTAACTCACTATCAATGGCAGTGGATTGATGGCAGAACATTTTCAGTTTTCATTGTTAGCCAAAAAGCCCTCAGCGAAGTAAATAACTTAGGAAGAAATATGTAACTCTTCTCTGAGATGAGCTTGGAAGGGTTTCAAAGCTTTGGTCATTGGATTTTCATTATTTACCATAGCAAAACCTGCTGAAAGAGCACCTAATGCTAAATAATTCCTTCTTATACTCTTTGTGCACATTTAAAAAAATGAAACAGTGATTGGCATGGCCTAACACAGGTCTTTGATTAATGGTCTTAAGAATTTTGCAAGCTTTCTCAACTTTCCAAGAGCAATTTGACCTATGAAGACAGCCTTTGGTAGACCCACAAAGGGGTCCACAGAGATGAAGAATAAGAAGTGTCTGATTGAGCATGGACAGGAGCTCTCTTTTCTCTCCCTGTTAATTTCGAATTGGCCACTGTTTAATCATTCTTGTGCTCGTGCTTGGTAACAGTGGCTGTGGGGCTGGGGAGTGTGCTGTGTTACACATGGTCCATCATGAGTAGAATTTTATCTCATACCGAATTTAATATTCTTATGACTTAAGAAACAGAATCGCACCAGGGATAACAATAGCTTAAGATATATTTCACACATTTTGTCTGAAGAGCTTAGGCAAGAGAGAAAATACGTCATTCTATTAAATACTGACTGCTTCACTTCCAATGAAATAACGGATTGATTAGCATTTCCTAAGCAAGCTGTTCTGCATTTATTTGATTCACTTAGCGTCCATACATATAACTGATTTAAACTTAACATTCTTCCTACACTTTTACAGATCACATCAGGGAAAAAGGAAGATTTTCATGGAATAAATTAACTTACACTAAAAACAATTTGAGCACAGAAACATTAGCAGAATGAATATTTATGAATTTGCAATTAATTTTACCGATTTTATTGTGTATTACTTACTATGTAATATGTGACTAATTTAATGTACTCATTTATGTAATAGATGTCTACAGAGGACCAACAAGGGGCCCAGCACTGTGTAAGTGCCAAAATTACAACAATAACAGTGGCAAACAAACTCCCTATTTTCATAGCGTTAATATTCTAGAGGAGGAGCTAACATTTCCAAAGGCAGCTCCACGTTTTCTATGACCTATAAAGAAGAGGTGAGATGATGTTGCCTGCATGTGGCTGAGTGAAAGGCAGCCAGCAAAGACCTCTCAGAGGAAGGAAATTGACACCTGACCTGAAGCCCAAGTGCATGAAGAAACTAAGCTACGAAGAGGGACAGAGAGGAGGTCAGTGAGGCTACAGCAGGGGGTGGCAAACGTTTTCTATAAAGGGACACATAGTTGACGATTTTGGATTTATGGCCCAGACAGTCTGTGTCACAATGACCCCCTTTTATTTGGCAAGTAAAAAGCAGCCACAGTAATATGTAAGCTATTATGCCAATAAAATTTATAGATGGACACCGACATTTACATTTCATATAATTTTTTGTGTCACAAAATAATGTTTTTTTAATTTTGTTATACCCACTGAAAAGCATAAATACCATTCTTAGGTCACAGGCTGTATAACGCAGGCAGTGGGCTGGGTTTGGCCCATGAGGCGATTGTTTGCAGACCTCGGGCCAAAGACCAGAGAGGGAAGAAGATGAGGGGGCTGAGGTGGGCTCTAGGTCACTGTAGACCTTAGAGAAACTAGCATTTTGTTCTAAGAGAATTGCAAGCCATGGAGGGAATTTAAGCAGAGGAGAAGCGGTCTGATTTATGATTTCATAAAGTTCCCTCTGGTTGCTGTCATGAGCGCCTCATAATAGGCAAGTGTGGAAGCAGGAATGCTGTTTAGGAGGCTATTCTAAGAGGCTACAGGTGACAGGTGCAGGGTGGTGGGGGTTTCAACCCAGGTGAGAGAAGCAAGTGGGTATGTGAGTGTATGAACATACCATATTATATCTGTTCTTCCTCTGCAGCCTCCAGCCTGGCTCTTTAAATAATCAAAACTTATGGTTGTAGCAATAAAAACTAGCCTACTTTAGATTTCAGCTTAATTATATTACCAACCACATACATGTTTAATCTCTTCTTCTCGATTTAAACGAAAGCAAGGACAAATCCTCTGTTCTCTGCTGGTAAAAGGGATATGTCAAAATCTCCAGCCACGAGGGGGCTCCTGTCATCATGCCTCATGTGTTCATAACTACAATTTATGACGCCTCCTTCTGTACACTGATTTCAGTTGAATGCTTCTAGAGAATACTGTTGAACTGAGTCTGATGATACAGATGTTTGCATTTTATGAAAAAACAACATTCTAATGCAGTTCATGGATATCCTCCACTTTTCACAAGTTGCTTTTGTAGGCTAGTGGTGTGTTCTTCCCCAGGCAGTTTGCCTGATGCCAAGGACTTAGATACATCATTTGCCATCAGTGGAAGTCTGAATAGGATGGAGGGATATATAAATAAGTCAAGAATGCGTGACCCAGAGTGACATATTATACTGGAATGATGGTATACCATGAGAATATGTGGCATAAGGTAGTTAGAGGTTTTGATGTCCTATGTTTAGCAGTGATTTTTTTCTGTAAGCACACGGTTGTTATTCCAAAGATAATATGTACTTTCAAGCATAAGTGACTTTATTTCAATCTATAGTCTCTTTGAGTAATTTTTATTCTTCCATTTCCAAGACTCATGTCGTGTTGGGGCAATAGAGATAGTGTACTGTAGAACTGTTAGAATCCCAAATGCCTCCCCTTGCACTCATGGAAGCTCAGATGTGGGGTGGTATTAGAAGGATATACTTGCTTATTTCTCAATGTGACACAGCTAAGGTGCATATCATTTTCCTTTGCCGTGTATGGAAAACTTAGCACTCATCTTCAACATTTGTTTAGAGATTTGGGCTACATGGTATCTCTGGTTGAGGCCTGGCAGTTTTCATGGCAATGCGAAAATGTTGATTGAATGACTTCCTAAAGTATTCATCTCTTGCCTGTGCTTCAGTGGAACTGCATGCACGCTGCAAAGGGGATTTTCCAGAGTTGTGGATGCAACTAATCTCCTAAATAGATCTCCATCTCTAGTCCTCCATCACCCAACTCCACTCATGTCATACGCAATCTAAAACGTAATCCTCTTTTTGTATAGGCATAAGCATGATTTACAAACTCTCAAGATTTAAACTGAAATGGAAACAATAAAAAGGGAGAAGCCAGCCGGGCATGGTGGCCCACACCTGTAATCCCAGCACTTTGGGAGGCTGAGGCGGGCGGATCACTTGAGGTCAGGAGTTCGAGACCAGCCTGGCCAACATGGCAAAACCCCGTCTCTACTAAAAACACAAAAATTAGCCAGCGTGGTGGCGTGCCTGTAATTCCAGCTACTCAGGAGCCTGAGGCAGGTGAACTGCTTGAACCCAGGAGGTGGAGGTTGCAGTGAGCTGAAATTGGAGTGTCACTGCACTCCAGCCTGGGCAACAGAGCAAGACTCTGTCTCAAAAAAAAAAAAGGTGGGGGTGTGTGGGGAGAAGTCAAATTCACCTATCTGGCTTTGGAATCTCTCTACACTACATAGTTGGCATGCACTCATGTCTTGCTGTACAACATGGTCCTAAGTAACTCTATCATAGGACTGAAAAACCTTGGCTCACGCATTTCCTACCAGTGGGACCAAGGACAATGCATTCTGCTTTCATCTCTGCAGCCTTTAAGACACAGCTAACCCTCCAGCATAAGGATTTCCATGCCTCACATTGTCTTAAAATATCTGTTGTACTTTTTGCCTTGTACTTTAAACTCCCAACTTCTTGGTTAATAGTGTGAGTATGGGCCAGGTGCGGTGGCTCATGCCTGTAATCTCAGCATTTTGGGAGGCCGAGATGGGTGGATCACCTTAAGTCAGGAATTCAAGACCAGTGTGGACAACATGGCAAAACCCGGTTTCTACTAAAAACACAAAACTTAGCCGGGTGTGGCAGTGGGCGCCTGTAGTCCCAGCTACTCTGGAGGCTGAGGCAGGAGAATGGCTTGAACCCAGGAGGCAGAGGTTGCAGTGAGCTGAGATTGCACCACTGAACTCCAGCCTGGGTGACTCCATCTAAAAAAAAAAAAAAGTAAGTACATCCCATCTCCTCCTAGGAAAGATTAAAATATATTTAGGAATATAATGGTAAATTAATTTCTTTCTATGCTAATACTGTCAGCCATGGTGTAGATCTGGAGCAATGTGCTTAACCCTCTGGGCCTCAGTTTTCTAAGTCAAAATTTCCTGAGTCTCAGTTCATTTATATGTAAAATGAGGATAAGAACCTCCACTTTACTTGCTTCTTCTAAAGGTTAAATTGTACAATAAAATGAAGAGCCCAGCAGCATGTCACGCATCAGGGATTAGCATAGTTGCATATCACCTTTTGGTTTACATAGAATTTCACAAATATTATCTCATTTGATTCTTGAAACAATGAGATGGCCAGAACATGTTGTTTTGCATCATTTTATAGTTGAGTAAACTGAAGTCAGGAGGGCCTATTAGCAAGCTGCATTTGCTGGAACTGCCTATTCAATAATTATTTAATAAATAAACAATTTAGGGCAAGGAGAATGTGTCTTTTCATATAGAGAAACAACGTGGCAAATGTTAATCCAGTTAAGTAGGTACATCTTAATGCTAAATGATTATTCGGGTAAATATAGCTGGAGCATTTGTATTTTCACTCGGCAATAACTATTAGCAAGTACTCTGTACAATATCTCAGCAACTCAATACAGTGCAAGGCTCCTCTTGAGGAATGGTAGTATTAAGAGAGAAGTAAGCAAAATTGACAAGGAAGAACTTGTTTATCTTGGCTAAAGTAACATGTAGGTGCCCCCTCATTCTTGTTATATATGCAGATAACAGATTATAAATAGGTGTGATGTTAGTGAATCCAGAGGGGAACTAATGGAAGAAAACTGAATTTATTTCTGTCTAACATATTGTTTCTTGTCAGTTTCCTTCCTTTGTAATATAATTTTTAACAAAATGCCTGACAAGTAATTTAGTGACAGATGTGATTAATGCTGACGTGGCTTTTAAGTAGCAGTGAACAGTTAGAGGAAGCATTGTTGTAAAAATAAAGGCTGTCTTCCTGGTGTCTTTCAAATACCTAGAAAACTAAAAGACTAAGTTTGCCCTCTACTGGAATTCAGAATTATACCACTGGCGGTTTTATGACTGTGTGGAAAAAAAAAAAAGGATCTGTGTATTTTTCGTTTCCAGGTTACAAATTCAAGCCTCCTTTTACCACCTTGGTTAATCCGCTTTAGTATTAGTTCTATACATACATAAGATTCTGTGAACCAAATGCTCTCAAGATAGAATTTCCATTCCCATGGAAGCCGGCTGTGAGGGCAGGTGATCAGGTGCTCTACACAAGGATTACAGCAGGAATTTTGGCTCTCCTACTCATTTTGCAAAATATGAATAATCACCTAACACACAGTCTGGGGTTTTAGTAGTTTTTGATTGGTGTTAGGAACTTAAAATAACCCCAAGAATAAAATTGTGCCAGAACCTAGAACATCATCCAACGATTGGTTTTGAGGACAGACCTAAGAGCAGCCAAAAGGGAAAGGGGGTGTTACGGAGGCAGAAAGCTGCTTACTGGCCTTTTCTAAAAACTGCACTTCCAGTTCACTGGCTCTGAGCATGCCTGGTACAACAGTCCAGGGGGTGGAATTATTACGGCAGCTGCCCTGGGACCAGTGCCAGTAGAGGTCTGGAGACTCTAGGGAAGATAAAGGTCAAAAAGATGGATCACAAGACCCGTCAGCAGGAAGTAAAGCTGGTTTAGGCAAAGCAAAGTGCAGCCCTAATTTGTCCTCTCCTTCTGGCTAAACATCATTTAGTCTTCCTCTTCCTTATCTGATCTCCAAACACCACCAGCCAATGCCTATATTTTGTTGTAACATGAACATTTATACGTGCACACTCAGTGGTGCACAGATTTCAGAAACTGGAAAATAGGACGTTTGCCACGCTGGAGGCCAATGCAAATCAACAAATCAAACCCTTGTGTGCCTCTTTCTGGCTCAGATCTTTTTCACAATTTATCGCGTTTGGCCAAAGGTTCAGAGAGAAAATAGATGCAATATTATCTATCAAAGCTAGAGTGAGCATTTGTACGTGGGGTGGGGGTACAGGGGGAAGAAGAGTGCATCCCAGACCCTATTTTACTCTGATATTTAGACTTTAGTATCTAATATAGCAGTTTGCTCTGATTTTAAAATAGCCAGGGAAAAGTGGGTTCAAAAGTTACCTATGCCTCCATAAAGGACATTATATAATTTATCTTTGCTGGTCCTCTGGAATAGTAGAAACTGGCTCCTATTATCTAGATCAAGGTGTTTTATTGTAAAAAGAGAATAATGACATTTGTTTTCTCAGTTTGTAGAAACATAGTCAGTGGATTAAATTTTATACATGTTTGAGCTTTCTCTCAATATTTTTCATAAAACGTAGGTAGCCTGCCAGTACTTATCCCTACCAGAATGAAGCTTCTTACAGTCTCTGATAAGGCATGATGCATGTTTTGATGTAAATATTTTAAGTTTATTGTAGCATTTCATGCCCATGATATATTAAACCAGGTCATGAATTCCAGGGCTCTGCCCCATGAACAATATTAGACTCACTCTGACTTCCAGTTAAAATTACTCCCCAGGTTCAGATAAATTGTGAAAATAAAAGATACTTGGATTACCCTCTATCTTGTGGCTCATAAGAGAGTGGCTGCTGCGGAGGCTGGTCCAGCAGCATCCTTGGTCAGTCAGGGCCATCGGTGTGCCTACATCCCAGGCGGAGGGATGCAACGTGCTCATTGTAATCATCATGCCACACCGCCAAGAAAATATTTGACACTGAGATCAGAAGACAGGGATTCATAGAGTTTCTTTTTAGATCATAATCACTTCTAAACCATGGGGGGTTAAATAGGATTCTCCTTCAAGGAAAGTGAAAACTTTTGAGGTGTTTTCTTTCTCAAAGTATACAATTTGTCCATTACAATGGGATGGTGCACAATTTTATATCTACTAAAAATGTGTTTTTTTTTGTTTTTAATCCAGGATATTCACAGCAATAGCTGCCAATGTTTGGCCCTCAACAATGGGTCACAAGTATTATGATAACTAACTAATCTAGCATCGCTACAATTCTGCAAGGCAGATGTTCTTGCCTCAAGCTTTAGTTAAAGAAATAGAAGCCCAGACAGCTTAAATACCTTAACCAAATTCACTTAGCTAATCAATATGAGACACTGGATTCAGACTCAGGTTTTTCCAATACTCACACTCATCTTTGTGCCATGCTACCTTTCCAGGAAACCTGTTAATTAAAAATCCCTTTTCTACTCAGAATATATACTTTTCAATGCTAATACAGACCGATTTTCCTACTGTCTTATTGAATGTATAGAGGGTCACTGGTAACATCAAATAACAATGCCCTTTTCCAGATCTTTGTAGTTTTTTCTTTGTTTTTATTTTTGTTTTGAGACGGATTCACTCTGCTGCCCAGGCTGGAGTGCAGTGGCAAGATCTGCAACCTCCACTTCCCAGGTTCAAGCAATTCTCCCCTCCTGAGTAGCTGGGACTACAGGCACCTGCCACCATGCCTGGTTAATTTTTTTTTTTTTTTTTTTTTTTTTAGTAGAGATGGGGTTTGCCCAGGCTGGTCTTGAACTCCTGACCTCAGGTGATCCACCTGCCTTGGCCTCCCAAAGTGCCGGGATTACAGGTGTGAGCCACCATACCTCTTTGTAGTTCTTATAAAAGTCCACTACCTGTGTCTCAGGCAGGTATTATTGAAGCTAGTTTTGGGAAGAGAGCTACTTCAGAAAAGAAAGGCAAGTACAATCATGAACAGGTGTCATAATAGGGCCAGTATAAAATTTCTCAAGATGGTAGGAAAAAAATGTGTCTACACGTTAAACCACAAACTTCATACTGGGCATCCAAGAAGTGGACCAGAACCAGGAATCCCATGCATAAGGGTTCCACTGGATTCCACACTCCAAGCAGCAGTTGACTGTTGAGTCAAGGTTGCAAGGGACCAGAGTCCACAGCCACAAACCCAGTGGAAGGGTGGGGAATTCTGCCAAAGAGAGACAATTTCTCTCTCCTCCATGCTAGGCTGTCCTCTGTGTTTCAGTGGAGATTTCAGTGAAGAATTCAGTGGAATTTCTTCACCCTGATGTTGAAATTAGCAGGAAGTTACCCCTGGATAATAACTCTGCCCCTGATTGACTCAGGTAGAAAGAAGTGAGAATTGTGTTACCATGTAACTATTGTTGAAACAGCAAGGTGAAGACAAAGGGAAACATGAAAATAAGAGAAAGAGAATGGGATACTGAGTAACAAAGGATGTCTGTGAGAATCATTGAGAGGTTCCACTGATTAAAATAACAGAAACCAAGTTAAGAGTGAAATAGCGTATAGTAAGTATTTTATGTCACCTCATTCCATCTTAATGCCTTGGTGTAAGAAATGAGAAACGTTTTCTGAAACTGTAACAAGCAAACAGTTAATGGCTAGGTCAAAGTACTGGAAATCACATTTGGCCTGCAGCTGATTTTTCCAGCAGATGACATTTGCTTTAGCTTAAACTAAAATAAAGGAACATTATTGCTCTGATTGTTCCAGCTTATAAGTGAAATTCTTTCCCACTTAAAATTGAAAAATTAGGAGCATTCCTGGCACGTGAATGATATTCAGTACCCAACACCAGTGGTTCTCAAATGTGCCATTTGAGTCAGTTTCTAAACGTTGTTGAAACTGATTGCTGGACCCACCTCCAAAGTTCCTGATTCAGTAGATCTAGGGTAGAGCCTGAGAGTTTGCACTTCTAAGAAGTTTCCAGATGCTGCTGCTGCTGCTGCTCAGAGGACCACACTGGCAACCACTGCTCTACACTAATGTGAACCGTGGCATGTGTCTCGCTATCTGATGTTACTCTTCTGTTTTCCCCCATTGGAAACAACAAACTATGAGGAAAAAATATCTGAATTCTTACACTGGTATCATTGACTGGAAAAAACAAATAGTCATTAATTTGACAATTGTCATCTTTTAATTTGGTGGGTTAAAATCTGACAGGATGTGACGCCAAGGCATTTCATCCTTAGTGGTCCCTTCGAGGTTTCACACATTATTTCTTTGCTGAGACCTTGAGAGCACAATTACTTGCCAGAGGTTTTGCAATGCAATGGTGAGGAATGCAGAATGTTGGGTTCAGCTGATGGACCCTGAACGCTAACCAGAAGGCACACGTGTGCACACTTAGGCTTAGAGTCCTCTTCCAGGCTGACTAGTCCAACCTCAGACAGCCACAACAGTAGGGAGAAGTCCCACTGGGCAGGCTCCTTTCTGAAGTCACAGCTGCATGGACAGATTTCTCTCCTACACCTGACCCTCTGGGGTAGAAAAACACACGTTTTCACAGTAGACATCAATAGACTCTTTCAAGTTAATTTCATGGAGGAACCTAAATCATCGCGTGCTCATGGATCCAGTGGTTCTCAACCTGTCCTTTGCATCACAGTCACTTGGAGGACTCACTGGAAAACAGCTTGCTGGGAACCGCCCCCCTGTTTCTGATTCAGAAAATCTAGGTCTGATTCTAGGATCCAAAAATGTGTTTCTGATTCCCAAGTGAGGTTGTTGCTACTGGTCTTGAGGTCCACATTTGGAGAACTGTGGGTCTTTATCCAAAATACATAGAAGAATTCTACATTGACAAAGTGAAGATGCTTGTTCCCAAATGCTGGAGATGTGTGATTTTGGCTTTGTCCAACAATGAAAGCTCTACATAGCCACTGTGTCCTGGAGTCCTTATGAGAGATAGACAGTTTTATTGGTTGTAGAAATTTGCAACTTTGTACAAGGGGCAACATTTACACAAGATGCACATTTTTATGAAGATCTCTTCTAAAATTTTGAATAATATTCCATTTCAGTGTGCTTCACTAAACTTGTTGCAAACGTGATTTCAGTAATTTCCCTACTTTCAATTACTAATTGCATTAAAATATCAGAGAAAAAAAACATACTGTGCAGCAACTCTCAGTCCAGGAAAGAATGGATATGTAGAAAGGATTTTTTATATAATTTTAGGTTTATAATAGAAACTATAGAACTGAATTAAAATGTAATTTCTAGTAAAAATTCTTACTCTTTTCTAAACGCAACTCACACATATTACCCTGTAATTTGATTTTGGTACTTGTATGAATTCTGGTGTTAAATAGGAATTTTCTGAGAGCAGAATAAAGAATTAAAAAAAAAACTGCTCTGGATGCTTTAACCAGTGCCTCAAATGTAATAATTAATACTTATTCACTAAATCAAAGTTTTAGCTCTACTTCTTCATGTAGAAAAGTGACTTGGAAATAAACAGTCAGAACTCCAAATGTAAGACTTTGAGATGTAAAGAGACTATCTGAAGCTGAAATCACCTGTCGGGAAACCATCTGGATAGAGTTCTGCACTTAGGGGATTACTGTAAGAACTTGAATATCTACACCCAAATAATTCATGGAAAAAGACAGCGGACATTTCTACCTAGGACTCAGTAACTGTTCATCAAAAGGATCAGGGCATGGGTAATATTTGCCTCTAGCAATAATAGACGTTTCCTTCCACCCCGGTCCTTACTTAATATAAAAAGAAGTTCAAATGAGGGTTTCTCGTCTGAGCTGAGCCTGAGAAACAAAGTGAAAGGCAAGCCTGAGGAGCAGTCAACTCTGTGTCCAGTTCATTTGTGAAATGAGCCCCAATGAAATAACCAATTAAAAGCTCCTTCCTGTGAAGAAAAACCAGCAAGGTCTGGAAATAGCAGAAGAGCCCCAACCCCAGCACCTGTCAGCGGCCTGCGGTTTGAGTCTCAGGCAAGAGTCACAGTCATTGCGTCACCAATACCACTCGTTTCACCTTAATGGATATTATGTGATGATGGGGATTACTTCAACATGGTGCAGAATATTTTGGAGAAATGAATTCCCAGGCTTCAAACACTTAATATCTCATTGCTTATACACAAAGATGCATTGTCGTTTTGAAAGTCAGAATATCAGTTATCACTAAATTATGTAAGTAACCTCCAGGAAATTTCACAAGGAAAGTCTCACCTCACATGTGACAAATGATCTGGATAATTGGAGTGCCCTTCTTCAAGATCCAAGATTTCGTCTTGTTGACTGCCCTACCTGCTTTTTCATCCCCTTCCAGATGCCAAGTTCAGGCCGCTCGAACTCATTTTTCTTGTGCTGAATGAGGCTTGAATTAAATTCTCTAAACACAAATTAAAGGGTATCTCGGCATTACCAGGAAGATTTGTGTCTTGTGAAATAATGGGATGGTTTGAGTCAAACGAGTTTGCAAGAACTACTCAAACCAAATTGGTTTTGCCCATATTTTAAAATCTTTTCACATTTCACTTATATTTCCACACAAATGCATAAATCTTAAAGCAACTAGAGTCAGCTGGAAAAAAGAAGTGTTCTAAGCATTTACCGTGAAGAACAGATCGTTAAGAAAGTAGGCTGAGGAAAATTGGGAAGAATGCTGAAATGAGTAGCAATAACTGATGAGCTATGCTGATCTAACACACTCCAAGAAAAAGAAGACTAGCAGTCAGTTGACATGGTGTTGTTTCTTTCTATGCGTTATATTCGTTTTGCTTAAGAAATTTCCTAATACAAAATAACTGTGTCATTCTTCGTTTCTAACTAAATTCTTCTATATGATTCTCTAATTTAATGTGTGCCCAGGTTTCTCTTGACGTTTCATTGATGATCCAGTGGCAAAGAAGAAGAAACGATACTAAGATGGAAGGAGTTATTGTGAAAATGTACATAGATAAAAGCAGGAACTTATTGCATAAACATGTCGTTCCTATAAATAAAAATCAAACATATATATGTAAGTCTTCTGATCAGTACTGCAAATTTGCCCTCCAGAAAGGTTATGCAAGTGTGCAGTCCAAGAAGCATTATTTAGAAATGCTACTAAACAGGTTGGCATTGCTTTGAGAAATAACTCATTATTCGTTTAAATAGCATTTTTAATTTAGTTTCATTATATATTGTTTAGTTGTATTTCTTCTTTGTAATTTACCATTCTTTATTTGCAAATCATTTTGACTACAATAATCAATAATTAATATATCAACTGTTATAATTCAATATTCCTGTAGTTAATATTCTCATTTGCCTTATAGGTTTTTCTTTTTTTGTGTGAGATACAGGGTTTTTTTTATTTTTCTATTTTGCATTCAATCTTTTCCTTTATGGCTTCTGCCTGTTTAATCATGTTTAAAACTGCCTGTCTACTGTAAAATTATATAAATGTTTATCTTAATTACCTCATAATCATTTTATGACTTCAGTTTTTACATTTAAATCTTCAAACCATCTGGGTTTTACTTTACCGTGGTAAGAAGGATGAGATAGAGCTTAATTTTTTTCCAAATGATTAGTAAATTATCACAAAACCTTTTGAAGTAATGATTTCTTCACTGATTGATTGGAAATTCACTTATATAATACATTATTATTTATAGATGAAGTTATTCAGAGACAAATTTAAGCTCAGAAATAGATCTAAGTATTGGAAGTAATTTTAGAACACAGGAGGTGTTCTGATAATATTCAAATCTCCTCTAAAAATTTTTCATTGATATCACTTGTTTGAGTATCTCCAAGATTTTGATAGAAAGTATTTTTTATTGGAAGAAAATCGATGCCCCCACTCACCCACCTGCGCATGTGTGCATGTGTGTGTGCACGCACATACACACATACACACAAGCATGCACACACACACATGCATACACACATGAGTGCATACACGAGTGCATACACACGTGCGCACACACACGAGTGCATACACACACGAGTGCATACACATGCGCATACACACTTGCATACAGACACGTGCATGCACATATGTGCATACACACACGAGTGCATACACACGCGTGCATACACACACGTGCACACACACAAATGCATACACGCACATACACACGCACATACATGTGCATACAGACACACACGCATGCGCGCGCGCACACACACACACACACACTTCTTACTTCTCTATACCAAAAGCTAACAAAGAGTTTCTGTAAATGTTTCAGGCTTTGTGGTCCCAGCCTCTCTCACAACTACTGAACTCTGAGGTTGCTATTGTGGGATCTCGCCAGCACCCCACAATGCAACGGGGCTCTCTCTTTGTTCCCAGGTGGATCGGCAGGTCGAGAAATAATAGACACACAAGATAGTGAAAACTGGGTCCGGGGGGTCACCACCTCCTGGACCTGAGATGCCACCAATGCACTGGATATACCAGCATTTATTATTAAGTTTAGTGAGGGTGGGGGTAGGTTAGTGAGGGATTTAGGGTCATTTGATTATGAGGTGAGATGGTCACATGGGGATGAAGTAATTCTTTAACATAACATCTGTATTCAGAAGTACAGTATGCAGAGATAAGAACTTACAATATAGTGTGTGCATTAGCAATTTCTAACAGAGCCTTAAAACAGAAACACAGTCTTTCCATAACCTATGATTAGCAAGACATTAATCAGCAGGAACAGTTGCAGCAAAAGCTGGTTACAAACAATCCATAGAAACAGGACGTGAAGCTAGACAACCGGTCAGACCAGAAATTCTCGGAAGGGAGTATGCCTTAACCCTAAAGAGGCCTAGAAGAGCTGCGGCAAGATGAGGGCGTTTATAGCCCTATCTTATCCATATGGACAGGTGCCCCCCATGCATCCGTTTATAGGCTCTCCACAAGGGTCGCATTCCATTCCCAGAGCTATGAACATCTGCTTTTCTGGGATAGGAATCTTGGTGATGTGAAACCTCCCTGACTGCACGTCTGTTCATAGGCTCTCTTCAGGGGGAAGCACATCACCCGCTGTTGGCTCATTCTGGCAGTCCAACCTGGCATTGTCTTTACACAATCCTGCATGCAATTTTGTATTTACAATAATCAGGAGCATTTCATCTTTTATTCTGTAGCAGTAGTTTCAGGTCTCCCTACAACTCCCCCTTTACTCTGATTTAAATGAACCATAGCAATCATGGCTTGGCGCTGATCCTGATTGGATTGAAGAATATTTTTTTCCAATTTTACACATGAACAATAAACCAATAGCACAAATTATACACAGAACAAAATTAACAATAGTGGATCCTCCCAAAGATTTTACCCATTGAATGGGGTTGAGATTAGATAACCCCTCAGAGATACAAAACTCTGGGTGACACCCAATGAACCATTCTGTTCTAATCAACCTTGATTTTTGTACATTACAATTAGAACCATTGATGATTTTAACATGTCAGGAAAAGCCTTTTCTTTTTCTGATATTTTTTTCAACAATTTAAAGATGTAAAAAGCATTCTTAGTTCATGGGTCATACAAAACAAATGGTGGGCCAGATTCATCCGGTGGGACATCGTTTGCACTTCAAATATTGGAAGACTCTTATGATAGACTTTCTATAATCTGTAGTTGGAAATTAATGCACTTTTTAAATATAATGTTTTGAATTGGAATGGGCACAAATTATTTGATGTGACTTACTATCAAGTTATATAAACAACTGAACTCTAAATAAAAATATAGGCTCTTGAGTGTGGTAGAAGTAAACAAAAAATGTTTGAGTATTTGTCACCCATGTAAATAAATTTATGCATCCTTCAATGTTGCTGTGAAATATTTGGCCATCCAGGCACCAGGAGCAATACAAGGAGGTATTTAGCTTTCATTTTTGAATTAAAAAGTAGGACATTCACCAGAGGAAACATAATTTAGAAGGAAAACTTTAAGAAGAATTGGCTTTAACAGATGGATTCTGTTTTGGGAATGATCATCAATGTAATAGACAATGTATTGTGAATGATTTTATTTTACAACTTTTTATTAAAATGTACTATATTGGAAATCTTATATTAAGAATGCTTATAGGTCAACCTCGCTTTTACTTTAGCTATAACCTAATGTTTAATAATTATAGTAGTTTTTTCATTAATATTTCGGTCAACATATTTTAAGCTAGATTATTAGGTTTAAAGGACTGAATTCATGTTACCATATATTGAAGCCCTCGTTTCATAAATAAAGCTTATTGTCTTAATAACTCTTTTGTCTGACATTAATATACTGCTATAATAACTCTTTTGTCTGACATTAATATACTGCTAAACTTTTGATCAGTTTATCCTATTATTTTTATTCCATATCTTCAATTTTTCTCTTATATTTTAGATATGCCTCTCTTAAACAGCATAAATCTAGATTTTTTTTACATTTCATCTAAAAATTTCAATCTTTTAAGTTTATATTTAACCATGACTGTAATTACTGATACACTGGAATTCTTCTATTTTTGTGCTTTTCATTTATCTGTCATACTAGGCTAAGTGTTTCTTCTTTTGCTTTACTTTATAAACCAAATCATTTTCTTTTCTCCACTAGTATAAGGTGAAATATTCTATTTCTGTTCTCTTGTGGTTACGGTAGGCATTTTGATATACATATTTAATGTAATAAGTTAAAATATAATCAATTTCTTTTTCAAATTAACCATGACTTTAGACTATTTTAACTCTAATCATATTCATCCCTCTCTTTGCCCTAAATATATTTCTGTAATGCCCAGGTTTGAATGCACCTTGATTTAATTATACTTTCATTATTTTGGATTATTTAATTATTTTGATTAAATAATTTCATCTAATGATTTACTGTTTTCTGTCTCTCTGATAAATACATAAAAGTAGAAACCTTGCTCATAAGTTAGTGTATGTTTAACTTTATGACATAATACCTAACATCTTTCCAAATTAGTTTTATTTGTACTTTTCCCCACTAGCACAGCAATGTAGGAGAGTGTCAGGTGCCCCACATCTTCGTCAACATTTGGTGTTGTCCATTTTAATTTTAGCCATTCTAATGAGTTTTAATTATTTTCTCTGATAACTTATAATGTCAAGCAGCTTCTTTTTCTCCTGTACTACTGGCTTTTCAAATTAATTATTCCCAGAAGTGTCTGTTCAAGTTCTTTACCATTTCCTTATTGGTTGATTTATCTTTTGGCTATTGATTTGTAGAAATTATTTATGTATTCTGGATACAAGTCCTTTGTCAGATATATGCAATGTGTTCTCCCAGTCTGCTCTTTATTCTTCTTTCTCTTAATGGTGTTTTTGATGGACAAAGGTTTTTTACATTGATGAATTCAACTTATTAATTTTTTTTTGTATTTCCTTCTTTATGTGTCCTTTCTGGGAAATGTATTTAAACTTATTTTATGGCCCGGCACACATTCTACCTTGGTGAAATTTCATGTATGTCATTTTTTTTTCTGCCTCATCCAATCTCTATTCTTCTTCTGCAATTCCAATTATATGTGTGTTTTACACTTGACACTGTTCTAGAGCTCAAGGTGGCTTGGTTCTTTTTTTTTTTTTTTTTTTTTTTGAGACAGAGTCTCGCTCTGTTACCCAGGCTGGAGTGCAGTGGCGCAATCTCCACTTACTGCAAGCTCCGCCTCCTGGGTTCACGCCATTCTCCTGCCTCAGCCTCCCAAGTAGCTGGGACTACAGGCACCTGCCACCACGCCTGGCTAATTTCTTTGTATTTTTTTTTAGTAGAGATGGGGTTTCACCCTGTTAGCCAGGATGGCTACCCTCGTGATCCGCCCGCCTCGGCCTCCCAAAGTGCTGGAGTTACAGGCATGAGCCACCGTGCCTGGCTGGTTCTTTTTTAAAAATATTTTTTCCTCTCTATTTTTCAGATTTGACAATTTGACTTGTTGCTTTATCTTCAAGTCTATAGACTATTGATTTAGCCATCTCCAACTGATGTTAAGAATATCTGTGATTTTTTAAAAAATTCAGATAGTTTCTAATGTTAGAATTTCCATTAGTTTGTTTTTATTTTTATTTTTTTAAGTGAAAGCAGGTTTATTAAGAAAGCAAAGGAATGAAAGAATGGCTACTCCATAGGCAGAGCAGCCTAGTTTATTTTTATACTGTATATTTCCCTGCTGGGATTATCCCTCTCTTCACTCACTTATGGCTATTTTCCCTTTTACATCTTTGACCATATTTATAATAGTGGTGTTTGATTCTTTGTCTGCTAATTCCAACATGTTGATGATCTCAGTATTGGTTTCTATTGATGTTTGTTCTCTTGACTATGCATAATATTTTACATTTCTTTGCATATATAGCATTTTTGTATTGTATGCTATACTTTGGGGATGATGCATTCTGAAAAGAGAGTGGATTTTGTTATCTTTTGCAGATTATTCATTTTTGTTTTAGTTAACAGTTACATTCAGGGCTGATCACCCTGAATTTATGGAGATTTGGTTTTGTACTTTATTGGGGCAGGCTGTAAGTATGGACCTTATAGAATTTTAGCAGACACTCCAAAGTGTCTACTAAGCCCCTTTAATTTGAATGGAGTTAAAATCTAAATTGTCTTCCTCTGATGGGCAGCAATTGAAATCTATGTCCAGTTTTTTTCATCCATCTATCGCCTTCTATAGGGCTGTTTGGTGTTTTTTGCATGCGTCTGCAGTTCAGTTTAACTAAATATTTATGGGGACTTTATATGCAGACTTTTGTCCCCTCCCATTTCTGGGATTTCCCATCTCAATTCACAGCCACGTTGGCAATGTCACACTCTCTTCTCTGTTACCTAAAGCCAACAGGCCTGTGGTTTTCTACTTTCTCAGTAGCTGCCTGCCTCACGTGTACTGGGAACCTTGCCAGGCCCAACCCGCAGACACTGGTCAAGCGACGGATGAAAAAATGTACGCAGACACAGGTTTTTTGCCTGGTCGGGCGGATAGGGGACCGGGCCACTCAGACATCAAGGATGCCATAAAGAGTCACAGCGGCTGAGGCCCTGACAAGCTAGCGCTGAGGGCATTTATTTAGTACAGATTTAATAACAAAGGCTTTGAGTCAACACACTTGTGGGTAATTAACATGGTCGCCCCCCCACCAATCCCCCAACCCCTACCCCCACCCCAGTCCTCACCCCGCTCCCCGAGAGAGCAGTCCTGCACGTGGATGATTAAAGGCCAGGTTCTAAGGCCTAAGTAAACTAACTTATCTGGATCAATTCCCTTACACTTCCTTGTTATCTGCTCTTAGAGAATTCAGCTGCCTTTTGCCATAATTTTCTTCTGAAGTTCTGCAAACCCCTGGCCTTCTGAGAAGGTCTGCATTCTCTATCTATAATTTTTCCCACCACCCTGACCAATCTCCTACAGAACACTATTGGGAATCTGTATAAATATGGGTCTAACTTAGTGCATTTCTGTCTTTTCAAGGGTTCAGCTTAACTATACTTTTAGCAATTCTCTACAACTGTCAAATGGTTTTCTTTTTAAAAAATTTCCCAGAGATTATAAGTTTAGTTTGATGTAGGCTACTTTATCATTATGAAACCCAGAACGATTCAAATCATTATTATAGTTCACAAAATCTCTCTTAAGCTGTGTTTTATGTGTTGTTATATCAATCCTTTAAGGTTTAATTTTTGCTTTTGCTTTTTATCTTTTTATTTCTATGCATTCTACTGGGTTACTACTAATTTGGCTCAGGAGTTTTGATAGTCTCTTGTTCTATTGTCATACTTTCCATTATTTCTTTTTTCTTTAAATACATTAAACAGCCATTTTATTCAATAATCCCATTGTTTTCCATATCTTAGGTCTAATACATAAAAGGGTTTTTTAACTTTAATTTATGATGGTTTATGTCTTTATGTTTATTTGAGATATTTTTATTGTAAGTTCCCTACCCCTAGGGAAATTAATCTGTAGGAATTCATTGAGCATAGACCTTAAAGTGCTTGCCTACAGAGAAAAACTTATTTTCTTCTACTGAAATATGGGGGACGTATCCAAAATTGGATTGCCTTGCATTAATGTTTGACTTGATGTTTTATAGGCCACACAGTTAGTACAAATGGAGACCCTAAACCCAGAGGTGGTTAGAAATAATTACCAGAGACATATATGTTTTCTTTTTTTTTTTTTGAATACTCTGTAGCTTATTGAGACTGAAGCAGACAATTATACCCACAACTCCCTCTGCAGAGGTGCTTTCCTGGTTCACCTGCTGAAGATGTCGTCCTTGCTGGGTTCTAACTTGGGCCCTTATCTTCCAGCCAGCCCCCCTTATTGCTTGGAACCAGGATTTGTCTCATTTCCTGATGCTCCATAAAACCCTAGGTAATTCTCCCATATTAACTCCCATTAAGCCACCTATTTAAGAAAGAAGAACCGGTTAATATTTTATCCATCTTTTTTTTGAAATGCCATAAAAACTAAGTTATTCCAAAAGTCTATTTAGCAATTTTTCTGGAAATGGAAGTTTTCCTACTGGCTTTTGTTCCATGTGTTTCAAGGCTGGGTTTTTAAGTACATACAAATTTTGACTTTTGAAAATGTTCTTTGAGAATTCTTACATCACCAACATGCAGTATTCTTCCTTGTGCATTACATTGCTATTTACTTGTATTCCACTTTGTTTCATATACATTTTGGCAAACCTATCTTCTTTTTGTTAACATTTTCTTAGTATTTTCTTTACAAACATTTTCATTCCTCCTGTATCATTTTAAGTGTCTTTTATTGAGTTAAAAAATCAATTAATTTGTATTCTGTGCACAAGAATCCCTCTATTATTTAATAGATAAATTTGGACCCATTCATAATTATTGAGAATATTAATATTTTGCATCATATTCTTGTTCCATTATTTTGTGCCTCCTTCTCATGCTTTCCAGTTACTCATTTTTCACTTTTATATTATTACCTGTTGCCGTATAATAATATTGCCAAACTTATTGCCTTACAACAACACACATTAGTTTTCTCAGTTTCTGTGGTCGGGAGTCCAGACACAGCTTAGGTGGCTTTGCTGCTTCAGGGCCTCACAAGGCTGCAATCAAGATGCCAGCCAGGACTGTGGCCTTATCTTAGGCCTGGCTGGGGAGAGATCTGCTTCCACACTCCTATGGCTAATGGTGGCATTCACTTCCTGGTGGTTTGTTGGGCTGAGGGGCTCCATCTCTTATTGGCTGGGGGGTCACCTTCTTTCCCATGTGGGCTCTCTGTATGACATTACACAACATGGTAGCTTGCTTCTGCAGAGCCAGCAAGGGAGCGAGTCTACTGCCAAGACTAATGCTACAACTTCATGTAATGCAAGCATACATACATCTGTAACATCTTCCATATTCTATTGGTTAGAAGGAAACCATAGGTCCTATTCATTCTCAAGGAGAAGGTATATTAGTCTGTTCTCATGCTGCTAATAAAGACATACCCTAGATTGTGTAATTTATAAAGGAAAGAGGTTTCATTGACTCACAGTTCCACATGGCTGGGGAGTCCTCACAATCATGGCAGAAGGTGAATGAGGAGCAAAGTTGTGTCTTACATGGTGGCAGGCAAGAGCTTCTGTAGGGGAACTCCCAGTTATAATAAAACCATCAGATTTAGTGAGACTTATTCACTATCACAAGAAGAGTATGGGGGAAACTGCCTCCATGATTTGGTTATTTCCACCTGGCCCAGCCCTTGACACATGGGGCTTATTAGAATTCAAGGTGAGATTTGGGTGGAGACACAGCCAAAGCATATCAGAAGACATCACACAAGTGCATATGTCCCAGGAGGTAAGAATCCTGGGGCTACCTTCAAGTCCATCTACCACATTTCTTATATCCTTTTTAGGACAGATATCATTTTTTTCCTGTCACATTCTTTAATGGTTTGAAGGTTATTTACTTGTTAACATTTCTATTTACACCTATATTTTCCCGACAATGTCTAGTGCTGATCAGATTATATATTCTTCCCTTGAATAAACCATATAACCTTAGCAAGCGTGGAGTTTCTTTCTCACCTACTCCCACTTTCGCCATTTGCCCTTTGACTATTTGGTATTTGGAATTCTAAGCTGAGAATTTAAAAAATGTAAACATAAACAATCAGCAATTATTTGCCTTAAAACTACATTTTACTAAATTACTTGCTGACTTTTCATTAAACCCACTCATTTTCTCTTGGGTTTACTTTGTACATTTCAAAATATTGCTGTCCTCCTCTCATTCCTGGATGGTACCCTGATTAAGTATAGAATTCTTGATTCAAGGTTATTTTTTCTTTTTGAATTTTTGAAATATTACTCCCTTCACCTTTTGTCTGAAACATTATGTCTAACCTACTCCATATGCCAATCTGATTTTTGTTCCTTTGTACTTAATCGGATATTTTTCACTTTTGTAACTTTCAAGCATTTTCTTTTTATCTTTGGCTTTCTGAAATTTGACAATTTGATATTTTAAGTTTTTGTTTTATATTACTTATATCTTGGTGTCCTGTCCATTTATAAAGAATAATTTCAATATAAGTAGATTTATTCTCCAAGATCTAGAGAAGTTTCTTTGGTTATTCTTTGAATATTCTCCTCCATCTTTATTTGCTTTTTCTAGACATTCTTTCATATAGTACTAATATCACAAATCCCAGATCTATCTTCTATGTTTTTCATGCTTTCTGAACTTTTTCATTGTTTGACTAAGTTCTTGAGGAATTCCAAAGGGTAATTTCATTGCTCTGTAATTTACATTTTACGTATATCAAATGGTATTTGGCTGATACACTAAGGTTTTCTCTCAATAAAATTTTTACTCTGCATGATTTCTATTTGATTTTTTACATCTATTATTCTCCCTCCCATCTCTCTGTGATGCTACTTATCCTTACACTCTGCTTTGTTCTTTGATTGTGTGTTATTCAGCCTTTGGAGTTTGTTATTTCATGGTGGCTTCTCCCTTTCAGTGCTAGATGAATCTTGGTAATGCATTCAGCAGCATTTTCTGTTAGGCTCGATGTCAGCACAGCCTGGCTGGGAGGAGCAGTGAGATGTGCTGGAGTGGTTCATTCTCTCTTCCGGCAATCATGCTGTACTAGACTGTTGCGTTGCTCTAAAGAAACACCTGAGACTGGGTAATTTATAAAGAAAAGAGGTTTAATTGTCCCCGAGTTCTATAGGATGTGTGGTGCTGGCATCTGCTTGGCTTCTGGGGAGGCCTCAGGGAACTTAGTCATGATGGAAGGCAAAGGGGGAGCAGGCATCTCATATGGCCGGAGCAGGAGCAAGAGAGTGGGAGCTGCCATACACTTTTAAACCACCAGATCTCATGAGAACTGACTCACTATCACGAGGACAGTACCAAGGGGGAATGGTGTTAAACCATTCATGAGAAACTACCCTCATGATTCAATCAACTCCCACCAGGCCCCACCTCCAACACTGGGGATCACAATTCAACAGGAGATTTTGGCAGGGACACAGTTCCAAACCATATCAGATGCACACGAAGGACATACAGTACACATTGTGAGCCATGACAAACACAGGTTTATGTCTGTGCTTATTTATGAAAAAAATAGTTTACTTACCAAACACTTATTTATCCTCTTGTGAAAGTTAGTATTAATCCTCTTGTGAAATGAACTCTGGTATTTTCTATTCTGCTCAATCGCATTGCACTTTTTTCACACACGAGTTAAGTACTTTTTTGATTTTCACACACCAAAATGCATCTCGACTGTGGTTGATAAATACTATTTTAGGCCATTTTCAGTAAAATTAAGGAAGAGAACGGACAAGCTATGAAGTGAGGAGTATCAAGAGCTAATTTTCAACATGTGGGCACCCCTCTATCTCCTGGTCAACCCCAGCCATTTGTACACAATGCCCCATCTCTCTGCATAACACCCAGGCTAATTTTACTTAAAAGAGATACAGCTCTGTTGTTTCAGCCTAGGCACAAAAGGAAAAGAGGAATCACAGAGGAATCAAATGCATGGCTATAATGTCCTCACTAACATCTTTCAATTTACCCTTGACCCCTCTTCTCTGTCTGTCTCATCAGGAAGTGAAGCATTTCAGGCTTGCTCCCATGTCTATAGCTGTTCTGCCTGTGCACGTTTGATATCATTGCATCTTCAACCTGATCTCGTTCACTTCTGTTTCAGAAGCTACTAGTAATGTCTGTTCTACCAAGAATTCTCCCTTGGATTTTACAGTGTTAAACTGTATTTATTTATGTCTGTTATGTCATTTCTGGGGCTTGAGGCAGGATGGGTAGCTATAATGTGTTTGGTTTACTCCCTTGAACTAGAAACCTGGGCTATCTTTGCCAAGAAACATTGTTGTCAACCAGAATTTTTGCTGATTTAAGGAGTATGCTAGTCTTTTATGATATAACTAATGGAAGCTTCTATTAAGGAAATACCTCTGTGACTTGTACTAGGCCTGGATGGAAGGCCATCCCATCAGAGCTTGGAAGTACGCCGTGAGACAGTGCTGATAGACAGAGTGAAAGTGCTGCTCAGGAAAGGAACTCCTGGATCTATGGGTCTCAGTGGACATGGCAGAATCATGCAATTCAAATTCAACTTAACAAGAAAACATTGTTTGCTAACTTTAAAAAAATAGTTATTCTTTTCTCCCATTTTGTAGGTTGCCTGTTCACTCTGATGGTAGTTTCTTTTGCTGTGCAGAAGCTCTTTAGTTTAATTAGATCCCATTTGTCAATTTTGGCTTTTGTTGCCATTGCTTTTGGTGTTTTGGACATGAAGTCCTTGCCCATGCCTATGTCCTGAATGGTCATGCCTAGGTTTTCTTCTAGGGTTTTTATGGTTTTAGGTCTAACGTTTAAATCTTTAATCCATCTTGAATTGATTTTTGTATAAGGTGTAAGGAAGGGATCCAGTTTCAGCTTCCTACATATGGCTAGCCAGTTTTCCCAGCACCATTTATTAAATAGGGAATCCTTTCCCCATTGCTTGTTTTTCTCAGGTTTGTCAAAGATCAGATAGTTGTAGATATGCGGCATTATTTCTGAGGGCTCTGTTCTGTTCCATTGATCTATATCTCTGTTTTGGTACAAGTACCATGCTGTTTTGGTTACTGTAGCCTTGTAGTATAGTTTGAAGTCAGGTAGTGTGATGCCTCCAGCTTTGTTCTTTTGGCTTAGGATTGACTTGGTGATCGCAACCTACTCATCTGACAAAGGGCTAATATCCAGAATCTACAATGAACTCCAACAAATTTACAAGAAAAAAACAAACAACCCCATCAAAAAGTGGGCGAAGGACATGAACAGACACTTCTCAAAAGAAGACATTTATGCAGCCAAAAGACACATGAAAAAATGCTCATCATCACTGGCCATCAGAGAAATGCAAATCAAAACCACAATGAGATACCATCTCACACCAGTTAGAATGGCAATCATTAAAAAGTCAGGAAACAACAGGTGCTGGAGAGGATGTGGAGAAATAGGAACACTTTTACACTGTTGGTGGGACTGTAAACTAGTTCATCCATTGTGGAAGTCAGTGTGGCGATTCCTCAGGGATCTAGAACTAGAAATACCATTTGACCCAGCCATCCCATTACTGGGTATATACCCAAATGACTATAAATCATGCTGCTATAAAGACACATGCACATGTATGTTTATTGCGGCATTATTCACAATAGCAAAGACTTGGAACCAACCCAAATGTCCAACAATGATAGACTGGATTAAGAAAATGTGGCACATATACACCATGGAATACTATGCAGCCATAAAACATGATGAGTTCATGTCCTTTGTAGGGACATGGATGAAATTGGAAATCATCATTCTCAGTAAACTATCACAAGAACAAAAAACCAAACACCGCATATTCTCACTCATAGGTGGGAATTGAACAATGAGATCACATGGACACAGGAAGGGGAATATCACACTCTGGGGACTGTTGTGGGTTGGGGGGAGGGGGGAGGGATAGCATTGGGAGATATACCTAATGCTAGATGACAAGTTAGTGGGTGCAGCGCACCAGCATGGCACATGTATACATATGTAACTAACCTGCACAATGTGCACATGTACCCTAAAACTTAAAGTATAATAAAAAAAAAGAAATAATAAAAATAATACCTATAAAAAAAATATTCTTTTTCAATATTATTTTGTTTATTAAGTTCCTTGCTTTTCCATATGGATTTTAGGATCCACTCATTAACTTATACAAACAAGGGAGCGGGGATTCTTTCCTGTTCTTATTTATTTGTGTGTCTCCATTTTCTCCCTTGAAAATTGGACATTTAAAATAATCCACTGCGTGAACTTTGGAAATCAGATTTCCCCCTACTTTTTACTGTTTGCTGCTGTTGTTGTTCTTTGTTTAGAAACTTCATGCATTAATTTTGGAAATTCTCTATTCTTTTTCACATGTGGTCATGAAGGCTTTGGTTAGCTTAGTGATCAGCTGATGATTAGACAGAGATTTCTAGTCTTATTGATCTGGAACCAATAGGGCTCCCAAATCTACCAGTGTACTTCTGTGTGTGTTTGGGCACACCTCAACACTCAGCCAGACATTGGACAACTCTGCCTTAGCTCTCCCTTCCTGCTTAGGAAGTGCCTCAAGGTCAGACAGAGGTGAGAGCTTAGAGTCTTCAGTCATTCTTTACCATACCTACATCTCTGCATATGTACTTGGCCTTCTAGATTCAAAAAAAAATATGATGTAACTTTTCAACATTCCTGTGGAAACTGCATTTCCCAGTCTTACCTTTTAAGCTTTTTGGTTAGTCTAGGGTTTCTCCCAACTATTATGTAGTGCCATAGGTGACTCAGAAGTTAAACAATTGCCTCAATACATCCAACAGTGTCCCCCAAGTCAAAGGCTTTCTGTACTGGGCAAGCACCAAATCACATCATATAAGCACAGCTTTGTGAGCAGGCCCTTTCAGAGAACTATCAGGCAGGTCAGATCATGACAATTCTCTGGAAATGAGGCACCTCACTGAAGGTACCTCACCCTGTTCCTGCCACTCCAGTGGCAGCTAGGTTGGTGGTTTTCACTGTGTTTGCAGACAACTGGTTACAAAGACTACCACAGAGCTAGGGGTACGGTTGAGGATGGGAACAGGAAAAGTTAAAACACTACAAGGTCACTGGTCTTACCAAAATTTGGCCATTTTCCTGGAGTAAATGTTCTCCAGATTTGTATGAGGCTTTGGTTAAATTCCGTGTTTCTGAAAAGTTGATTCTCACAATTTTTGTCAGTTTTTCCATGACATTTAAGAGGAGAAAATATTCAGAGGTTCTTCCTCTGCCATTTTCATTGACATCCTATTTACTTTTATTTAATTCATAATATTATGTACAAAAAATATTTAGTACACATCTGGGGTATTGGCTATGATCAAGAGAATAGCTTAGTCCTAAACATAACCATAAGTTAAGAGGAATTCTTTACTGTGGGATTTCATATCTGGTCCTGCCCTATGGGGCAGTTTACTGTGAGTTTACTTACCTCTGAGCCTTTCTATAAACACACCTGCCCCATATCCCATTCTCAAGGGATCTGTTTGCTAACTTACCAGGTAATTAATTTAGGGTCAAGTGCTAATGACTCATAATGGCATAATATGTAATCATCCAAATCACATTTTCAGGATCGCCAAGGGCTTCTGTATCTTAATCCAAAATAATAAGCAATGTGGGGATTATTGGCTCCTTAAGAAGATCAATCTCTCTTACATAGAATGAGCTCTGAACCAGACACTTAGCCTAAGACAAGTCAGGGTGATTTGTGGAGTTGAAATGTTTTTCACTGAAAATGCCAGAATGTTACTTTTTTCAAAACGTCTGAATAATGTTGGATTTCCTATCGCCTCTAATTCATTGTCTCTGTTTACTTTGCAAGTATAGAAAATATTGATGAAAATGATCATCAATATGAAAGTAAAATGCTCCAAATTAATACCTTTTTTCTATGACAAAGAAACCTTTACAAGTGGAAATAACTTGTATCTTCACAAGGCCACATTTTTAGGTCACAATCTGGACTAAAGATTTTATCTAAAATTTTTAAGCATTTATCTTTGCAAAATAGTTAAGCACAATTTTTAATAGTTATTTAGAAAACATTGGCCATAACCCTAATCTATACTTATTAATATGTGTCCTTAGAACTCAAAGGTTTTCTCTCTCTCTCTCTCTCTCTCTCTCTCTCTCTCTCTCAGCATGTGTATATAAAATTGCTGGTGCTAGTTGCTATGGTCAACATTTAAAGTGCTAAGCACAACACGAAATCTAAAATTCTGTCAGAAAGAAGCTATTTCTACCACTTGAAAAATTTCCTCTCTGCGCAGACACTGCTTACAGCTTTCTGGCATGTGACTTAGGAACAAAGCCATGATTCTTTTACCGGAGAAGGTTTGGGGATATACTTTGAATGTTAAGTTATTTGGGATGATGTTTTTTGTCATTTGATGCCAGCTGCCACTGTTCATGCAGAATTGAGATATCAGTTAAACTAAAGCAGATGCAAAATAGATATTATATCTAGACTAAGTATCATGCTTAGAATATAAACACATATCTACAGTGCTTTTTTATAAAGATAAGGCTATGAATATTTTAGTAATGTTTGGTTTTCCTGATAGAATTTAGATTTGATCTGCATAGTGCTAAAACCTCTTTAAGAACACCACCACATACTTGGGTTTTGTGATTATTTGGATATGATCAGGGTTAGGTTGTCCTTTCCGTAAATGAAGAACAGGTTGAAGAAATCAATTGTATAAAAATGTTATAAGTGGAGTTCTCAGTTGACTCCACTTTCCTCTAGCTCTAAATTTGTGATGATGTGATCTTTTTGCAAGCACCATTTACATACTGATGTACTTGTTACATTTCATTCTAATTAGTCATTAACATATGTCTTCTAAGGACAGTTGAGGAAGCATTCTCTTACCAGAATTTGTTATGAGTTTTTTGCTTTTTCTTGTTTCTCTTTCCCCTTCTTTCTTCAAAATGACAAGAGAGTTTTCTTTGCAGTCATTTGAAAGTGGCTCAGTTGAGTTAGAGTGAGCTCATTAATTGTAGATTTGTGGTAACCATAACTAATTTTTGAGGAAGGCATGACACAGATGACTGTATCCACCAGAAACAAGTTTCTTATTCCCTGATTCAATCACCCAGGGGATTGGTTCTGCTGGGGCAGGGTGAAGGGAACAGTTTTCAGGGTGTCAGGTAAAAACAGAGACGCTAGTAACGGTGTAAACACTTGTTTCTCCAGGGAAATATCTGGACCTGGCTCAAGACGGGACTCTTGTTCTTGACTTTCCTCCTTCCTGTGTCTTCTCAGATTCTCAGCCCAGTGATGACGCTGTCCTCCCACTCTGCATTCCCTAGATCACACACAAGGCTGTGAATGCTTGTGTACCTCATGTGCTGGGCATTTCCAAGAACCAGTGGCTTCCTGTGAAAGCTGATTCACAAGTATGTTTTCAGCTTACTGTGTGAGCAATTAAATCCACTGCTGTCATCCACAGTAAAAACTCTCCACATGCTGCTTCACAGACCTTTTTTTCCCTTTGGCTTTAAACAGAGATGTTTAATGAAGATGAGATTTTTATTTCCTTTTCCATATATAGGAGCTACTGAATGTAAGGGAGAAAGAACATGGCTTAATATGGTGAAAGTAATGGAGGCAGTATATAATTATCATTATCTGCTACAATTAAGGCAGCATCACGCTGTCTTGTGACAGTTTATTGTGGTGTGTGGGGATGCAGTAAAGTGATATTTATACCCCCATGACTGCCTTGCCATTCAGAAATCCATAACTCTATAAATGCATTCTGTGGCTATAGAGCATATGTCTTCAGCACTTCCCTATTAGGCTGGGTCTTTACATTGAGAATGTGGCCCATGAAATGAGAATAAGCTCATAGAATAGATCAGAAAGTAAAAAGCTGTTCAACAGCAATGATGAACAAAACCTTCACCTGTGCAATAAGGGTGTTGGGATCTATTGGTAAAAGGCCTGGGGCCCGTCTGGTGATAGGCCAGGACCCTGAGGCAGGGCTGGATAAGATGGAGAGGGCTGCATTGCACCATGCATTGCAGAAGAGGCACACTCATTTCAAGAAAGGATACGGGCTTGGCTGAGCGACACATGCAACTAAAACTCAAGACACACATTCTAACTTTCTCTCAAGCTGGAGTCGGGAGGCTGGCATACAAAGAGGACAATGTAAGGCTAGTTATCACATGCCAATGACGGTGGTGAAGAACCACGTGTTCCATGAGACGTGGCTGTCTAGACCATGTTGTGCAGAAAAAAACTTGAGTGAGACATGGGAGCTGAAATCAGTGTTCTGAGCTGGACAGGACAGAACCTCTAAGACAACCAAGGGGCATTTGAGTGCTGGCTTTGCCAGAGCAACTAGTGTGGGCATCATCCTGTTTACTGCCTGTTGCATGGAGACATGATGGTACCCACTGGATATGGCTGTGGCTAAGTGTATTATTCCGTTCCTACGCTGCTATGAAGAAATACCCAGACTGGGTAATTTATAAAGAAAAGAGGTTTAATTGACTCACAGTTCTGCATGGCTGGAGAGGCCTCAGGAAACTTATGATCATGGCAGAAGGCACCTCTTCACAGGGTGGCAGGAGAGAGAATGAGTGTAGGCAGAGGAAATGCCAGATGCTTATAAAACCATCAGATCTCGTGAGAACTCACTCAATATCATGAGAACAGCGTGGGGAAAACCACCCCCATGGTTCAATTACCTCCACCTGGTCCTGCCCTTGACACAGGGGGATAATTAGAACTCATGGTGAGATTTGGGTGGGAACACGGAGCCAAACCATATCACTAAGGTTCGCTTAACTAATGTGTAGAAAGGGTTCAGGGCAATGTCTATAACATAGCTATCACTCAATTTAGGTTGCTGTTATTATTATCATTTTCATGATAGAGTTATTATTATTATTCCAGAACAGCCAAAGCCTGCACCATCTATTCCAGCATATTTCGAGATTTAAAAGTACACCACTATTTCATTCTAAAGGAATGACTTGCCAAGATTTAAATTTCAAGTACTTTGACACCTAGGGGAATCTCCACCATGTTGGGGCTGCAGGGGGTACAAGGCCCCTCATTGTACCCTTCTGGTGCCTCTCCACCCTGCTCAGTGCCCCAGGAGGCTGACTGGCAGAAGCTCCATTGCCCTTTGGTGTTTGACTGTGTTTGGCCAGTGGGAGGCACTGGAAGGAGTTGCAGGATGGAAGGGAAGTGAGGCCAGAGCGTTTGCACCCAACTCCCTGCCCACCCATTCCCTGAACCAGAGCTAGAACTTCCACCAGGCAGCCTTGCCGTTCGGCCACCCTTCCCGGGTTGCAGGGCCTGCTCTCCTTCTGCATCTTCCTCAAGCCTAGAAGGGGGAATGCCTTCCCAATGACAAGCCCCAGGTACTGCACTATCCTTGGGTGGTTTCCCTAAATCTTGCCCATGCCTTCAAAAAAAAAAAAAAGGGGCCCTGTATTAAACTTTCCTTCACTTCCCAGTGTGAGTGTGCTTCCTGCCTCCTGCCGTGGGTACTTCCTGTTGTCCTTTAAATCACACCTATATAATTGTTTCCATGACTTCAAAACTATTTATAGCATACTTTACCTCATCCCTTTCTGTTCTCACCAACTAAAATAGCTTATATTTTAACCTTTGTCATAGAGACACACAAATACACACCTAGTACCTAAACAAAGCAGAGGAGAGGCAAGTTAATCCTCTGTGCCTACGAATATGTTAATTTTTAAAAGCATTACTGAGATGCTTAGTAAAGTAGCAGGTGTTGTGAAATTGCATTTTTATTACCCTTCCCCATATCAGGCAAGAAAGTTATGGTCTCTTCAGCTATTTTACCATTTGCTAAATGTTCCCAGTCAGTTAGCACAGATAATGCTTTTTTTTAAAATCATATTTAGGCAATTAGAAACTTTTGGGTTAATTAATTTTGCATATTAGAAGACAGGACTTTAATATAAATTTAAGGCAACGGGTTTAATATTGTAAATAATAACAGTTATCACAAACCATAAACATATTTATAATTTATATGCATGAAAATAGAGTCTGCTGTTAAAATATTGAAAATTAAGATAACACAGCTTTCAGCCTCAAAATGAAAACTTTCTGCATAGCTACACTCTCTAAGTAAGACATATTTGGCCAATGACTTAATATAAATGAATGGCAATTCTTTATTCAGACATACCATTATTTTCTAATGCATGTAGCATATTCAAAAGATGCATATGTTTCCAAAAATTATACCATCAAATGTGATAAGAAAGGAAGTTATGATGAAGGGTAAATAGGAGTGGGAGAACAAAGAAGCCAGGAATTGGGTTTGAAAGTAATGTCCATGTCCTGAAGGCCTCTACAATGAGCTATGCATCCTCCCTTTTTTATCATATTCAATGGTACAATTTTTGGAAAGATATGAGGGAAATGCAATTGGCTACCCTATGTTTATTATCTAGAAGATGAAAATAACCACCTAGTCAGGTAATGCAGATTTCTTCCCAGCACCAAGATAAAGAGATGTTTACTCATTAATGAGACACTGTGGCAACGGAAGGAAAACCAAGCTCCACAGGAGCATTCATCTGATTTCCTAAGACTATTTTATTTATTGAGCTCCTCAATGTAGACAGATGGAGTAACCCAAACGGCAATTTAGTGGTAGCAATTCTTTGGGGGGAAAAAGCTGAGAATGTTGCAATCCAGGTAAACATCTCGATGATGGCTCTAATGATTGCAGCTGTCAATTAACTGATACTCCCACATTTTTGTTGCAATGGCAGAGAATATGAAAGTCCTAAGGACAAAAACAGCAAACCGTCCTTGAGAATTTACATGTGGAAGATGAGAGCCTGAGCCTGTGGGGCCTGACTCCAGGCTCCCAGAGGCAACATGTGGCTCCATTTGGACTTCAGAAAAGCAGGGGAAAAGAATGACGAGGAGGCACAAAAGTTATTTTAAAACCAGGATGTAGTTGTAACAAATACAGCTGGAAAAGAGGAAATGAGATTTTTAAAATACAAGAAAAGATAGCGAAAAAGAGCCTCTGTTCCCGTTAATACCTCCTACTGTGCTACCAAAGTTCAGGGATTGCAAATGGCTGTAATCATTTGGCCACCGCCATGGACTGGCCTGTTAGCAGCAAAGTCAGGTCTGATGGCAGGTTCCACTCTGACATCTCAGCTCCATATTTTAGGGTTATTTGCCTCTCACCTTGAAAAACACCTACTGCAGTTAATTATTAACTGTCACCTTCACATCACCCAGAGCGGGCTGATGTTACAGAACAGCCTCAGCCAACTCTCATCTAAACTCTGGGTTTAGTTTTCTAGTTTTTGTTTTGTTTTATTTTGTTTCAGGCATCATACCTAAATAATGCCTAAACATCTTTCTCCTAGTAGGCAGATTATTTTTTCCTTCTAAATGTAATTAAAGATACAAACTCAGGCTGTGTTTGTGCTTGCCAAGAAAAGAACAAGCTAGATTTGGTGGCCTTCACAGTATTTTTTTTAGTATTTTAGGTTTCTCCATTATCTCAATAAAAGTCCATTTTAATACATTGAAATATTTGAAATATATTTATAAAAATTATGCGTTAAGTAATTTAGAACTAAACAACAAATCGGTAACATATAATACTATTTAAAGCAAATATCATCAAGGGTCAATTTCCTTAATGCAAAAAAAATCATGCAAATCAATACGTGAGAAAAGAAATAGACCAACAGGGAAAAATAGATAAATATTATGAGCAGACAGTTTACAGGAAAAATGATATATAAGAAGATGCATATATCTTAAAATATATTGGTTGAATAATATCCTATCTTAAACATTTTATTTCTACTTAAACCATATAAATGTATACTTGCTAACCGATCTTTTGACATAGTTTTTCATGTTTCTCTTATTATATAACTCTACCCATCATGTATTGCCTTTTATTTCCAATTTTGATTTCATCAAAGCATAGCAAAACATAAAAACCTTGTAAGCACTGACAATGATGGTTTCCAGCTTTACCCATGTCCCTGCAAAGGACATGAACTCATCCTTTTTTATGGCTGCATAGTATTCCATGGTATATATGTACCACATTTTCTTTATCCGGTCTATCATTGATGGGCATTGGGGTTGGTTCCAAGTCTTTGCTGTTGTGAACATGTATGCCAGGACTTGTAGTAAACAACAACAACAACAAACCTTCCAAGTGCAAAATCTCTGTAGATTTTTCCTTTTTTCCCCTCAGTCTTTTTTTTTAACAGCTTTGCTGAGGTATAGTTTTCATAGCATAAATTTCACTCATTCAAAATGTATAATCATCCAGCCTGAGCAATTGGTTAAGACTCCCATCTCTAAAGAAATTTAAATGAAAAAATAAATACGACGTGGAAATCAATGATTTTTTTAGTATGCTTACAGAATTGTACACCCATCGACTGAATTTAATTTTAGAACATTTTTGTCACTCCAGGAAGAAACCTTATGCATATTAGCAGTCACTCCCCACACCCCTTCCTCCTACTCCCCAGACCAAGCAGCTGCTGCTTCCTGTCTGTGTAGATTTTCATTTCCCTATTCTGCACGTTTCGTATAAAAGGAATCATGAACTACGTGGTCTTTCATGACTGGCTTCTTTCATTTAGGATGAAATGTTTTCAAAGTTCATCCACGTTGTGGCATGTATCAGTACTTTATTCCCTTTAGTGGCTGAATAATCTTCCACTGTATGGATGTACCACATTTTGTTTATCCGTTCATTAGTCAGTGGTCATTTGGGCTACTTACCCTTTTTGACTATTGTAAATAATGCTGCTCTGAACATTTGTGGGTGTGCAAGTGTTTATCTGGGCATGTGTTTTCATTTCTCTTGGGTATATACTCAGGATTGAAATTGCTGAGTCAAATGGTAACTCCATGTCTAACATTTTGAGGAACGCCAGACTGTGTTTCACAACAACTTCACCATTTTAACAGTCCCACCGGTAATGTATGGGTTCGAATTTCTCCACATCCTTTGCATCACTTGTTATTATCTGACTTTTTTATTATAGCAATTTTAGTGGTTGTGAAATGGCAACTCATTGTGGCTTTGAGTTGATACTCCCTTGTAGAAAAACAAGAGTCAAACTTACGTTTTAAAAAATATATGCTTGGGGCCGGGCGTGGTGGCTCACACTTCTAATCCCAGCACTTTGAGAGGCTGAGGCAGGTGGATCACCTGAGGTCATGAGTTCAAGACCAGACTGGCCAACATGGCAAAACCCCGTCTCTACTAAAAATACCAAAAATTAGCTGGGCATGGTGGTGGGCGCCTCTAATCCCAGCTACTCAGGAGGCTGAGGCAGGGACAATTGCTTGAACCCAGGAGGCAGAAGTGGCAGTGAGCCAAGATTGCACCACTACACTCCAGCCTGGGCAACAGAGCAAGACTCTGTCTCAAAAAATAATAATAATACACACACACACACACACACACACACACACACACACACACACACACACACGTGCTTGGGGAACTTTTAACAGGGAAAATATAATGTATGTGTTATGTAGGCTTCAGCCACAGATACATGATGAAGCTTACAACTGTAAACATGCAGGCTTTACTCTTCTTGATTACTGAGATGGATGGCAGTTTATCGACACTTATTCAGGTTTTTGCTCCTTTCTGTCAATTTAAATCTCAGGATCAGTGAAAAGAGCCCAGGGAGAAGACAGGAGATCTGTGTGTCCCCAGCCCTGTCCCCAAACTGTCTGTAAGAACTTTCAGCCTCTGAAACTCATCAGCAGTAGAAGATAACTTGTCTCCAATATTTGACAGTGGTGATGTGAAGGTAAAGCAAACTGATTAACACGAATCAACTATGAAAAACTTAAAGCGATTTACCAGCATCTTACATGTAGTAAATGTATTTTACACACACACATATCTATTATATTATATATACAGGACCGAAAGAATAAAGAAAAACATTTTTTGGGTAGGAAAATGGCAGAGACGACAGCAATAGCAGTATTTTCTGGCAAAATGTTACAGAATAAGATGGAGTATACAGAAAAGTAAGGTTACTCATTCAAAACAACAACCACAGATATTTTTTGTTGATATTGTTAGGTTTGGGATTTATTTTTTAGATTTTAATGAAGATGGTAGGTTAATTGATAACCTTCTTGGCAGGAGACCATAATCTTGGCTTTCAGAATGTGAATAAAAGGGGCTCTAGTTTCTTTCCCCTTTTTGTAATATCGTTGTCACCTCATAACTACAGCTTGGGGTTTTAGCTACAGTCCAAATGACATTTTAATTAATAAAATTTGGCCATAATTAAATTACATATAAAAATATATCACAAGTACCTCTTATTTAACTTTTACTTCTTTGCCAATATATAAAGTGGTCAATAAGACTTCTATTCAAAAATAGTGTATTTTTTAAATTTTATTATTACTATATTTAAGTTTTAGGGTACATGTGCACAACGTGCACGTTTGTTACATATGTATACATGTGCCATGTTTGTGTGCTGCAACCATTAACTCGTCATTTAGCATTAGGTATATCTCCTAATGCTATCCTTCCCCCCTCCCCCCACCCCACAACAGGCCCCAGAGAGTGATATTCCACTTCCTGTGTCCATGTGTTCTCATTCTCCATTTCCCACCTATGAGTGAGAACATGTGGTGTTTAGTTTTTTGTCCTTGCGATAGTTTGCTGAGAATGATGGTTTCCAGCTTCATCCATGTCCCTATAAAGGACATGAACCCATCATTTTTTATGGCTGCATAGTATTTCATGGTGTATATGTGCCACATTTTCTTAATCCAGTCTATCATTGTTGGACATTTGGGTTGGTTCCAAGTCTTTGCTGTTGTGAATAGTGCCACAATAAACATACGTGTGCATGTGTCTTTATAGCAGCATGATTTACAATCCTTAGGGTATTTACCCAGTAATGGGATGGCTGGGTCAAATGGTATTTCTAGTTCTAGATCCCCGAGGAATCGCCACACTGACTTCCACAATGGTTGAACTAGTTTACAGTCCCACCAACAGTGTAAAAGTGTTCCTATTTCTCTACATCCTCTCCAGCACCTGTTGTTTCCTGACTTTTTAATGATCGCCGTTCTACCTAGTGTGAGATGGTATCTCATTGTGGTTTTGATTTGCATTTCTCTGATGGCCAGTGATGATGAGCATTTTTTCATGTGTTTTTTGTCTGCATAAATGTCTTCTCTTGAGAAGTGTCTGTTCATATCCTTTGCCCACTTTTTGATGGGGTTGTTTTTTTCTTGTAAATTTGTTTGAGTTCATTGTAGATTCTGGATATTCACCCTTTGTCAGATGAGTAGGTTGCAAAAATTTTCTCCCATTCTGTAGGTTGCCTGTTCGCTCTGATGGTAGTTTCTTTTGCTGTGCAGAAGCTCTTTAGTTTAATTAGATCCCATTTGTCAATTTTGGCTTTTGTTGCCATTGCTTTTGGTGTTTTAGACATGAAGTCCTTGCCCATGCCTATGTCTTGAATGGTATTGCCTAGGTTTCCTTCTAGGGTTTTTATGGTTTTAGGTCTAACATGTAAGTCTTTAATCCATCTTGAATTAATTTTTGTATAAGGTGTAAGGAAGGGATCCAGTTTCAGCTTTCTACATATGGCTAGCCAGTTTTCCCAGCACCATTTATTAAATAGGGAATCCTTTCCCCATTGCTTGTTTTTCTCAGGTTTGTCAAAGATCAGATAGTTGTAGATATGTGGCATTATTTCTGAGGGCTCTGTTCTGTTCCATTGGTCGATATCTCTGTTTTGGTACCAGTACCACGCTGTTTTTGTTACTGTAGCCTTGTAGTATAGTTTGAAGTCAGGTAGCGTGATGCCTCCAGCTTTGTTCTTTTGGCTTACGATTGACTTGGCAATGCGGGCTCTTTTTTGGTTCCATATGAACATTAAGGTAGCTTTTTCCAATTCTGTGAAGAAAGTAATTGGTAGCTTGAGGGGGATGGCATTGAATCTATAAATTACCTTGGGCAGTATGGCCATTTTCACGATATTGATTCTTCCTACCCATGAGCGTGGAATGTTCTTCCATTTGTTCATATCCTCTTTTATTTCATTGAGTAGTGGTTTGTAGTTCTCCTTGAAGAGGTCCTTCATATCCCTTGTAAATTGGATTCCTAAGTATTTTATTCTCTTTGAAGCAATTGTGAATGGGAGTTCACTCATGATTTGGCCCTCTGTTTGTCTGTTATTGGTGTATAAGAATGCTTGTGATATTTGCACATTGATTTTGTATCCTGAGACTTTGCTGAAGTTGCTTATCAGCTTAAGGAGATTTTGGGCTGAGACAATGGGGTTTTCTAGATATACAATCATGTCATTTGCAAACAGGGACAATTTGACTTCCTCTTTTCCTAATTGAATACCCTTTATTTCCTTCTCCTGCCTGATTGCCCTGGCCAGAACTTCCAACACTATGTTGAATAGGAGTGGTGAGAGAGGGCATCCCTGTCTTGTGCCGGTTTTCAAAGGGAATGCTTCCAGTTTTTGTCCATTCAGTATGATATTGGCTGTGGGTTTGACATAGATAGCTCTTATTATTTTGAGATACGTCCCATCAATACCTAATTTATTGCGAATTTTTAGCATGAAGGGTTGTTGAATTTTATCAAAGGCCTTTTATGCATCTATTGAGATAATCATGTGGTTTTTGTCTTTGGTTCTGTTTATATGCTGGATTACGTTTATTGATTTTCGTATGTTGAACCAGCCTTGCATCCCAGGGATGAAGCCGACTTGATCATGGTGGATAAGCTTTTTGATGTGCTGCTGGATTCAGTTTGCCAGTATTTTATTGAGGATTTTTGCATCAATGTTCATCAAGGATATTGGTCTAAAATTCTCTTTTTTGGTTGTGTCTCTGCCCGGCTTTGGTATCAGGATGATGCTGGCCTCATAAAATGAGTTAGGGAGGATTCCCTCTTTTTCTATTGATTGGAATAGTTTCAGAAGGAATGGTACCAGCTCCTCCTTGTACCTCTGGTAGAATTTGGCTGTGAATCCATCTGGTCATGGACTTTTTTTGGTTGGTAAGCTATTAATTATTGCCTCAATTTCAGAGCCTGTTATTGGTCTATTCAGAGATTCAAATTCTTCCTGGTTTAGTCTTGGGAGGGTGTATGTGTCTAGGAATTTATCCATTTCTTCTAGATTTTCTAGTTTATTTGCGTAGAGGTGTTTATGGTATTCTCTGATGGTAGTTTGTATTTCTGTGGGATCGGTGGTGATATAACCTTTGTCATTTTTTATTGCATCTATTTGATTCTTCTCTCTTTTCTTCTTTATTAGTCTTGCTAGCAGTCTATCAATTTTGTTGATCTTTTAAAAAAACCAGCTCCTGGATTCATTGATTTTTTGAAGGGTTTTGTGTGTCTCTATTTCCTTCAGTTCTGCTCTGATCTTAGTTATTTCTTACCTTCTGCTAGCTTTTGAATGTGTATGCTCTTGCTTCTCTAGTTCTTTTAATTGTGATGTTAGGGTGTCAATTTTAGATCTTTCCTGCTTTCTCTTGTGGGCATTTAGTGCTATAAATTTCCCTCTACACACTGCTTTGAATGTGTCCCAGAGATTCTAGTATGTTTTGTCTTTGTTCTCGTTGGTTTCAAAGAACATCTTTATTTCTGCTTTCATTTCGTTATGTACCCAGTAGTCATTCAGGAGCAGGTTGTTCAGTTTCCATGTAGTTGAGTGATTTTGAGTGAGTTTCTTAATCCTGAGTTCTAGTTTGATTGCACTGTGGTCTGAGAGACAGTTTGTTATAATTTCTGTTCTTTTACATTTGCTGAGGAGTGCTTTACTTCCAACTATGTGGTCAATTTTGGAATAGGTGTGGTGTGGTGCTGAAAAGAATGTATATTCTGTTGATTTGGGGTGGAGAGTTCTGTAGATGTCTATTAGGTCCGCTTGGTGCAGAGCTGAGTTCAATTCCTGGATATCCTTGTTAACTTTCTGTCTCATTGATCTGTCTAATGTTGACAGTGGGGTGTTAAAGTCTCCCATTATTATTGTGTGGGAGTCTAAGTCTCTTTGTAGGTCACTAAGGACTTGCTTTATTAATCTGGGTGCTCCTGTATTGGGTGCATATGTATTTAGGATAGTTAGCTCTTCTTGTTGAATTAATCCCCTCACCATTATGTAATGGCCTTGTTTGTCTCTTTTGATCTTTGTTGGTTTAAAGTCTGCTTTATCAGAGACTAAGATTGCAACCCCTGCCTTTTTTTGTTTTCCATTTGCTTGGTAGATCTTCCTCCATCCCTTTATTTGGAGCCTATGTGTGTCTCTGCACATGAGATGGGTTTCCTGAATACAGCACACTGATGGGTCTTGACTCTATTCAATTTGCTAGTCTGTGTCTTTTAATCGGAGCATTTAGCCCATTTACATTTAAGGTTAATATTGTTATATGTGAATTTGATCCTGTCATTATGATGTTAGCTGGTGATTTTGCTCATTAGTTGATGCAGTTTCTTCCTAGCCTTGATGGTCTTTACAATTTGGCATGTTTTTGCAGTGGCTGGTACTGGTTGTTCCTTTCCATTTTTAGTGCTTCCTTCAGGAGCTCTTTTAGGGCAGGCCTGGTGGTGACAAAATCTCTCAGCATTTGCTTGTCTGTAAAGTATTTTATTTCTCCTTCACTTATGAAGCTTAGTTTGGCTGGATATGAAATTCTGGGTTGAAAATTCTTTTCTTTAAGAATGTTGAATATTGGCCCCTATTCTCTTCTGGCTTGTAGAGTTTCTGCTGAGAGATCAACTGTTAGTCTGATGGGCTTCCCTTTGTGGGTAACCCTACCTTTCTCTCTGGCTGCCCTTAACATTTTTTCCTTCATTTCAACTTTGGTGAATCTGACAATTATGTGTCTTGGAGTTGCTCTTCTCGAGGAGCATCTTTGTGGTGTTCTCTGTACTTCCTGAATCTGAATGTTGGCCTGCCTTGCTAGATTGGGGAAGTTCTCCTGGATAATATCCTGCAGAGCATTTTCCAACTTGATTCCATTCTCCCTGTCACTTTCAGGTACACCAATCAGATGTAGATTTGGTCTTTTCACATAGTCCCATATTTCTTGGAGGACTTGTTTGTTTCTTTTTATTCTTTTTTCTCTAAACTTCTCTTCTCGCTTCATTTCATTCATTTTGTCTTCCATCGCTGATACTCTTTCTTGCAGTTGATCGAATCAGCTACTGAGGCTTCTGCATTCATCACATAATTCTCGTGCTGTGGTTTTCAGCTCCATCAGGTCCTTTAAGGACTTCTCTGCATTAGTTATTCTAGTTAGCCATTCATCTAATTTTTCCCAAGGTTTTTAACTTCTTTGCCATTGGTTCAAACTTCCTCCTTTAGCTCAGAGTAGTTTGATCTTCTGAAGCCTTCTTCTCTCAACTTGTCAAAGTCATTCTCCATCCAGCTCTGTTCCGTTGCTGGTGAGGTGCTGCGTTCCTTTGGAGGAGGAGAGGCTCTCTGATTTTTAGAGTTTCTGGTTTTTCTGCTCTGTTTTTTGCCCATCTTTGTGGTTTTATCTACCTTTAGTCTTTGATGATGGTGACGTACAGATGGGTTTTTGGTGTGGATGTCCTTTCTGTTTGTTAGTTTTCGTTCTAACAGACAGGACCCTCAGCTGCAGGTCTGTTGGAGTTTGCTAGAGGTCCACTCCAGACCTTGTTTGCTTGGGTATCAGCAGCAGTGGCTGCAGAACAGCAGATATTGGTGAACCTCAAATGCTGCTGCCTGATCATTCCTCTGGAAGTTTTGTCTCAGAGGAGTACCCGGCCGTGTGAGGTGTCAGTCTGCCCCTCCTAGGGGATGCCTCCCAGTTAGGCTATTCGGGGGTCAGGAACCCACGTGAGGAGGCAGTCTGCCCATTCTCAGATCCCAAGCTGCGTGCTGGGAGAACCACTACTCTCTTTCAAAGCTGTCAGACAGCGACATTTAAGTCTGCAGAGGTTACTGTTGCCTTTTGTTTGTCTGTGCCCTGCCCCCAGAGGTGGAGCCTGTAGAGGCAGGCAGGCCTCCTTGAGCTGTGGTGGGCTCCACGCAGTTTGAGCTTCCCGGCTGCTTTGTTTACCTACTCAAGCCTTGGCAATGGTGGGCGCCCCTCCCCCAGCCTCACTGCCACCTTGCAGTTTGATCTCAGACTGCTGTGCTAGTAATGAGCGAGGCTCCGTGGGCATAGGACCCTCCGAGCCAAGTGCGGGATATAATCTCCTGGTGTATGGTTTGTTAAGCCCGTTTGGAAAAGCGCAGTATTAGGGTGGGAGTGACCCAATTTTCCAGGTGCCGTCTGTCACCCCTTTCTTTGACTAGGAAAGGGAGTTCCCTGACCCCTTGCACTTCCTGGGTGAGGCGATGCCTTGCCCTGCTTCGGCTTACGCACAGTGCGCTGCACCCACTGTCCTGCACCCACTGTCTGGCACTCCCCAGTGAGATGAACCCAGTACCTCAGTTGGAAATGCAGAAATCACCCACCTTCTGCGTCGCTCACGCTGGGAGCTATAGACTGGAGCTCTTCCTATTCGGCCATCTTGGCTCCACCCCAAAAATAGTGTATTTTAGACAGTTTAGAGAGTCATTATTCCATGGTTCAGTATGAACCTTCTTTTTGCTACTGTTTGTACCTTTTCGTCACTGTGACTTCATCAGGAACAAGAATTTCATCCCTGCAGCAAACACCGCTGCGAATATGGACTGCAGGGTGACAAAATCATCGTCACAATTTTTACGCTTTCTGAATTTCTCTTGCAAATATCCACATTAACAGTACTAATATTCTTCAGCCTTCAAAACTCATGCTGTTTTATTTCTCACACTTGCCCTTCATTCTCTTTGTAATGGATCCACAATCGTTCCATCTGTAATGTTTTGCCTTAAAAGAGCAGTTTTTTTCCCAAGTGTCTTCAAGAACCATTTGTATTAGCATCAACTGGGTACATGTACAGAATGCAAATTCATAGGCCTGAAGCTAGACCTGCTGGATCAGGGTATGGCCTGGTAATGTGTATTTTCATAAGCATCCAGGTACCTCACAGGTGCACTTATATCTTGTATATACTGCTATGGAAGGTGCTCTGCTCTAATTAATCAAACAAGTATGTAATAGAGTAAGCCTCATAGCATAATAAATAATACTGTGGGCCATGGCAGTAAGAACTGGCTCATTTAAATACTGTTAAATTATCAGGACAAGTATTAAATATGTAATTTTTATTAAATATACCACTGGTTGCCAGAAGAATTCTCATTGATGTAGCAGTTTTCACATTTATATATATTTATAATTTTAAAATGATAGATAACATATACTGAATGCTTACTATTAGCCATGCCCTGTTTTTCATAAATTAATCCATGTATATAAGTATTTTACATTTACTCATTTATACAGCATGATGAGCGACAAGGTGCTATCATTATTATCATTATCATCTTAGATGGGGAAACTGAGGCATGGGGGCCCCACAGCACTAAGTGGCAGAGCCATGATTCAGCAGTAAATAATCCAGTACCAAAGCTCTGGTCCTTAGCAATTATACCTGTACTGTCTCTCTATTTGTAAAGAAAGTGTAGGTCTTTAAATGCTATTTTGAACAGATTTCCATATACCTATGTATAGAATAACCAACTACAATTGAACTTTTATTGTACCTTATCATACTCTACAGCTAGATGGCTGTCTTTAGTCCATTTTGCACTGCTACAAAGAAATACCTGAAGCTGGGCAATTTATAAGGAAAAGAGTTTTATTGGGCTCACAGTGCCCAGGCTGTACAAGTAGCATGGAGCCAGCATCTGCTTCTGGTGAGGCCTCAGGCTGCTTCCACTCATGGTGAAAGGTGGAGGGAAGCTGGTGTGTGGCAATCACGTGGTGAGGAAGAACACAAAGCAGAGGGGGAGGTGCCAGGCTCTTTTTAACAACCGGCTCCCATGGGAATCATGTGTGAGAACTCACTCACTGCCCCCCACCAAGGAGGGCATCAATCTTTTCACCAGGCATCTGCCCTCATGACACAAACACCTCTCATTAAGCCCCACCTCCAACACTGGAGATCAAATTGCAACATGAGATTTGGAGGGGCCAAAACAAACCAAAAGATAGCAATGTCTCTGGCATTTAAACAATATATTTAAACTATATTTGGCCACTTAAAACTACGTTTGAGGCCTACCTAATTTAAAACGAATGAAAATAGACAATAATTCTACCCTTATAATGCCTAAAATCTAGTTGCGGAGATTTAAAAAAAATTCTAACCGTTCCATAAATAAACATAACTTTGCAACTTTGGCAAATAATACAAAATAGAATTACACAGAATTGTGAGAGCTTTTAAAAGATGGTTTATTCTCGACAGGAAAGTCTGGAGGGGCTTCCTTGTGAACAGGTGAATGGATGAACAGTCATTAACCTGGTAAAGCAGGGACCAGTGATGGGGAGCTCTGCCTTCGGAAATGGAAGACTGCTGTTACAGAACAAATCCGCTATCAGGAACATCCAGAAAAGGTCAAAGGCACTGCAGAGCTGCCAAGGAAGTGAGGACTTGTGTCTTCATGTCCAAAAGATGGAAGAACAGAGAGGTAGAGAAATATAGGGGTGGCATTCACTCATTTGCACAAGGCAGCTGACAGGTTGTGGATTTCTATAGACTTGGGGTCTAAAAGTAGAAGTCCTGAGAAACACACTAGAGTTTGAATTGGAATCCCCAAAGGCTACACACTAGAAAAAAAGAATTAGAGATGGAATTTTCCTCAGGACGAAAGCCCAGACTGTAAAGATGTTAACCCTTGTCTAAATTAAGAATATTTGCCTTCTTCCTAACTACCTGCCAGAAGCAAAAGTGAATCCACTCTGGAGGAAGACAAAGCATCTAGAGCTTCAAATTATCTGCACACCTAGTATTGGAAATATGAAGTATTGAGCCAAAAATTACCAAGAAAGAACAAAATAATTGAACAAAGAGCAACAGCAACACATAAGCGCGCGTGCGCACATGCACACACACACACACACACACACACACAGACACACACACCAGAATAACAGAAGAACCAGAAAGAACTTATTAGATATGGACTTTAGCATGTTTGTAAAACTAAATCATAAAATACAGAGTTATTATTATTTATTTATTTTTGAGAGGGAGTCTTGCTCTGTGGCCCAGGCTGGAGTGCAGTGGTAGGATCTCAGCTTGCTGCAACCTCCACCTGCCGGGTTCAAGCGATTCTCCTGTCTCAGCCTCCCAAGTAGCTGGGATTGCAGGTGTGTGCCACTGTGCCCAGCTAATTTTTGTATTTTTAGTAAAGACAGCATTTCACTGCGTTGGCCAGGCTTGTCTCAAACTGCTGACCTCAAGTGATCCACCCACCTAGGCCTCCCAGAGTGCTGGGATTACAGGTGTGAGCCACTGTGTCTGGCCCAAAATGTAGAATTATACCATGAAATGGAAACCATTTAAAATCAAATGGGCATATTAGAATGGAAACAAAATAAGATATGAAATTAAGAACTCAATGAATGGATTTAACAACCATTTAACACAGCTGAACAGAAGAAAAGGGAGCAAACAAAAAAATTCAATATCTGGTTACAAGTAGAAAAATGTAGAAAACAGTGTAACATGCATAATAGATGTTGGAAACCTCTAGTATAGGTGTAATTAAAGTTGCAGAAGGAGAAGACGGAGAGAATAGAAAGGGAACTGTTACAGATGAGATCATTTCAAAAGTAACGGAAAAATCCAACAGATATTAGCTGCTGTATGAACTTCAGATAGATTACAACAAACAGACAAAATGTACCTAAGGATATCATAATAAAATTTCTGAAAACTGAAGACAAGAGGAAGTCTAAAAAGCAGTCAGAGACAAAACATATGTTATCTTTAAGGGGAAATAGAAATACTAATAATGACTGTATAAGAGTGCAAGTCAGAAGATGGAGACATGACATTGTCAAGTGCGGAATGAAAATAAATGCCAAAATAGAACTCCATATGCTCTAAAGTTCTTCTTCAAAACAAAGGAAAAATATAAGGACATTTTTTTGAAAAACAAAAACCTAGGAAATTTGTCAAACTTCCAGTAAAGGAATGACTGAGAGAACTCTTCATGCAAAAAAACATAATCACAGATGAAAATAGATGACTTAAGAAGAGAAGAATGGAAAAGATAAATGTGTGGCTATGTCCAAGGGAATATTGATTGTACAAAACAATGATTAGAAAAAAATACCTATATAAATCTTGATAAATAATAGCACAAAAGACAGGACTTTGTTAAATAATATTTGATTACTCAAAGTTCCTTATTACCTGGAGAATTGTAGATATATTAATTAATGCAACTATCAACTAATTGAAATTAATATGATTATCAATATAAGATTCTAATTAAGAATATATTTTGAATTTATGGGGTAAACACTGAAAGAATAATAATTGTTTAATAACAGGCTAATTTGAAGAAGATTTATCAATAAACATAATTAACTCAAAAGAGGAAAAACGGGACAAACAGAATTAGTAAGATTGATTGGAATGCCAATGTGTCAGTGATTGCATTAATGCAAATGGATTGAATACTCAGATTAAAAGGCAAAATTGTCAGACTGAATTAGCAAATAAAGACAGGCAGCTCACAAAAAAAGCTGCCTAAAATATGAGGACCAAAAAAAAAAAAAAACCCTGAAAAAAAGAGAGTAAGTTGAATACATGCAAGCAGTAGGCAAAATAAAATTGGCATATATAATTTTGCAAATGACACTGAAAGGCAAGAAATGACACATTTCTAAATATAAATAGTGTCATTGCATTAGGATTAAAGGGTCTATCTGACAAGAATTTATAATCTTAGACTGGTATGCACCTAATAATATAGCTTCAAAATATATAAAGCAAAAATTAACAGAATTAAGGAGGAAAATAGACAAATCTACAATCTTAGATTTTACCATACCTCTCTGAGAAACTGAAAGAACATCCAAGAAAAAAAATCAATAAGGATGTAGTAGATTTGAAAATCACAATGAGCTAACTTGATCTAGTTGAAAAATACAGAAATACTACATCTGTCATTTCAGAATATACATCATATTCTATCCAATATGTATATGCATTGCCCAAATTGACCGTATGTTTGAAAACAAATCACACACACACACACACACACACAGTATCACCAAGTATAGGGATTGAAATTCTGAGTATTTTTTCTCTAACTATAGTGAGATTAAGCTAAAAGTTAATATTAAAAATATACCTCAAACATCTTTAAATATTTGTAAATTATTTCTAAACAACTCATTGGCCAAAAATAAAAATTACAAAGGAAATTAAAAGTGCCAATTTTATAACCTAACATCTCAATAATTTACCCAATAGAACAGCAAATAACACACAGTCACACATTGCTTAATGACAGGATACTTTATGAACCCAACATTCAGTGATGTTAGTCATTGTGTAAACATCAAAGAGTGTACTTACATGAATATAGAGGGTACAGCCTCCTACACACTTAGCCTATATGGCATAGCTCCTATACTACAAACCTGTACAGCATGTTGCTGGACTGAATACCTAATTTTACTGTACCTTTTCTATGTTTAGATATGCCATGGTAAGTAGTTGTATATCTAAACATAGAAAAGGTAAAGTAAAATTATGGCATAAGAAATAAATAATGTTACATCTGTACAGGGAACTTACCATAAATGGAGCTTCTGTAACTTAGAGTTGCTCTGAGTGAGTCTGGGAGTGAGTGGTGAGTGAATGTGAAGGTCTAGGACATTACTGTACACTACTGTAGACTTTCCCAACACTTTACACTTAGGCTATACTAAATTTGTAAAAACAAAAACTAAAACTAAAACAAAAAAAACCCTTTTCTTTTTTCAATAATATGTTAACGTTAGCCTACTGTAACTTTTTTACTTTCTAACATTTTGAGTTTTTAAAAAATTATTTGATTCTTTTGCAATCACACTTACCTTAAGACACAAATAATACAATCATACAGATATTTTCTTTATATTCTTATCTATATGCTTTTATCTATTTTCAAATTTCTTATTTCATTTGTTACTTTTTAAACTTTTTGCTAAAAATTAAGACACACACACAATTTTGTGTTTATTATTATCAAACATTATGTACCATACATAATTGTATCGCTATACTTTTAAACAAGCGGTAGTGCAATAGGTTTGTTCACACCAGCATCACCAAAAACTCGTGAGAACTGCATTGTGCTATGGTGTTAGGACAATGATGATGTCACTAGGAACAGGAATTTTTCGGCTTCATTATAATCTGGGACTACTGTGGTATATGTGGTCTGTCATATGTTGACTGAAATGTTATGTCATGCATGATTGCATAAAGAAAGTAGGAAAAAATAGTACGTATGACCAATCTTATTAATTAAATTGATAAAAAGTGCATGACACAACTCAAAAAGCTAAAAGTTGTTTTTCAAGCAAATAATTAAATAGGTAAACACCAGGGAAGATTGAATTTTTAAAAATCAAGTATTACCCTATTCCAAATGAAAAAGAACATCATTTTAATGGAAACCAAAAAGAAGAAGTATTTGCAATGCTTATTAACTGACAAAGGACTCATATCCTGGATATATTAAAAGGTTTGACAAATAAAGATATTAAAAGTCCTGGACACTACAAATGACAAATGGGCAAAAACATTAACACGCACGTCACAAAAGAAAATATCCAAATTACTAAGAAACATATAAAAGCTTTCCTTTTCACTGTCATTAGTTTTTGAGGCAATGCAAGATACCCGTATACCGTCATCAGAAATGTTACTCAAAAGTGAAATAAAACAAAATATAACCTGACAATATCAAATGGTAAGAAGAATGTGAAGCAACAGGTCACTCACATCCTACTTGTGTGGGAGTAATTTTGTGCAGCCTCTGTTTATCAGGTTACACAAGGCTGAATACACACATTCTAATAAATCTACTAAGGCTAAACATATACCTTCTAATAAATCTATCAAGTTTCTAGATATATAGCCTTCAGAAATTCTTACATGTGTAAATCAAGACTGTAATGAGAATGGTCATAACATCATTATTTATGTTAGTGCCTATCCAAGCAAAAAAAAAAAATCCAAATTGACTCAACAATAGCATGGATTGATTATGAAATGTTCATACCATGGAATGCCATGCAGTGATGGAAGCTGACTACAGCTACATACAATATCTCCGAGTCTCCCAAGGGAGACAGAGTGAAAGAAGCCATTCACATTGATTCCATTTATATGGAGTTCAGAAGTCTCCCCAGCTAACTAGCGTTAGAAGTCAGGATAGTGATTTTCTCAGGGGAGAAATGGGATTGTAACTAGAAGAATGCACCAAGAAATCTTTTGAGACACCGCTTATCTTGTATGTCTTCATCTGGTTGTGATTACATGGATGTATGCACTTTGAGATAAGTTATTAAGTTGTAGACTTATGACTTAGGCACTTCTCTCTAAATGTCGTACTTCAACAAGATGTTTTGGTTTGTTTTTACATTAAAAGACAGAAGGAAGAGGAGAGTATTTAAGGTAAAGAAAATAGCACGAAAAAATCTCTGTGCAGGAATTAAGTGTGTACCAAGATTGAATAAAGCCATGTGAATGGAGTACAGAGGTAAAGAAATAAAGATAAAGAGAGGAGGAGGGGAGATGGGAAAAAAGGAAGGAGGAAAGGAGAAAGAAAAGACAACAGAAAAAGAAAAAAAATGAAGCTGGAAAAGTAAGTAATGGCGGCCCCTCTCCAAGGTCCAGAAACTTGGATACTTCCCTAATAGCAGTGAACGCCAGAGAAGGGGTTTAGCTGTGGAGAGTGTGGTGATGTGATGAGATTTGTACTTCAGATATCTCTAGATGAATGCACTGGAGAAGGGAAAAAAGTAGATGTGAGTGGATGAAAAAAGAATGAACAGCAGTTGTCCAGCAGAGAGAAGTGTTCGTTACCTGGGTCTGAGTGTTGGTGGTAGGGAAGCTGCAGGAATGTATAATTGTGTGGATGCTGGGGGTAGAGGGAGAGGGAGCTATGCTTAAAATACCAGCCCAAGCTTTTCTAACTCCAAAATATCTTTTATTTATTTGTTTCTTTCTTTCTTTCTTTTTTTATTTTGAGATGGAGTCTCGCTGTGCCACCCAGGCTGGAGTGCAGCAGTGCCATCTCAGCTCACTGCAACCTCTGCCTCCTAGGTTCAAGCAATTCTCCTGTCTCAGCCTCCCGAGTAGCTGGGACTGCAGGTGCACGCCACCACAGCTGGCTAATTTTTGTATTTTAAGTAGAGGCAGGGTTTCACCACATTGGTCAGGCTGGTCTTGAACTCCTGACCTCAGGTGAACCACCTGCGTCGGCCCTCAAAGTGCTGGGATTACAGGCATGAGTCACTGTGCCTGGTCCAAAATATCTCTTAAAAAGTCATTTAACCACGTGTTTCTCTTTTCTATAACTCGTTGTAAACAATGAATTCCTATATTTAATAGTGATGTCCTTTTTGTATTCTAGTTTAATAACACTATTTCATGGGTTAATTGTTTTAATAGGAATTTCCTAGTCGATATAGTTTTATTTATTACCTCATTGGAGGAAGAGTTTTATACATATTTTATAGAGGTGGGCCCAAAAGTCCCCGCTATGTTGGTAGACACATAATAATTAAATTTTAAAAAGCTATGGCCTTCTAAATTTTTCTTTCTTTTGAAATAAATATATACAGATTTTTGACTTATTTATCAACAATTGTGCCATCTTATAGGAAAATTAACAAGGTTCATTTATGAATGTGTCACAAAACTGCTTTTCTTGAACTGCTGATGTTTGAATATTATAATTTTATGCCATCTGTGATATGAGCATTTGTTACATATAAGTTCTATCATAAGCAAACTAAAATCACTCCCTTTGTTTAAATGTGTTTAGTAAGTCTATTGCTTTCAGTTTATAAGTGTTTGACCATTGCTCTTCTATAAAAGACTCTACAAGAACTCTAAAATATATACTGTGCTTCACTGATTCTGTAAAATAGATATGTAAAGTAATTTCACATTGTTCAAAGATACTAGGAATCACATACACTTAACTGCTTATATTTTCCAATACTTTGCTTAGTTACAAAGTTTCTGTATAAAGATATTCTCATGTATAAAAGAGCCCAACAATTGTTTTGTACTTCTTACACTTCCTTAAGATAGTATTTAATACCAACAAAATACTGCTTGAGTCAGGAGGCCTTAATCAATTTGTTAGAGTAGGAAACTGAAGAGTTAAAATAGTTGTGGTATTGGCCTACACCGACATGTGACGTGAGACATGGCTGTGGATATGACATCCAGGCTCCATCCTCTGTTCCTCCTCTTGGAAATTCGGTCTGTAGCCTAACACATTTGTTAATGCACAGAGACAAGTATGTGGGGAGAAAAGACACACTGAGCTGGATACCTGTGTATTTTGGTTCATACCTGAGATGAACCTGAAATACAGTCTATTACCTGAAATAGAAGACCAACGTGTTGTAATGAATTTAGTCTGAATTATCTCATTCCTGGGAGGTTCCTGTTAAATTGAGCAAGTGCGAGATAGAGATGAACATAAATCATTTCTTTCACTCTTAGTCTACTCTGGCAAAGTGAAACATTGCCAAAGATAACAGTCTTTTAATTAATTTTGGAGGTTGGTTTATGTATACCCTTGGAATTTCTTGGATACATGCTTCATTAATAGGCCAATATGCCTAGGTTTAAAGAAGATATTTATTTTAAAATTTAATATGTCGATTCTTAGTTGAAAGTATAGTGGAAGAGGCAGCAGCATAAATATCCTCTCATTTATTGCTTCGTTTGTTCGAGAAACATGAATTGAACAACCTACTACTCATCAGTCAGTGTGAAAGTAGGAGGACTCAAAGAAGAACATGCAGGCATAGGCCTTCAAGTTGGGATGCAAAGGCAGCCGTGCCAATAAGTAAATATGTGTGATAAGTTGTTAGATGTGCAATTCTAGCTATAAGATGATTGATTTAATGGCCAACATAGCCCTTGTAATATAACATTAGCACTGAGGTGAGATTAAATTCCGTTTCCATCTCTTGGTTGCAAAGGGTCAGTGGGGAAATGGGTCATCTGTGAGCAGGGTTGATATTGGACTTAATAGTTTTGCATGGATGATCTATAAATGGCTCTTCTCTAATCCTTACTACCTACCCAAATGATATCCTTATTATTCCAACCCAAAATTAGTGCAGGAGCTTCCTAGCTGCCTTGCCTGTCCCTGTCTCCCTGCTTTGGAGGGTGGATTTGATTTTAAAGTATGGATCATGCTATATCAATGTCTACCTGGGGGCCTTGGCTGCGACATTCCTGTTTTTGTAGGACACGGCTCACATGGCTCTCACTGCTGGTCTCCACATGTCCTTCCACCCTCATTTCCATCACCCAGCTCTGCTTCCAGGTGATAGTGTACTGAACTACTCAGGCCATCCCTCTGCAGGCATTCATTTTCCCTGGCTCCAGGTCCTAATGGCTAAATTTGTATTGCTCCTATAAAATGTATTTCAGCTGTCATCACTTGCTTTAGCTTTCTTTCATATTTGCCTAAAGACCCCAGGAGCCCTGCCATCTGTATTCCTGTATCATATTTGTACAATTATTTTTGTTGTTGTCCATATTGTTAATTTGCATATCACCCACCAGACACCGTGAGATCCTCAAGGACAGGGACTGTTTTCTATAATAAAATCTATCACATGTCATCAAGCTTGGCATATCATTAGTCTCTCAACATATTTTAAGTTAATTTGTCTAATTTCTGAATGATTGAGAGAAGCTAAAAACATTGGTTATATGCTTTCTCCAAACGATTATTATCATACCTGTGTGATTTGTAAAATAAATGCCGACCCATCTCATACTTTTTCTAGTAGATATCTTCCTGAAAATTTATGGGTAAATTAAATCATGTGAAATGAATAATGTCTTCAGTGAAATAGGACAGCTCACATTTTAAAGAACATCAGTAATGAACTAATCTGTGTAAAAGAATAGTTTTAGTCTCTTTTCTTATGTCACGTTGACTGTCGCTTTTACAAATTGGGAATTTTACAGGTTGAGTTGCCTTATGTTGGGGTTCCTCTAGGTAAAGGTATTCATGCAGTTAAACTTCTAGTAATAAGCAACAAGAAAATAACACTGATAAAGTGACATGAGGAATCTGCTCCTGTGCTGTAACTATTTCCTGATGTCAAATGTGAAACTGAACATTTTGCCAAAAGTCTCAACTTAAATCAAAGCCACTTTAATCAAAGCAGTTGCTAATGCCAGCAGTACATAAATTGAGGATGGAGCAAAAGGATCGACACCACCAATGGCTGCATTGTGATAGGTGTGGACAGAGCCTGCCAGAATTAAACACATGCCAGGAGTCAACACTAGGCAAAGGTAAATGGGATAGGTGCTGTGAAACATGGCAGATCCTATGGGACTTAGGTGCTCCCAAACATGGCAGACCCTATGGGGCTTAGGTGCTGAAAAACACGGCAGATTCTATGGGGCTTAGGTGCTGTGAAACATGGCAGCTTCTATGGGATTTAGGTGCTGTGAAACACGGAAGATTCCATGGGGCTTAGGTGCTATGGAACAGGGCAGATTCTATGTGACCAAACCTAACAGAAACAGTGCGGTGAGAATCGTAAGATAAACATGCTATTCCTGTGATCTGGGTGAACAAACAAACAAAAACAGGAAATACAACTGCAAAACCTAGACAGAGAAGAGCCAAAACTGTTGATAAATATAGGACCACCTTCGCATCCCCGTTTGCGAAAATGTTGATAAATATAGGACCACCTTCGCATCCCTGTTTGTGAAACTGTTGATAAATATAGGACCACCTTCACATCCCTGTTTGTGAATGCAATAGCACAAGAAAAAGTCATTTTGAGGATGGGATAGGGAATGAACTTCTGATGGTAATGCTGTCTTCAAATGGTTCCGAATTGAATTTTATCAGAAATTTAAATACCCAAAATTAATATAGAAATTGAGAACCATCTTATGTTAAGCACTTTTTCCTTACACTTACTTTCCTTCTTTTCCTTTTTTTTGTTCTTTTTTTTTGAGACAGAGTTTCGCTCTTGTTGCCCAGGCCGGAGTGCAATGGCACAATCTCGGCTCACCACAACCTCCGCCTCCCGGGTTCAAGCAATTCTGCCTCAGCCTCCTGAGTAGCTTGGATTACAGGTGTCCACCACCATGCCCAGCTAATTTTTGTAATTTTAGTAGAGACGGGATTTTACCATGTTGGCCAGGCTGGTCTTGAACTCCTGACCTCAGGTGGTCCACCCGCCTCGGCCTCCCAAAGTGCTGGGATTATAGGCGTGAGCCACCGCACCTGGACCTGTCTTTCTTACAGAGACCTCTTAGCCTCATTCTTTTCCTCTCCAGTATTCCATATGGCAGTGGCTCAAGGTAGACACGTTGCAAAGAATGAACAGGCATTACCTGGATATTCAGGATTGCTTTGCTGTTTTATTCTGTGCAGTGTTTCCTTTTATGCCTGCTTTTCAGCCCTATCCTTTCTGCAGGGCTCTGGGTCACAAGCTGGGCAGGAGGAGCAGAACACAGCGCCTCTAACAAGTAGCAGGACTGGACGCTGTTGGTTAAGTGTTAGGAGAAAATGTGTCTGCTAATAGGGTTATTTGTTTCTTTTTTTGGGGGAATTTTTATTTTTTATTTTTTATATATAAACTTTAAGTTCTAGGGTACATGTGCACAACGTGCAGGTTTGTTACATATGTACACATGTGCCATGTTGGTGTACTGCACCCATTAACTCGTCATTTACATTAGGTATATCTCCTAATGCTATCCCTCCCCAATTCCCGCACCCCACAACAGGCCCCAGTGTGTGATGTTCCCCTTCCTGTGACCAAGTGTTCTCATTGTTCAGTTCCCACCTATGAGTGAAAACATGCGTTGTTTGGTTTTTTGTCCTCGCAATAGTTTGCTGAGAATGATGGTTTCCAGCTTCATCCATGTCCCTACAAAGGACATGAACTCATCGTTTTTTATGGCTGCATAGTATTCCATGGTGTATATGTGCCACATTTTCTTAATCCAGTCTATCATGTTGGACATTTGGGTTGTGGGACTGTAAACTAGTTCAACCATTGTGGAAGACAGTATGGCGATTCCTCAGGGATCTAGAACTAGAAATACCATTTGACCCAGCCATCCCATTACTGGGTATATACCCAAAGGAATATAAATCATGCTGCTATAAAGACACATGCACACATATGTTTATTGTGGTTGTTTCTTAACATAAAGGTTTAATCCGTATGATTCCACTTCTGATTTCCAGGGATAATTTGAAGGAAACTATAAAAATAGAAGGTTAAAAAATATGTTTGTCGGCCGGGCGCAGTGGCTCACGCCTGTAATTCCAGCACTTTGGGGAGGCCGAGGTGGGCAGGTCCTCTGAGGTCAGGAGTTTGGGACCAGCATGACCAATATGGTGAAACCCCGTCTCTATTAAAAATACAAAAATTAGCTGGGCGTGGTGGTGGGCACCTGTAGTCCCAGCTACTTGGGAGGCTGAGGCAGGAGAATCACTTGAACCTGGGAGGCGGAGGTTGCAGTGAGCCGAGATCACGCCACTGGACTCCAGCCTAGTGACAAAGCAAGACTCCGTCTCAAAACAAAAATATATATATATATATATATATATATATATATATGTTTGTCTTCTTGATTTTTCCTCTCCTCCATCATGTGGTGATGGGATGGGAAAAGGCAGGTTGTGGGGAGCAGTTTGGAGGCCCATGCTTGGTGGGAAAGAGAGGGAGGAAAATTCTAGATGAACGAATGCCGCTTCAAAGGAAGAAGCAAAAGAACCATATTAACCCTGCTTACAATCGGATTTAGATTGGTGATATATTCTGTCCACACTCAACTGGGTTTATCCTGACATTCAACAGTGTAAGTGACCTGTACTCTAAGTGTTCCCTTCTTGAGAAAAGGTGTGATTGAGCAGCCTGCTGTTGTCTGAATTTTTGTCTCTCCCTTTTCCAGAATTCATATGTGAAACCTAACCCCAGGGTGATGGTGTTAGGGGCTGAGGACTTTGGGAGGTGATGAGGTGATGAGGGAGGAGCCATCACCCTGATAAAAGGGACCCCAGAGAGGTGCCTTTCCTCACACCATGTGATGCACACTGAGAAGGCGCCATCTGTGAACCAGAAATCAGATTCTCACCACACAAAGCATCTGCTTGCACCTTGGTCTTGGACTTCCAGCCTCCAGAACTGTGAGAAATAAATTCCTGTTGTTTATAACCCACGCATTTTACACTATTTTGTTATCACAGCCAGAAGACAGTAAGACAAATCCCAACAGAGAAGAGTGCTTCTAGAACCTAAAGTGCACCTACCACTTTCTAGCAAAGCCTGATCCACATTACTTTAAAAGTGACTTTTCAAGCATTTTGCTTTGGTTTACCTATTTCTTCCACTTACCTCTCTCAAGCCCAAATCATTAGTTTACACTTGTAACCAATTGCTCGTGCACATGTCCTAATGTTTTTGAATATACATATATTAATACATAATGTATCATTCGTGTTTGCATGTGGGCATTGTGGATAACTTACATGTAATTACAGTTGCAATTACTTAGAATCATCTACTTCTTCATGAGCTCGAAAGTGACCTCTTATTCTTTTTTACAAACGGAGATTTTTTTGTGAATGTAAATAATGGAAAAGCTTCCCAAACCCCTCCCAGACTCCAGCTCCCGCCATGCCCTTCCCCTCAGGCGCTGGCACGCCCTTACACACACACACACACACACACACACACACACACACACACAGCCTGATGTGTCTATCAGCTCTGAATCTGGTTTTTCAAGTGGCTTGGGTGGGTCTGCATATGAATTTGACCAACCTCTGCGCGCGCTCCTGGGAGCGCGCATCTGTGTGTGGTCCAGGGAGCCAACCGCGTTTGTGAATGGATGATTGATGGGAACAGCGCCCAGGGGCAGCAGGTGGAGACGGGAACCCAGGTCGCGGTCACTGGTCAACCCGCCTCTTGGGGTGGAGGTTAGAGAAATGGGCGCTGGGATTTGGCCCCGGCCAGTGCTGGGGTTCCAGGGTAGGGAGAGCCGTGGGCGCCAGACTGGGCTGCGGGAGGTCTTCGGGGTCAGATCCCGCAGGCAGCCAAGAGCGAGCCAAAGAAACAAAGCCGCCGAGGGACGCGGCTGGGGCGGAGGCCCGGAGGGAAGTGGAGGCCGGGAAGCCAGGTGTGCGGCGGGGAGAGCGGCCCCTGCCACCCGCGCTGGTAGCCGGGCGCTGCCATTCACTGCAAGGTCCTCTGCGCCCTGGAATTGCCGCGGCGGCGGATGCAGAGGCCAACCCAGAGTGCAACCATGGAGACGCGACGTGTGTCCCATAGTAACCTGTTACAACATTATTTATAAGCTGCCATCCCTAGCCTTCCCCCGCTTCCCCTCCGCTCCCTCGCCAGACTTGCGGGCGACGGGCACAGCCGCGTCTGGCTCTTCCCGGCCTCTCCCTTCTCTCGCGGGCGCAGCCGATCAATAGTTAACACCCGGCTGCGGACGGCGGCTCCATCCGCGGCAATCACCGTAGTGCTTGTTTGTGGAAGCCGAGCGTGCGTGCGCCGCGCGCGCACCCAGTCCAGCGCGGAGTGGGCGTCTACCCGAGGAGGGGTGTCTGGGGAGGGGCTGCCCTCGTTACCCAAACAGTTTGCGCTCGCTTAACCTTGATGCAGCTCGAGGCTTCCCAGTCCAGCTCAGTTCAGACAGAAAACCTGGCGCGCGCGCGCGCACACACACACGCCTCCCCTGGCGTCGCCGCCCGGCCGGGTCCCTGCCCTTAGGGACCAGAGCGGCGACCGCTGCACCCCGCACCGCCTGCTGGAGGAGCCCCCGGAGCCGGGGCCGAGCCGCCGGCGTCCCCGAGTGCGCCCCCTGTGCGTGCCGCCGCGCTGTTGCTCGCAGTGTGCTGGCGCCGAGCTCGGTGGACACGCGCGCAGTCAGAGCTGCCTCTCGCCCTCGCTAGCTGGGCTCGCAGCCTCTTCCTCCCTCCCTGGCTCCTGGCTTTTTGTTTAAAGCAACACCCACCCTCCATCCAGGCTTTTTTTCTTTCTTTCTTTATTGGTAGCGGCCAAAAAGAGTTGATTGCTATTGGGATCCGCTGAGTAAAGACACGGGCAGGGGTGCGCGGAGGTGAGAAAACTGAAGACCTGGAAGATTTTTTTTTCCTTCAAAAACCCGTTTCCATCCAGTCTTCAGCCAGTCCAGTCTACTTTAATCCTCACCAGGACAATGGATTAAGTTTCTCTTCCCTGGACCAGAAGTCGGGTTCGGACTTGGGGCAAAATGAAGGAAAAGGCCATGATCAAGACCGCTAAGATGCAGGGGAACGTGATGGTGAGTGCCACGGACAGGGCGCGCGCTGGGTCGGGGGGACCCACCGTGAGGAGCGATGCTGGGGGAGGTCTGTCCTTCTCAGTCCCGAACCTCCCTGGAAGGACAGCGACCCCATGCCCGCGCGCGGCGGCGCTTCTCCCACTTCCCACCCGAGCCCACCCAGCGGCAGGGGGATGCGGAGGAGCAGGCATTTCTTTGCAAATTGCAACTTTGCGGCTCCGCGGCCCCTCTCCTTCGGGCATGTGGCTTTGTGTTTTGGGCGCGGGATGGGAGGAAGGGGCTGCGGGGAGCCCTCGCTGACCGCGGGTCGGTCCGAGCCCCAAGCAGACCCCCAGGGCTCTTCTGGGGAAACGCGGGGAGAGGTGGTCACTTCGGCCAGGGAAGGGCCACTGGGCCCTGGCGCCCGCGCCGGCCTCGGTGCTCCGAGTCCCCGGAACTCGAGACCTGTTGGGTCTGCGGAGCCTTCGGTGCTCTCGGGGCAGGCGCCAGTCGCTCCGCTCCGTTCCAGACGCCGCCGCCGGGCGGGACCCTGCTCCCTGGATTGGGGACGCTGACTCCCCCAAAAGCTTGACTGTGCCGGAGGAGGTCAGGGGCACTTCGTCCCCCAGGAGGGCCGCGTGCCTGGAAACGCGGCTGGTCCGCGGAAGGCTCCGGGCAGCTGGCCAGGGGACAGTTCTGCACGGATAACTTTCTAAGTGGAGGACCCGGCGATCCGCCTCCCCAGCGAGCCCACCCGCCTCGCCGCTCCCCGCTGACCCGCGCGGCCTGGGCGCGCCTGCTCTCGGGCTCACGTTAGTCCGGGGCACGGGGCCGAGGGGTCAGGGCGCTGGAGTCTCTGGCGAGGACGAGAGAGTTGCCATCTTGTTCTGTTGAAATTGTTTGTGTGCCTTCGTGTGTTTATTTTAACCCATTAGGTCATGGTCTGAGAAGAATCCTCTGACGGTCCCTTATTTTAAGTTGCTGGCTGGCACTTTTTTTTTTTTTTTTTTTTTTTTTGGCGACAGACAAGGAGATGGGGATTGCCTTGCTACTTTTGAAGGTTCTGCAGATTTGCAGATGCTACTTTTGAGGGTTCCGTAAGAATTGAAGAAATTCTTTCAGGGGCAAGGTCCAGAGTTGTTTACAGAAGTGGGTTGGGTCCAAGTGATGGGGGTGCAGAGGCACCTTTGCGGGAACCCAGGCAGTGGTGCATTTTGAGATCTCGCTTTAAGCAAAACAGGCAATAAGTGAAAAATTCTACATTAATTGAACAAATACCCAGCTGGCTTAACCACACCCACGGCAGACACCTGTTGCCTGGCAGAGAGAAGCGCCGTGGGTTCAGAACTTGACTCTGGACGGAGGTGTGAGTCTCTGGGTTCAAGACACCTCGCAGGGAAGTAATCGCCGCATGGAGGGGCTTACTCTTCAGGACCCTCCCCACTCCCGAGACGACAAGCCCCCATCTAGGGGCGGTTCGCAGTCCTCGGTCCGTGGGTTCTCTGACTGACCTAATTGCTTGTTTATGAAAATGCATCTGCTTCCCTCATTTTTCCCACTCTTTTTCTTTTTTAGCCATTGTGTTGTTCAGCATAATTTCTTGCATAAACAGGATAGAAACGTGTATGGAGTAATGCTTTTTCATTAAATGCCCAACCACATCCATCATTCCTAACTTACGTGATGCCATCATGTGCTAGGGAAACCTGTATATTTAGGGCTGAGGCTGAAGTTAAGGATTGAGGTTAATTATACTGATAAGGCAACATTATTGACTCATTACATCAATCTACCGCCAAATAAGTTTCTACTTATAACTTGCATGGCATGAAAGAGCCAAATCTTCATATTACACCTTTATTAGAAACCTTATGGTCTTTGCCCTCCCCCTAACCCCTCTCTGCGTTTTACTTCAGAAAATAAAGAATGAAAGGATTGCTAATTACATTTCTCTCTTCTGCTCTGAATAAGGATATTCCATGTGATACTCATTGCATCCCTTCCCCTGTGTCTAATGTTAAGAAGTGTCATCGGAGCAAGGTGAACCTGAGCCTAGAGAATTCTACAGCAACCCATATTTTCAGAGTTATTTGTGGGCCCAAGAAAACAATGAGATGCACACTTACTCAAACTTTGAATGTTCTTATCAATTCTTGAATTGATAATTATGGCTCCACAGCCTGCTGTGTAACTTATTTGAATTTTCATGTTCCAAGGAAATCCACGTGGCTTCAGTTGAGTGATCATTTAGGACTTACCCATGCCTAATCTCTCAAGTTGCTTTGGAAGACTCTTGCTAATCACAGCCTCTCTTGGATTAGATGACTGGCAAATTCTTTGCACTCACAACTTGATTGAAATTCAGGTGATATTTTACATTCAAGATGAGGACTGAATGATTTACTCCTATTACTGACAGCTGAGCTGCCGCACATCTGACAGCTACAAAAAGTGGCAGAATGTTTTCTACTTTGCAGTAACAGTGAACCCACATACACACAGAGACCAGATCTCAGTTCAGGGGACTCAAAGATCTCTGAGCTGTCTGGACTCGCATTTGAGGTTTGATATTTAAAAAAGAGAAAGACACTTTGCACTGCCCAAATGGTCACGGAAATGTCAAATCCAGTTCAGCCATGCCTGTAAACTGCTTTCTAATCCAGCCCCTGCTCGCTGACATCCACATTGTATGATTGTTCTGGACCTGCAGCCTGTTGTTTCACCGGGAGTTCTACAAGAATGGTGACAATAGCCTCCCGGCTGGTCCTTGCCATGCCACATTGCTTAGTTGAAAGTATGTTCTTATAAAATCTTTAAAAAATGTTTTATTCCTCACATATTGCTTTAGGAATTTATTTCTGAGTACAGCTAGAGGATTAAGAGAAGGCAGATGCACCAGCATACTATCTGATCTTGTTTTGTTTTAGTAAATGGGTAAAAGAAATACCACAGGTGGAATCAGTTTAGAACTTTTTTTTTTTTTTTTTTTTTTTTTTGGAGACAGAGTCTCACTCTGTCACCCAGGCTGGAGTGCAGTGCAGTAGCGCAATCTCAGTTCACTCCTCCCCCAGGGTTCAAGCCATTCTCCTGCCTCAGCCTCTCGAGTAGCTGGGGACTACAGGCGTGCACCACCATGCCTGGCTTTTTTTTTTTTTTGCATTTTTAGTAGAGACGGGGTTTCATCATGTTGGCCAGGCTGGTCTTGAACCCCTGACCTCAGGTAATCTGCCTGTCTCGGCCTCCCAAAGTGCTGGGATTACAGGTGTGAGCCACCATGACTGGCCAGTTTAGAACTTCTATTTTAATTTTTTTTTTTTTTTTTTTTTGAGATGGAGTCTCACTCTGTCACCCAGGCTGGAGTGCAGTGGTGCTATCTCGGCTCACTGCAAGCTCCGCCTCCCGGGTTCATGCCATTCTCCTGCCTCAGCCTCCCCAGTAGCTAGGACTACAGGCGCCCACCACCATGCCCGGCTAATTTTTTTGTATTTTTCGTAGAGACGGGGTTTCGCCATGTTAGCCAGGATGGTCTCGATCTCTTGACCTCATGATCCACCCGCCTCGGCCTCCCAAAGTGCTGGGATTACAGGCGTGAGCCACCTTGCCTGGCCCCTAGAACTTCTATTTTAATTCTTGAGAAGAGTCTATTTCATAAACTTATAATACTGTGAGAATTCACAGACTAACCATGCCATATTCAATCTGTAATTTAATATACTAAGAGATAAATATTTTTTACTTGCTCGAAACAAAAATTATTTTTTTAAAAATAGCTGTTATTTTTTCCATAAAATCTACATTTCAGAGTTCCAAGGGAGGCTGATGTGCACTTTTTCAACCTAATCTTCCTTTATTGCTGTTTGGTTGATATTCTGCTTGTTTAACAGAGGTATATACTCTTGCAATAGGTTCTGAGGTTAATGGGAAATGTCATCAGAAGGGTGTTGCTTCGTGCTGAATTCCCCTACTCTGTCCATATGAGCTTTTTTCAGACATTGAGTTGCTTAATGAAGTTGGAGTAAAGATTAAAGACTAAACATCTTGGGGACTGTCCTGTGACCCTTGGCGTCTCCCCCTTCCTTGGTGTGTGCATTGGTGGCTCCACCAGTATGTGGTGGGTAAGTGAGGGCTGTGCAGGCCCATGGTGACTACAGCAGTATCAGAGGAGGTTCAGACCTAGGACACAAAGCATCAGAGGTCTGCAAGCCATGTTGATCCTTGAGAATCCCACTGTTGATTGTTGTTGGTTTTAAATGAAAGTGGCTGTCTTGAGTTCCCTGTATAGGGAAAGCTGGAGTTCTTCCTTGTGCTCACTGACACTGGTTTTAGGCCTTTGGTCACTGGTTGATGTATCTATGGCATGACGAGCCTAGGATCTTTTCAGAACTATTGTCTTCTCTTTTCTATGTTGGATAAAACATCTGAATGTGAACTTTCCACAGTAAGAGTTCTCTTTCGGGCATTTGACCGTTTTGCTGATTCAGTTAAATAAAGCAGAATGGCATTCCAGCGATGATGCTGTACTTGTAATTAGCCCAGGTGAGCAGAGGCTCGTTGAGGTTTTTAGATAAGTCATGAGAGCTCGTGTGGGACACAAAGCTTCTATTATTTTTTTTTTTCTGAGATGGAGTCTCACTCTGTCTCCCAGGCTGGAATGCAGTGGCACAGTCTCAGCTCACTGCAGCCTTCACCTCCCAGGTTCAAGCAATCCTCTTACCTCAGCCTCCCAAGTAGCTAGGATTACAGGCATGTGCCACCACACCCAGTTAATTTTTGTATTTTTAGTAGAGACGAGGTTTTGCCACGTTGGTCAGGCTGGTCTCAAACTCCTGACGTCAGGTGGTCTGCCCGTCTCGGCCCCCCAAAGTGCTGTGAGCCACCTCTCCCTGCCAAATCTTCTATTATTGAAGTCTGTGGGGACAGCATTTCTAGGAGTGTGGCCTTCAGTAATGCAATATTTTTCCTCTGTCTGAGGGTACTTGGTATCAGATTGGTCACTTGGTAACAAAATGCTTGGTGCTGGTTCTAAATGGGAGCAGTGTAGCACAGATTTTGAGGGAATTTGCCTTCTCAAAATGGGTTCCAAAAATTCTAAGGTCACAGTTTTCTGAGAGTTGTCACCATGTGTCCCAGTGGTGTGATACTTAGGTTGGTCTTTCTCTGCTTGCTAGTTGTTCAACATCCCTTCATAAAATCATCACCCTTATAACTAGACGTTTCTTGAAATATTGATTAATCCCATCTGTGCAGGAAACAGTAGCTAGGCATGGGTCTGTTTCATAATCCTCCTTGCAGGATTTATAGGAATGGGGATACTTTAAACATGTTTATGGCCCATTAAAAAATGCAGATTTCCAGAAAGAAGATCCCAAAGCCAGAGGTGATCAGCACAGGATGTTTTATAAAATTTCTTCAATAAAACTGTAGTGAAGAGGGCTGTGCTGTTTTTTCACAGAGCTCTGTTTAGTTCTTTAGTTCATATATCCACTGGGTCTGAGTTTTTCAACATATAAATGTACTAAATTGGCTCTTCCCTGTTGCACAGCCATCATCTCCTTTTCTGTAACCTGTCCTGGTCAGTAATCACAATACTGCTAACTTGATCATCATTTGGACTTTGAACCCTCTGTGCTATTACCAAGAGGTGTGGTGCTTATTGAAATATGAACATCTAGTATTCATTCGTCCCCATGGACAAGGGCTTTGCACAGGAAGCATTTGAGCGGATGAATTCGTTAAATGAATGGATATTTGTTCCTTGCTTAGGACTGCTTAGCATAGGCTGTGCATTTGTGAGAAAGGCTCATGGTTTTAGTTGAACGTTTAAGAACTCCTTCAAGTCCTAATACATCAGGTAACAGGAGAGAGAATTCCCTGCATAGAGTATTTTCCACTTTCAGCTACAAATGGAAACTTAGGCTCAGTTTAGATTGTAAACAGCTGATGCATCAATCTTCTTTATTTGAGGAGGCGTAGAAGTCAAATAAAATATAGAGAGCAATCTCTCAACTTAAAATGTTTTACTTGGGAAGCAAGAATTGCAATCTGAGGCATACACAGACCAGTGGTCTTCAGTATGTCTGAAGAACAAAGACGAGATTGTGGATTTTATTAGGAAAGGAAATGTTACTTACTGTTTTGGAAGAAAACTCATTGGCCCTGGAGAAGCTTTTGAGAGCTGGCAAGCTCTGATTGGTGAGTTGACTGTGGTAGGTAAAGCTAGAGTCACTGCAGGTTGTTTCAGCAGTTACTAGGTAAAACTGGTCTTAGAGGTACAGCAGGCTGTTTCAGCAGCTGAGCTTGTGGGAAATTTAATTCTTGGAGCAGGTGCTATGTGTCCCCAGTACTTTTTCCCTGGCCCCGCAACTCACACATTGAGTTGCTTAATGAAAATGGAGTAAAGACTACAGACTAAACTTCTTGGGGACTGCCCTGTGACCCTTGGTTTCCAAGGACCACAAGGATTTTATTGGGTATGACAAGAATGACCCAATTTGTATAATCAGCTTTTGCAGAGGTAAATACATTTAGTCCAGATCATTTTAAAATTTTCTGTTTATTAAACTAAAATAAATTCAGCAACATAGAAGAATTCCATGACCTCTTTTGGTTGTGGGAGCCAATTTTATTTGATAGCAAGACCACATTTTAGAACTCAAGAGCGTGCCTCAGATCTTCTAGGTCCCTTGAACATACTAAGCTCAGAACAGACAGGCAGGCAGAACCAAGCAGAATTCCCCCTTTACCATTGTGGCTTCCTGGGATGATGGGAGAAAGGGTTCCATTCGGGAAGTAGAAGTTTCAAAAACCCATCTTGGACAGTGGCTCTTGGCAATGGCTGAACAGTAGAATCAGCTGGAATGTTTTGAAAAACCCAGTCATCTATGGGTGTTGTGGAGTTGGGAATGTTTGGTTAAGTGTAGAGGTTCTCAACATTGCCTGGAGCCACTGGTTCCTCCTGCCCCCGACCTCTTCCCCAGTACCCACCCCTGGCCTAGAGATACCCAGGGGATTCTGATTCCACTGCTTCAAAATGCAGTCTGTGCACTCATATGTTTAATAGTGCTTCTGTTGTGCAGCCAAGATGCAGAACCAGTGGATCAGAGGCAAATTTTTTGAATAAATATTGCCATCAAAGCCTAAGGAAATAATTATAACATTTATAAGGGAGCTTCTTGAAAAATATGCAATCAAGTCTTGTTCCCTGGGTTGTGGAGGCCGCCAAATACATGGAAAGATGGGCAGAGAACACAGAATAAGGAGAAAAATGAAGTGAAACATGCATGAGAGAGAAAAGTAAATAGTCACCAGGGAAAAGATGAGGAAACATGCTGTGTTTTTAAGTTTTCTAACCTCAGTTATAGACTGAATTTGGGGAAAAACAAGAATCTTTAAAGAAATTCAATTGTCCTCCTTTCCTTTTTCTTCACGCCCAGAAAAAATTAATCTTCTTGACTGAAAGATACTCTATTATGTGTCTGAGGTCCCCCCGAAAAGTTATTACAAACCCAACAGGGCAAGTAGAAACAAGGAGGGTGATAGAAGAAAGCTGAAGGCTGCCCTCGACCAGCAGAAGTTGTTCTGGGATTTGCAATGGCCTCTGAGGGGCCTCTGCAGGCAGCTCCCTGGACTGCTGTTTCCTCATGTGTCGAATAAGGAAATTTGAATAGATTGATTATTCTTGAAGTCCCTTTCAACTCCCTCTCCCAGTTAAGGGTAGCCTCATTACTGTCTCCTCAACATTGCTCTTAGGACATGCTTTAGAAGTCACCTTCCATGCCAGAACAAATATTTTGTTGGCATCATGATTTCTTCTGCATTGACTTATGTGGCATCTCTCAGCTCGCCAGTCTTGTCTCAGCAAGCATGCCACTGTATACGGGGAAAACAAATAGATGGCATCAATGTATAGTCCTATTGGACACAAAATCTAGAGCATTCATGCACCAGCCTTGATGACCCAGGAAGACTGTATATGTGTGTGTGTAGCACACCATATACATGCATGTGCATGCGTGCACACACACACACACACACACACACACACACACACAATGTTCATACATCTCAGATGTAAAATACTGGCACCATTGTCCAGCATAGCTGAAGATCTGTTGGATAAGAGCTCCTGTGGGTGCAATCACTTTGACTGCTTGGCTTTCTTGGATATTAAAAAAATAACCACACTGTAATAAAACAGGAGTGCCAAGGATGTTCTGGTTTCCAGTGTGGTGTTACTCGTCTGTGAAAATAAAAGTGAATTGCTGGCTAGCCAGGCCGGCCACAAGGCCTGTTTTGCAAGGCACCAATTGGATGGGATGGGACTGCACTGGGTCTCACTACGAGAGGTCTAAGGCTGAGCACATTTTCTTCACTGATATTGGTATTTGAAAAGTGGGATTTTCTTCTCTTTTTCCCTCTCCTACTGGACTAATGCCCCTATTAAGCCACACATAGTTTTATTTTAAATAATTCTCATTTTATGGTATTGGTCCTATATAAACAACTTTTAGTAAAACCTCCACTGACAGAAACTCAACTACAAACTTGAGCAAACTGGACTAACAGTCTCATACGTTTCATTACATTAATCTAAAAAATGGTACTTCTAGGGTATGTTCTGACTTCATTATACATTCAGCTTAATATTCTATACCTTCTTGTCCTATATTTTTGGGAAGTGAGAATTAATAATTTTCAAGCCTAAAGGCCAAATTTTTTTTTCATTCTTATAAAAATTATTTTGATTGTGGACTACATTTTCTATGATGAGGTAAAAATGAATTAACACATGAACAATTTATCTTTAACAGGCTGGGCACAGTGGCTCACACCTGTAATCTCAGCACTTTGGGAGGCTGAGGTGGGAGGATCACTTGAGGCCAGGAATTTGATACCAGCCTGTGCAACATAGACAGCATCTCTACAAAAAAATTTTTAAAAATAATTATCCAGAAGTTGATATTATATTATGTGGCTGTCATCCTAGCTACTGAGGAGGCTGAGGCAGGAGGATCTTTTGAGCCCATGAGATTGAGGCTGCCGTGGGCCAAGATTGTGCCAATGCACTTCAGCCTGGGTGGCAAAGCAAGACCCCGTTTCTTTAAAAAGTAATACATAAATAAATATACTTATTTATAACAGAAAATCAAAGATTATCTTGTTAAATGGTAGTTTTCTAGAAAATTGCATTTATCAGACCAAATCATATCTTGAGCAAACTTTTTATAAGAGGGTTCTGTTTTGTTATTTTTCTTCCTATGACTCTGTAAATTGTGCATCTATTTTTTTAAGATCTCCACCCTTTCATTTCAAACTTAATTATATTGATAACTTATAGTTGTAGAGAACTTACACAGCTTCCAAAATAATTTTGTCTGTGCTATGTTATTATGTTAGAACAACCCATTGTGTTGGAAAGACAGATATTAGTTCTTTTTTTATGGTTGAAAGAGCTAAGATTTTGAGAGAGTATATAGTGGGGCTGGTTATTTGAGGAGGAGCTGAGGTGCTGACCCATTTCCAGCCCAGGTTCTTTGCACACCACAATGTATTCTTTCAGAAATTATCTTCTTTCCAGTTGCAACTGAAAAGAAACATAGTGCCTGGAAGATGGGGGAGAAAAATAAGAGATCAAGTGGGAGAGTATGTCTTCTGCTCTATCCTCATAGGATTTCTAGCCTCTGCTGGAACACATCCAAGGACTGGAAACTTGTGCCATTGTTGACAAGTTCTGTTTGTTAAAATGGTATTTCTTAAGTTCGGAAGATACATATACATACCTCCATTGAACTTTCACCTACAGTTTTAGCTTGAAGCCTTTTAACTACAAAAATTTTCTTATCCCTACTTCACATGACAACCTTTCAAGTAAGTTCCAACAGTTGCCATGTGACCCCTTCATAGTCTCTTTTCTAGGGAAAATGTCTCTATTTCTTTCAACTTATATATGAAAGTTTGATCAGGGTAACTGTGAATTTAACAACAAGACACCATATTTTTTATTCAATCATTGCCATCGTTATCTGTTTCTTAGCTTCCACAAATTTCTTCCTATTTATTGTTGTTGATTTGATAGTCTTCATACTGTTTTCCACAGTGGCTGTACTAATTTAATTCCCACCAGCAGTGCACAAGTGTTCCCCTTTCTCCACATCCTCACCAATAAATGCTACTTGTTTTTGAGCCATTAGTGAACTGATAGAAAACAGCATTCTGGACCGAAAAAGTAGATTGTCTCCAAAAGCTGTGTGGATAAGGAGCAATGAAAGAAAGATAATACCAAGGCAAATACCTGGAGGATGTGAAGCCAAGAGCATCAGAGGAGAAAAGGAACCATCAAGAGGTTGGTTAGTGGGTACAAACAGACAGATAGAAGGAATAAGTTCTCATGTTCAATAGCACAGTAGGGTGACTGCAATTACTAATAATTTATTGTATATTTCAAAACAGCTAAAAGAGTCTGGGTGCAGTGGCTCACACCTGTAATCTCAGCACTTTGGGAGGTCGAGGTGGGAGAATTACTTGAGTCTAGGAGTTTAAGACCAGCCTGGGCCACACAACAAGACGCCATCTCTAAAAAAAATTTAAAATATGCCAGGCTTGGTGGCATCCACCTGTAGTCCCAGCTACTTGGGAGGCTTAGGTGCAAGGATTGCTTGAGGCCAGGAGTTCAAGGTTAAAGTGAGCTGTGATGGTGCCACGGCACTCCAGCCTGGGTGACAGAGTGAGACCTTGTCTGTAAAAAAATAATAATAATTAGAAGAGAAGATTTGAAATGTTCCCAACGTGAAAAAATGATCACTGTTTGAGGTGATGAATATCCTAAGTAAACATACATCAAAATATCACATGTACCTCATAAATATGTATAATTATTATGTATCAACAAGAAAATGAAAACGAGAATGTTGAAACAGGTGGAAAGATATTCATATAGAGCCTTTGGGAAATGCTAGTCACTGGACATGGGAGGAAAATGGCCGTCTTCAGTTGCGGTATCAGAGGCCTTCCACAATAAGCAGTGTTAATTGGCAAACAGGGGCTATGAGAAACACACAAGTGATGAAAACCAGCCTTATTTCTACTGGAATCTCAGGTCTTACCTGACTTACCACCATCTAAGTTTGCATAGTCACCTCTAAAAGTGTGAGCATCTTTTCTGTGCTTTGCTGGTTTGTATATAACTTTTATTCAGATATCTTTCACTCTAATAAGTAGTTCTTTGCATTCTGATTAGTTGGCTTTATGAAATAAGTCACCATTATTCAAGAAGGGAAAGGCGAGAGACAAAGGCATTCGGCTTCCATTAGTGTTTGGAATTACAGCCACACACAAATTAAGGGTGAATGAAAACAAATGCCCTCCTGTAGCTGCTGCTGGTATTCCTCCCCACCTCCTCTTCACTCTCTCTCCTCCTCCTCCTTTTTCTCCTTCTCTTATTTATCCTCCTCCTCTTCTTCCTTCTCCTCTTCCTCTTCCTTCTCCTCCTCCTCCTCCTCCTTCTCCTCCTCCTCCTTTGATTATCTTAAGCCAGATGTGTATTCTTACCCAGGTTTGTGATATGTCTACCCTTGCCTTTATGTTGGGAAACGTGAGGAAGCTGAGCCCAGCTCCCAGGACAGTTTGGTCGCCTCTAATCATACCATCCAGCCATAATCTCAGGCTGAAGGAAATCATTCATTGGCACTAAAGAGAGCTGGGGAGATAGCTGACAGAGGAATGCAATGGATCGTCTCGCTCATCCACCTTTTGCCATTTGTTTGATTTTTTCCTGCAATGTGTTTTCTTCTCGTCAACTTGGCCGGAATGGTGGTAAATGCTGTTTTTATATGTGGACTTACTTGAAAAACTGATCTATCTTAGTCTTGGACTTTGAATATCATTAAAGTTCTCCAAGGACCTTGCAAATAGCTGCTTGCCAAACACAATAGTTTAATATAATTTGATCTCTCACTGCTGCTTAGCTTCTGAGAAATGTGTTGTGCTCAAAGTGTTCAAGCATTAATTAAAATTGAGAGCACTGAAATTGTCAGCGCCCACTGACTCCATGTGAGTGTGTAGGTGAGTGTGAATGTGTGTGCACAGGCAGGTGCAGGTGTGTACTCACATGCGTATTAACGCTTAGGAAGCTGAACTTTGCTTCTTTCTCATTAAGAGTTGAAGGCTATTATCTAATCATGAAAATAAAAACTCTGATGGAATTAACTTGATGTTGACTCTCAGTTTGATTTCTGAAGATAAACCAGAGTCATCTCTACTCTGAAATATTAACGTATTCTAGAGAGTGGTTCCCAACATGATGTGACGCTGGACCTGCGTTATCAGCATCAGCTGGGAGCTTTAGAAGAACAAAATCTTGAGCCCACCCAGACCTACTGAATCAGAAGCTCAGAGGGTGGGTGATTCTGATCTGCATTAAAATTTAGTTCTAAGTGTACCCATTCGCAAACTCTTTGTGGTGAAGTGCCAGTGATTTCATTTTTGTTTTTAAAATTTCGTGGCTCAGTACTTTCTCCCATCTTTCTGTTTTTTTTTTTTTTCTGAGCCCTACAAACTTTTTCAACCTCTGCCCTAAAGCTGCTTTCAGATTTTCAGGTATCTTTGTAGCAATGCCCCATTCCTTGGTATGTGTTGCTATAAAGGCATACCTGAGGCTGGGTAATCTTTAAGGAAAAGAGGTTTATTTTGCTCACGGTTCTGCAAGCTGTACAAGAAGCACAGGCACCAGCATCTGCTTCTGGTGAAGTCCTCAAGCTGTTTCCACTCATGGCAGAAGGTGGAGGGGAGCCAGTGTGTAGAAATCACATGGCCATAGAGGGAACAAGAGAGAGAGGAAGGAGGTGCCAAGCTCTTTTTAACAATCAGTTACCCAGGGAATGAGTAACGGGATGACTAACTCATTATCTCGAGGGTAACACCAAGCCATTCATGAGGCGTCTGCCTCCATGACCCAAATACCTCTCAGTAGATTCCACCTCCACCTCCAACCTTGGGGATCAAATTTGAACATGAGGTTTGGGGGGTGGATAAACATCCAAACTATAGCAGCACCCAAAAGCTGAAAGTGCCATGTCTTATTTTTTATTTTCAGCCTTATCCGTAGCACGCTTTATGGTAGCAAAGAGGTCTACAAGCTGTGGCCCCAAAATAATTTAACTTTCTTACTGTAACCTTTCCATTTTAAATTTGATTCACTGTAGAGCATTTCCATGGGTAGAACTGGGTCAAAGAGAAGTCTTTCATTTTAGAGTTTTGTTATTAAGGAAGAATTGGGTATTTTCATACTTTTTAAAGTTTATTTTTGGCTATGATTACTTACAGTGGTTCATTTTTTATAGACATCTAGGAAATGTTAATTACTGCAGATAAGATTCCCAATTCAGAAGCCAACCACAAAGGCTTTTCTTCTTCTTCTTCTATATATATATAAAGGAGATAATGCTAAAATGCTCTTATGCAAATTTTAAAATTCCCTAGTACATTAACAATGCTAATGACAGTTAATGCATTCCTGAAGCTTCTGTGTGATCCAAAATATTCAAAATGCTTAGAAATGTTTTAGGTCCACCCTGCAAATATATGGGAAGTGGAATTTTGTTCATGGAAATTAGTTCCTTGAAAATAGATTCAGTGCCAAGTTTAAGAGATGAAGAAGAGCTGAAAAGTCAGTGTAGTGCAATATAGAGTCTTCTGCGGATAAAGGTCGAAACCCTCTTTTCCCAGACCACCATAGTGGGTAGGTACAGAATCTCAGATAATCACTGCAGTTTGGTTAGAAGAGGAAATTGCCCTTCATAAAGCAACACAGAAGAAGGTAAGGAGAAAGTGGTATTAGATTGATAGGTCAACTAATGATAATGAAGAAACTTTCTCTTGCTGACGGTGATGTCAGCTTCTACCAGGACTAACTTCAGTGAGCACAGGAATGGCATTGCTGTTCAATAGGGTTATACCCTCAGGTGGGATGACAGAAGACAGACCCTCGTTGTTTCTTTGCTGACCTAGGGAATTCTGCAAAGCAGAAATATGAAGAATGAAGATGCTGACTCTTTACAGACAGCTTTATTTAGGTGAATTCAGGTTGTTACATGGTCTTGCCACAAGTGCATCTTATTCTAGAAGTTGTCTGACTACTTCAACATGCATTTCTTTCCTTCTTTCTTCCTTGAGCTCCTTAATATTAAATGCAAATGAGGGGAGGCGTGTTGAAGTTACACTAAGGTTTAGTTGTAGCAAAAATGTGCTTTGTGCACCTACTGGAAATTCCCTTGTGGAATCTTTATAGTAAAGCCTATTGGGGAAATATAATTGAAAACAAAATCTTCTTCCAACCTAGAAATCCTCTCCACAAAGGTAGTAGAGAAAGAGAACACTTTTCTTATTTGAATAAGCATTAAACCAGAATGGTGATGCACATCACAGACAAGATGCTAAAAGATCACAAAGACAGAATTCTCTTATATAGCCAGGCAGATGCAACCCATTAAATACATGTTTTCAAGATAAACAGTAGCTCACCCTGAAGTAAGAGGATTTGACAGCATCATTTGTCAAATAGTTCATCCTAACTTTACTAGCTGCTTACTGGCTTTATTTAGAGGGGGGAAAAGCCTCTCATATCTTCATGATAGAAGGTAGTTTTGCATATTAGAGCAAAGTGTCCACCGATGTTAGGCTCCAGAAACTGGGAGACAGGGGTTCTGTCTCCCTTGATGTTTGCATTTTAAAAAGATGGTTCCAGATCTTTGGGAACAAGATCCCCGGGTCATAAAGCTAACAAAAGCCCTCCCTATCTAGTCTTCACAAGGATGCACTTCCAAGAGATGAAAAAGTGCTTATAGGCCGGGCGTGGTGGCTCACACCTGTAATCCCAGCACTTTGGGAGGCTGAGGCGGGTGGATCACCTGAGGTCAGGAGTTCGAGACCAGCCTGGCCAACATGGTGAAACCCTGTCTCTACTAAAAATACAAAAAATTAGCTGGGTGTGGTGGCAGGTGCCTGTAATCCCAGCTGTTTGGGAGGTTGAGGCAGGAGTATCGCTTGAACCTGGGAAGGGGAGGTTGCAGTGAGCCGAGCTTACACCATTGCACTCCAGCCTGGGTAACAAGAGTGAAACCCCGTCAAAAAAAAAAGTGCTTATAATTACAAGTTTTCTTAGGTAAAGCTCTAAGAAAAAGGAGAAGAAAACACTTTCCTCCTGATTTTCAACAGGAAGAAGTAAGTGTCTTATTTCTAGCTTGTATTAGTCCTTACAAGCCAGAGCATTCAAATGAGTAACCGCTACAATAGCCAGCAAAGCTACAGACACCCAGTAAGAGGAACTGGAGCCTGTCCCAGGCTTGCAGATGCTGAGTGCTCGAGATGTTGACACAATTTAGCCAAAATTGAGGATCAGGAGACTGCCAAGGACACCGGTGCTTGATGGAACTATTCCCTCTTCCAAGAATTTAAGAGCAAGAAAAAAACTCAGCCATATACTTGGAGCAGTGGCTTTCATATTCAGGACTAGGAGCATTTGGGTTCTGCAGGATGTGGGATGGAGGCATGGCTAAGGAGCAGCCATAGGGGTGATCGGAGTGGCCACAGGGGTGATCAGGCCTGAAAAGCCTGCCACTCAGAAGCCTTTCTTCCAAGAGTTGTTTATTCACTGCTTAGCAATGAGATCAGCACTTTGCCTGCTGCATCTCACAAAGCCCTCTGACAACCCTGGATGAAGGTACTAATATCTTTAGTTTTCAAATGAGGCTCAAAGAAGTTCAATGAGAAAACTGCCCAGGGTCACCTAGGTAGTAGGTAGAAAATTAGTATCCCACTTAGATGTGTGTCACTGTGTCATCTGAAGAGAAGAGATTAAGCATTGGGCTTGCTAGACAACAAGGATACTCTTCAACATATAAACAATCTTATTCAATAAAATCTTATTAATGCCCTGTTGACTGAGGTTGCATTAAGAGCATGTGGAAGCTTATCCGATGTTTCCATTCTCTGGTCTCTACTTGTGACTTTGCTTTTTATTTTCTCTTCTGTGCTGGAAGTGCTGGAAAGCACCTCATCTTTTGTCTTTTCAGTTGTTGGATTTAGGTTCCATGATTAAGGGTTGTGTTGCTATTGTTTTCAGTACTTTGTTCTCTTTCTGTATCCCAGGAAGTCAGCAACTGGGCCCTGTCTCCTACAGAAGCAGGAAGAGGACTGAGGGTTGAGGGACTTTTGGTGGTTTTCTAAAACTGTCAATCATCCTATGTGTGACAAGCAGAGAGTTTCCTGTATCTCTGTTGCCTAAGCAAAGGAGCAGGTGGGAAAGTATTTTGCTAACTAGCGATCTAAGATGAGGTTTTTGTTGTTGTTGTTGTCATTTTTGAGATGGACTCTCACTGTGTTGCCTAAGCTGGACGGCAGTGGCATGATCTTGACTCACTGCAGCTTCCACCTCCCAAGCTCAAGCAATTCTCCTGCCTCAGCCTCCCAAGTAGCTGGGACTACAGGCACGCACCACTATGCCTGGCTAATTTTTGTATTCTTAGTAAAGACGGGGTTTCACTGTGTTGGCCAGGCTGGTCTCGAACTCCTGAGCTCAAGTGATATGCCCGCCTCAGCCTCCCAAAATGCTGGGATTACAGGCGTGAGTCACCACACCTGGCCAGTTATTCTTTGATTCTCCTGCACCATCTTTCAATTTTTTACACTTGGGGCATTTTCCCTGTTCTCAGCACCCTCATCAGTGTGGACCAGGACAACGGGAGAGGGTAAACCTGAATTCCTCCAACTCTAATGACTTTATTAAAAGGCTTGAGGGGGAGGGCAGAAAGGGTATAGTGGTAACAGTGAGCACTTTGAATCTCACTTACCCTAATCATTTCTTGAATGATTGAAGGAGTAATGGGACCCTCCTTATTCCTTACTCCTAAATTCTCACTATTGATTGAACGTCTCATACGCAGGCACTGAGACACCTCAGTGAATAAAATATAGTCCTCGCCTTCCTTCTTGGGGCTTCCATTCTAGTGGCAGAAATAGACAGTGATTACACAGCTAATTATTTAATTACAAGTCTGATGCATTCTGCAAAAACATTGTAAGGGCCAAGGGAAAGCTTCTCCTTTGCCTTCTGAAGGTTCACTGAAAATCAACTGATGAAAGACAGGTGAACAGGAGAAGAGGCTTACAAATTTGATCACAGTTTTACACAGGAGCTTTCGGAATGAAGACGCAAAGATAGACAGGAAGCTGTCCATTTTTATGCTTAGGTTCAACAAACTGTGGACAGCTGTGTGGAAATAGGATTGGCACAAAGGGTCTGATCTAATGCCAATACAGTGAGGGGGAAAGCCCAGTAAGATCTGCCCATCTAGATTCTTCTTGGCCTCTCTGCAGAATTCCTTCCTTCTGGGCATGGGGCAGCACCCTCTCTGTAATGGGAGGTCTTATGACCCACAGTCGAACAAGGCAGGTCAGGTGATTTCGTTATGGTCAGTTTTTACACAGAAAGGTGGGGAAAGTTGGAGTAGTAGTTTTAGGTTTTATGGCTGGCTTTTGGGAACAGAGGATCTGGTTCGTATGATTATGTTGGGAGAGAGGATCCTAGTTTCTCTGGCCAGCCTCGGGAGAAAATGAGGGGCCAGAAACAGAAGAGCAGGAGGGGGAGTGGGGAGAAATGTTTGCTTCTGAGGCCTTCATTTTGGGTTATCATTTTCTGGGCCTCAGCAAAAGCAGATTGAGATTATTATTATATTAACATAAGCATTGTGGTCTAGGTTTGGATGTTTCTACAAGGTGTTTCGAAGCGAATGACTCAGTGAAAGATACAATGGGTGAGAAAGATGGTTCTCTCACATTGTCAATCCAAGGCAGAATAAAAAAGTCATAATTAAAAATATTTCTTAAAGGGGATAAAATGAGTATGTATTGGCAATTTGCTACTACAGTGAGGTGTTTAAAAAGAGAAAAAAAATTAAATGAAATGTAAAATGAAACCTGGGTATCTATAACTTGTGAAGGCTGAGGAATAGAAGATACTTCACTGAGAAAAGGCAGAGGACTCCCTTGACTAGGTGTAAGGATGTGCTCTTGAGATGCTGGGAACAAGGAAGTCCGTGGGAGCAATGGGGAGGACCAACACACGAGCAGCATCTGCTTTGAAAAGTGGAGACTGAATTGCGGTTTGATCCTGGGAGCAAACACCAAAGAACTTAGAGCTAATAATAGCGAAGCCATAGGAAGAGCAGCAACAGAGAAGCTTGGGTGGAAGGACTTCGAATACATAAAAGTTGGAACAAAATAAACCAAGGAGACAAACGGAAGTGTTACACAGGTATTTTTCTTTATAAGAGAAATATATTTTAAGAGCACTAAAGGGCCTTTGAGCTCAGCTTTTATGAAGAAATCTGTTTCAAGATAGAAGAGATATATTGTAGGTTTCTGTTAAATTAATGGCAAATACCACTAGCTAAGACAAAGCTAGTGCTTAAGAGCTAAGCATTCTTTATTTTAATTAGTTTATTCTTATGGATTTAGGGGTACAAGTGCAGTTGTGTTACGCGGATATAGTGTGTGGTGGTGAAGTCTGGGCTTTTTGTGTGCTCATCGCTCATAGACTGTACATTGTACCCACTGGGTAGTATGTGACACCCCACACTCCTCCCACCCTCCAATCTTTGGAATCTACAGTGTCTATTATTGCACTCTATACGTTGCTGTGTATCCATTGTTTAACTCCCAGTTATAAGTGAGGATGTGTGGCTTTTAAGTTTTTAATTTCTGAGTTAGGGTCTCACTCTGTCTCCCAGGCTGGGGTGCACTTGCATGATCTTGGCTCGCTGCAGCCTCGGCCTCCCAGGCTCAGGTAATCCTCCCACCTCAGCCTCCTGAGTAGCTGGGACCACAGGCACATCTTACCATGTCTAGTTAATTTTTGTATTTTTTTGTAGAGACAGGGTTTCTCCATGTTGCCCAGGCTGGTCTCAAACTCTCAGACTCAAGCAATCCACCCGCTTCAGGCAGCTAGGGTGTGAGGATTACAGGCGTGAGCCATTGCTCCCAACCCCAGTTTTTAACTTTTTGTTGTCGAGCAATTTCACTAAGGATAATAGCCTCCATTTCTACCCCTCCTGGAAAAGACAAGTTTTCATTCTTTCATATGGCCGAGTAGTATTCCATCGTGTATACGTACCACATTTTAAAAATCCAGTCATCCATTAATAGACGCTTAGATTGCTTCTGTGACTTTGCTGTTGTGAATAGTGCTGCAATAAACATGTAAGTCAGATGTCTTTTTGATAAAATAAGTTATTTTCCTTTGCATAGATACCCAGTAGTGTTATTGGTAGATCAAAGTGTAGTTCCATTTTTAGTTCTTTGAGAAATTTCCATACTGTTTCCCATAGAGGTTGTATTAATTTACATTTCTACCAATAGTATATAACCATTCCCTTTTCTCTGCATCCTTGCCAACATCTGTTGTTTTTTTGACTTTCAAATAATGGCTTTCTGAGTGCTGTAAGATGGTATCTCATTGTGGCTTTAATTTGCACTTCTCTGATGATGAGTGATGATGAGCATTTTTTCCTGTGTTTGTTGGCCAAGAGCTAAGCATTCTGATGGCTTCGTGTGGATCAAATCACAGCTGGATTGTTCAGTTTTGGATGCCAAATATAAAGAGGGACAGACAAACTGGCATTCATCCAGAAGAGAGGAATCAGGATCACGAGAGATTAGAAGTTGTATTGGTAAAGGGAATTTGAATAAATGATATTATCTAATCTAGGTGTGATAGCTAAATTTATGTGTCCACTTGGCTGGGCTGCAGTGCCCAGGTACGTTGTGAGACATCATTCTGGATATTTCCATGAGGGTGTTTTGGATGAGATGAACATTTAAATCAGTGGACTTTGAGTAAAGCAGATTGCCTTCCCTGGTGCAGTGGGCCTTGTCCAATCAGTTGGAGGTCTGGATAGAACAAGAGGCTGACCTCCCCAGAGTAATGGGGAATTCTGCAGCAAATGGCCTCTGGACTTGAACTGCAGCATTGACTTTTCTCTGGGTTTCCAGCCTGCTGGTCTGTCCACATTTTGGACTTGCCAGCTCCTATAATCACATGAGCTCATTCCTTAGTATAAATCTTTCTATATACGTATGTGTACGTCCTATTCCTTCTGTTTCTCCTGGGAACGCTGACTGATACACTAGGAAAGCAGAGATGTGGGATGGAGGCATGGTAAGTGTTTTTAGATATCTGGAGGGCTTTTATGGAAATAGACACAGATTTGTTTTCTATGAATTTGAGAGACCCAGATCCCTGGATTGAAATTTAGAGGCTGGAAGTTTTTTTTTTTTTTTTTTTTGCTTAATTGAAAGAAGACAACAAGAATTGATACATTGATACAATTCTTTTTTAGCTGATTGTGAGTCAGCAAAATTCAAAACATTGAGTTCTTTATAGCTTCCGTGCATCACCACTTGTGCAAGGTACTGTAGAATGGATTCAATGTGCCTGTTGGGAATTAGAATTATAAAGAATTTTGGAAGTTTCTAGTCTGTCATTGTTTCTGGTAATGCATGCTGTGAAGGGCTAAGAAATGTGTTCATCCCACAGAGGATGAAACAACAGACTTGGTCAAAAAAGTATAGTTATGGTCCTTTTAAATGGAAAAATTCAGACCACAGCTGGATAGGAACAAAATCCTGAAAACAGTGACAGATTCAGTGTCTGGTTATTTTAATACTACTCATGTGTAGACATGGATAGAAAAATGCAGATAGTAGAGTACCAAAAAATACCTATTGGAAGTATAAAAAGAATGGTAATTAAATGATTTCTATAGGCACACAGTCTGATAAGAGAGAGACCTCATTTTATGTAGCTCTTTTACTGAAAATGTGGCATTTATTTTTCTGTATTAATTCAATGTATTTCAAATGAACTAAAAACCTGCCATCTTCAAGGATTTCATTATACGATTCCTTATGAACACTGTCATAAAATGAGTAGTTAACTCATTTAATTTTTTGTGAATGAAAATATGAATGGTCACATGTTGAATTTATTTTTATTTTTTTACTTTTTTGAGACAGAGTCTTGCTCTGTCGCCCAGGCTGGAGTCAGTGGTGCAATCTTGGCTCACTGCAACCTCCGCCTCCCAGATTCAAGCGATTCTCCTGCCTCAGCCTCCTGAGTACCTGGGACTACAGGCACGTGCCACCATGCCGGGCTAATTTTTGTATTTTTAGTAGAGATGGGGTTTCACTATATTGGCCAGGCCGGTCTCGAACTCCTAACCTCATGATCTGCCCGCCTCAGCCTTCCAAAGTGCTGGGATTACAGGCATGAGCCACTGTGCTCAGCCCTAAATTTACTTTAAAAGGGTTATACATGTGTTGGTAAATAGCATCAAGAAATACATTCCTTCTATGTTATCGTTATTTTAATTCTTTATTTTTGTCCCCAAAAGATTTACTTACAGATCTTGGATGATCTTGGGTCTTGAATGGGCATGCTGAGGTTCTACCTCTGGGCAGGAAGATAGGTGTGAAGCAACCTCTAACAGCTTGTGCGGAAAATTACCCCCAGGTTAGCACCAGTGAGGCACAGTTGTTCAGCAGAGCAGGGGCTGGGCATTGTTGTAGAGCAGAGCCACGCCCTTCCATTCCAGAGCACTTGGAGCAGTTGGTGTTTATGCTGCTGGGTTGTTTTTATTGAGGACAAACATGCTTTTACATTTATCTATCTTAAAAAAAACTTAAAAACTCACAAGACAACTTCCCTGATATGCCCTGTCCCCCTCCAGCTACCAGTCTTTCCCTTGAATAACTCAATACTATAATGCCACTATTTTTAACTCCTCCTCATTTCCTCTTAAAAATCTCCCATCTGACTTTGGTTCTTACCACTGCATGGAAGAATTACCTGTCCACATCGCAAACGACCTCCTTCCCACTATATTCAGTGGTCAGTTCCCACTTAAGTCTCTGAAGGAGCTCAGGAAATGACACCCCAAAATACACCGCTTTGGACTTCAAACTTCCCCAGTCACTTGGTGAACAGCAAATTCTGAGAGGAGCTTTCTGAGTACCTTTTACCTACCAGACGGATCCTCCAGAGGGGACACAATTGTCATGAATCCCCTCCCTAGAACTTCATCAACCAGGGACTGCTGGCTGATATCACAGGAGAGGATATTGGAGCTGACACTGCACCCAGACAGGTTTTGTCTCAGGCTGTCTTCTGTCCTGCTAAGGGGCCATTCACCCGCCCTAGAAATCATTTACTCTCCCCTAAGTTGCCTACATCCACCCTCTCTCTCCTATGGAGAGGGTATATAAGCTTTCGGATGTCTCTGGGTTTCGAGTATTCATTTTTCTTTCATGTGATGCTCCGTGAATGTAATACACATGTATACTTTTTCTCTTGTTAATCTGTCTTAAGTCAATTTAATTTGTAGCCCAGCCAAGGAACTTCCAAGAGTGGAAGGAGGCCATTTTCACCCTTCCAGGGCCTGGCAGCACTTTTTTGACCACTTTCTTTCTTTCTTTTTTTTTTTTTGAGATGGAGTCTCGCTCTGTCACACAGGCTGGAGTGCAGTGGTGCAATCTCGGCTCACTGCAACCTCTGCCTCCTGCGTTCAAGCACTTCTCCTGCCTCAGACCCCTGAGTAGCTGGGACTATAGGCACGAGCCCACACCCAGATAATTTTGACCACTTTCTTTATTGAGCTTCCAGGTCACCCTTCCCTCCATCTCAGGGGCTGCTTATTTCCTTTTCCTGGCTGCCTCTCCAGCCCAGGGCTCAAGCATCATTCTTCTGCCTTTTCCTAGATGGCCTCATTCATCTACATAGCTTTAAGCAGAATCTGTGTTCTGAAGACTTCTAAATTTGCATGTCAGCCTCTGAGCTTTAGGCTTTTACACCAAATTTCCCCCAGACTTCACCTCTCACGTGCCTAATGGGTCATAAAAACCAGCAGAGCCAAAACAGAACTGGATTTACCTCTTCCACCCCTTTCTCCCTGGGCTTCCTGACCTTGGTGCACAGAACCATTGTTCATCCTAATATTCAGGCTCTGAAGCTTGCAGCGACCTTTGGTTTCGTTCTCACTTCATAGCTCACAGCCAATCCCCACATCAACAAGCAGCTCGGGTTTCAGATGCATCACATCTGACCACGTCTCCCCTCCCTCAGGGGTCCCAGTTCAGTCAGTGCCATCATCCTCTCCTACCTGGACTGCAAGTGGACTCTTACTTGGCTTCCCTGCTTCCACTTTGGGTCAGAGACACATCATGTGTCCTCAGAGACAAATTATGAGTCCAGAGTGATCGTTTTAGACACGGGTCAGATTACTTCACTCACTAGCTCTGCACTCTGCTAGGATAAAACCATATTTCTTACTGAGACACTGGCTGGCTGATGTAGAGGCCTCCAGCCTGACCCCTAGCCTTGCTGGGGTCTCAGGGGCACATTGAGTCTTATTGAGTCCCAGCTCCTTTGCACCTGCTTCTCCTTCCCTGAAACCGTCTTCACCCAGATGTTGGCTTGCTCTTTGCAGAGTGCTCTTCCTGTAGACCTTCATGCTCAAATCGTTGTCCACACTCTGTGCCCCTTCCCCAGTATCATGATCCCTGCTCAGTCACTCGCTGTCCACACCCTTTCCTTTCACTGAGATCATAGTGTATGTTTATTGGTTGGCATGACTATTATCTGTCTCCACAGCTAGGATGTAGGCTTCACTCTCAGGGATCTTGTCTTGTCTTGTTCACTTTTTGTATCCCTAGTAGATGCTCTCCCAAATTTAGATGGAATGAATTAATGTGGGGGAGGAGTTGTTCAGAATGTGATTTAATACATAAAAAACTTTTGGCTCCCCACTCCCTTCCTCTCTCAGTTTGCAATGGAAAGTGATTGCAAAGTAAAGATAGTACAGATTGGTAATTTGGTAATCACTGTGTCAGTGTGGCTCACAGTGGCAACATTATCACATGCAGATTAATAAATTGAGGTCAACAGAAACTGCTTCTGCATGCAGAGAATATAGGAGGACAGAGAGGACAGAGATACATATAGTGTTATATTACTATCACCAATTCAGTTACAATGCTGTTAGGTTTTGTCACCTATTTTTAAATAATTGTCCTGTTACATCTTTTTCTTTTTGCGGAAGGCACCAGTTTAGCATAGTTTGTGCAATGGCTGTCCATTAAAATCTTAGTAAGGTGATAATCCAAATCAGATGCTGTATAGCCTATGCTGGTTTAAGTCCTGAAGTACTTATCTGAAAACTTCGGGTTAAATTAGGAATTCAGAACTTTTCAGAATTCAAGAAGCTAACACAAATTGTCTTTATTATGTATTAGGTAACATCCCCAGTGGTGTCTGAGGCACCATCCCACAAACCCATTGTAATTTCTGCCAAAAAAAAATATGTACACTAAGTAGAATCAATAAATTTACCAGTGGCTTCATATCAGTTCCTGTAATTTTTGCCACTGAAGAAGTTCAGAGAAGAAAAGATTTTGTCTCCAAATGAGTTTTTAAGGAGCTTTATTGGATGAAATTACTGAAACATTGAAACATATACACACTCAAATAAAACGAACTGGAACCGTCGCAAAGGATGCAGAGGAGGTGGCCTGACATCAGCTGAGAGGGGAGGTCAGAGAGAACCCAGGGAGCGAGAGCTTCATGAAAGAGATGCAGCTGGAGTTGCACTTTAGTTGAAGGACTCCTCTGCAAAAAGCTGAATCCTCCCCAGCCTGGATCCAAATTCTCTTTCCTATTACATTTCAGCTGCCAAAATAGCTCTTTGAATTTGGTGCTTAGAAGGATTTAGAGATACTAAAAATTGCAGCATTTCCTACAGAGCTATTTGTAAGAGGAAAGCAATGGAGGTAGAGAAGTGGGTTGTTGAGAATAATAGGGTGAACTTGAAAGAGGAAAAGATGAGGATTAAAATAGGGGCAATCTTCCTCATGTTGAAATTTCTGAAATTCAGTATTCTCTAAGGAGTTGCACTCTAATTTTTCTTAAGGGGGAGAAAATGAAAGTTTTCAAATCATACACGTGCACAGACACACACACCTATGTTTTGCAGGGAGGAATAGCTGAGCTGTTAGAGCCCCACACAGCAGGTAATCTCTTTGGCCTCCTCATTAACACTCTAATCAGCCCTTTTGCAGCCATTCTAACTTAAGAAAAATAGTAAACCTCTGAAATAGCCTTAAAAAAGATGAGTGTAAACCACTTCAGTCTAGCTTTTGAACATGGTGTCTATTGAAAACCCTATTATGTTAGCTGGTAACCAACGATGGAGGTTTCTTCTCCAGTAGTAACTGTGTGTAAAGGTTTTTATGCTTAGGACTGTGTTTAGGAGTTGTGATACATTTTATTTAGTTTTGAGATGGAATCTCACTCTGTCGCCCAGACTGGAGTGCGGTGGCACGATCTCAACTCACTGCAACCTCTGCCTCCCAGGTTCAAGCAATTCTCATGCCTCAGCCTCCTAAGTAGCCGGGATTACAGGCAAGCACCACCATGCTCAGCTAATTTTTGTACTTTTAGTAGAGACAGGGTATCACCATGTCAGCCAGCAGGTCTCAAACTCCTGACCTCAAGTCATCACCCACCATGACCTCCCAAAGTGCTGGGATTACAGGCGTGAGCCACTGCACCCGGCCAACATATCAATTATTTGGTTTGAGCTAGCTTACAATAAAATCACTCTTACAACAGAGATTCATTGTTTCTTCATGTTTCTGTAAGCTGCATTTAAGTATCATAAAGTCTAAAAATTGGATAAAAATATGATGACTGACCTTAATTTCTACCTCCCTGGGACTTGGTTCTAGAGCTGTAGTTTGGACCAGCACTAAGTCTGTCTTACCTTTTTTCCCCTGATAAATATTCAGTATTTGAGGAAATCATCACATCTCCCTTTAGCATTCTTTTGGCAAGGTAAAAGACTACTGAATCCAGTTTTGGGGACCATTGTTAAACTTTGCTTTTTCAGACCTTAGAAACATGTTAAAGTCTTGCAAAGGAGCCCTTGGCATAACTGTGTGACTAGATATGCTCCAAAGCTCTAGAACATGATGATGTTCCATGTACGTCTCCATCTGAGTAAGGGGGGGAAGAGGGCTTGGCTGGTGCTGGATGGGTCTCATTCAATGCAATGCCAAACTCTTAACATTTGAAAATTATATAGTAGAAATACGGACTTTCTTATGAATGCCAAGAAACTGCTTGCTTCTCCTATTGTCTGAATAGCCAGAGAGAATACTTGCACTTACTATTCACTGAAAACTGACTTATTTGGTGATAACGGTTTGGCTGTATCCCCACCCAAATCTCATCTTGAATTGTAGCTCCCATAATTCCCACGTGTTGTGGGAGGGACCTGGCAGGAGGTAATTGAATCATGGGGGTGGGTCTTTCCCATGCTGTTCTCGTCATACTGAATAAGTCCCACAAGGTCTGATGATTTTATAAGGGCAGAGTTTCCCTGCACAAGTTCTGTCTTCCCTGCCACCATGGAAGACGTGCCTTTTGCCTTCTGCCATGATTGTGAGCCCTCCCCAGCCATGTGGAACTGTGAGTTCATAAAACCTCTTTTTCTGTATAATTACCCCAGTCTTAAATATGTCTTTTTCAGTAGCATGAGAACAGACTAATACATATGGCTAAGTCAGATCCTAAGTCCAGGAATTCCCCAGTTCTCCATACCTTCCCTGGAGCTGTATGTTTATAAGAATTTTCTCTTCAGTAGGAGCCCTTTTAAATTGCAGAAGTGCTTTCTTCTGACCACAGCCCTATCTTTGAGGGAATAGCTTTATTGAGTTATTGTTTGCATAGCATATTTAAGAGTACAGTTCAATAAATTTTAGCATATTTAGAGTTGTGCTACCATCACCACAATCTAATTTTATAACATTCACTGCATTTGGAAAGGAAACTTCATCTCATCTCATGAGTTTATTTTGAATGTGGATCTTCTTGGAAAAGTAACTGATTCCTCTTCTTTACAGATAAAGACATCAGCGTTCGGAGAGATTGAGACTGCCTTTGTTCTTTATTCCACAGGGCCCAGAGTGCATCACCCAAGAAAGCTCTCTGACCATGCATGGTCAAGTATAAAACAGTGTACGAATGTTAAACTAGTGTTAGATGATTTTTGTCTATGCTGTGGGGCTCACCTCTCCCATCTCTCCCAGTCTCATCCATAACTGGGTCTGAACTCTTGCTTTTATTTATTATTTAAAATTTCAAACTATCTTGTCCTTGTCTAGCTAAAATTGCTAATGCCCTTTTTAAGCTTTCCTTAAAGGGATTTAATTGTTCAGCAGTAGAATCTTTTCTGCTGTACGTGTGATTTCTCTTGGAGGAAGTGAATTCTTTCTTATAAGTGAGTGTCAAGGGGAAAGCACAGAACATCAGGCTTAAAGCTTGAGTTGTGGCCCTATGATTTCAGTTCCATATACAGAAATCCATCCGCCCAACAAAGAACCTTCTAAACATTCTACAGACTTGTCCAAAGTGACTCTACTGTGTAGCAGAGCAGAGAAACCAAGTTTGTGACCCATTTTCTGGCATCCTAAAGGATATCTAAGAACCTAGTGATGACACCCCCAGTCCCTAGCTCCTACCCCCATGCCAAGCTGTCTCCCACTCATTGCCTCTGGATCATGGTGCAACTTGCCACTCCAAGAAGATCCACATGCAAATAAGCTCATGAAATGGAACGAGGTTTCCTAGGGCCATGTCCTACTCACATTTGAATGACCATAGTTTTAGCAAGATCATCTTTTTAAGAATAGTTTGCTTCTTTCTAACACCGAAGTGAAATTGGTAGAAACAGAGAGAATCAGGATCAGAATTAAAGAGACGAGATAGCTCTGGAGGCCTTTGAGGACAGTCACTCCCATGTGAAGTGAAAACAAACCAAGGGTAGCAGTGGCCCCTACCACTGGGGGCAGAGATGCTGGTTGCTAGAATGGCACCAGGGGTACAGAAAGTCACCTTCTGCTCCTGTGACTTGCTTATCCCATGCTGCATGGGTGTGAAAGGTTCTGATGCTACTCTTTGTATTTTTGGTAGAGAGACAATGAATCAGCATTTCAAGCTACAGGCAAAATAAATAATATGTTTAGACATGTCTTAAAGGATTAATACTTCAGAATCTGAGAAAGCAAAGTTAGTAAACCCAACCTGGGCCAGTGGTGGACACACTAAGATAAATAGCTCCTCTGATTTTTATTTATTTATTTATTTATTTATTTATTTATTTATTTTCGAGACAGAGTCTCGCTCTGTCGCCCAGGCTGGAGTGCAGTGGCGCGATCTCTGCTCACTGCAAGCTCTGCCTCCCAGGTTCACGCCATTCTCCTGCCTCAGCCTCCCGAGTAGCTGGGACTACAGGCGCCCGCCACTGCGCCTGGCTAATGTTTTTTTTTTTGTATTTTTAGTAGAGATGGGGTTTCACCATGTTAGCCAGGATAGTCTCGATCTCCTGACCTCTTGATCCTCCCACCTTGGCCTCACAAAGTGCTGGGATTACAGGCGTGAGCCACTGTGCCCGGCCCTCTGATTTTTAAATAACATGTTCTTGGAGAAAGTGGGGCCTGAACAGTCAGTCACATTTTCTTCCCCTATCTCCCCTTCCCTCCTGTCCCCTCCTATCTCCTCCCCTCTCCTCCCCTCCCCTCTCCTCCCCTCCTCTCTCCTCCCCTCCCCTCCCCTCTTCGAAGTCTATCTCTGTCACCCAGACTGGAGTGCAGTGGCACGATCTCGGCTCACTGCAACCTCTGCCTCCCAGGTTCAAGCAATTCTGCCTCAGCCTCCCGAGTAGGTAGGATTACAGGTGCCCACCATCACGCCCAGCTAATTTTTGTATTTTTAGTAGAAACGGGGTTTCACTGTGTTGGCTAGGCTGGTCTCGAACTCCTGACCTCATGATCTGCCCGCCTCGGCCTCCCAAAGTGCTGGGATTACAAGCGTGAGCTACTGCACCCGGCCTTCTTTTTTATTTTTACATATCCTTAAGGACTAGGAAACATTTGGGTCACACTGGTGCTTACATTCAAACCTATAAACAGGAATTAATGTATTTCTTTGCCATTTATTTTATAAATTTTATTACTCTGTGTGTGTATTTTAAAGAAGAATTTCTGGTGAGTTTTCTATTCTTATTTGTATCTATTACTTACCTCAATGGCTTGTTCCAACATGATTGTTGTGTGTAAAAGTAATTTGTGAATAGAGCATCGCTGATTAGTGTTGTCACAATTGAGCGAGTGTGTCCCAGAGCTTTGCTTTTCACACTCGCACACTCATATGGATCATCTGAAAATCTTGTGAAAATGTAGATTCCATTCAGTGGGTCTGGGGTGGGACCTGGGATTCTGCATTTCTAACAAACTCCAGAGAGATGTGGATGCTGCATCTGTGAGCTGTGCTTTAAGTAGCAAGTTCTTATAGGGTCTACAGTGTGATGAACCAGACAGGGCCAAGCAATGCAGGTTTCCCCAGAGATGAGCACTTCCTGCCCCTCAGTCTGTAGGGATTAGGACACAGTGCCTATCACAGTTGGCTTGTGGGAATATATTCTGGGAGCAGAGGCCTGCTTGGAGAACAAATGTCCTCTTTGCTACGTTTTTCCAGCATTTAAATTGATCCAGTATGGGACTGTACAGATAGCAAGAAATGCAGATGAACTTGGGCAGTGTTAAAACCTGGATATCCTCCATGAAGCAGATTGGGTCTGGCCCATGCTGGTGGCAGTTTACCTCCTCCCGCTGTTCCCTCTTCCCTGGCCACTGAGGGTTTATAAACTTGTGAAGGCGTGGAGACTCTCAGGAAGTTGCTGCCACATTTCTCTCTCTTACAGACGCTAAGATTCCCTTTCAGTAATTGAAAGTGGTCTGAAGGCTCTGGAAAGACAGAAATGAAGGACCTTCTTTAAAAACAAACGTTTACAGCACCTTCTCGAAGATTCAAATTTCGTGGATTATATGTGGTTATTCTAGTGTGACATGCGAAGGGTGGATAGGTACCTGTTTTTAAAAGGTATTTTTGTTTTGACATTTCGTATTTCCATTATTTCAAATTGCATCAGACTGAAGTCCTAGCAAAAGTATACATTACTTTTATCTTTCCATTCATGGGAAAATGAAAGAAAATGTTTCAGAGACTTTTCTAAAAAGATTTGATCTCCTCAGTGTTAATATCCTTAGCTACCCAATTCAGAAAATTACAGATTTCCTTATAATTGGTTTACTTGATTATTTAGGATGTTTTCTGTCATCCTGGGGGATGTAGAATGTGTGTCTGATACAGTGATTGTTAGTTTTAAACAAATAAGAACATGCTATATGTGACACATGCACACCTCGTGAGCTGAACTGGTACTTTAACTACCACATGGCACATTTATTCCCAAAGCTATTGGGTCAGATACCATTTTCTGGAAATAACCGAGTCATAAATGATGGCGTCTTATTGGTCTCTACAACATGACCCTAGGACACTTTGACTGCTGTGAAACTGGCACTTAAAATAGAGTGAAATATAATTGAAAATTGCACATTGAAGATTTCTTATTCATTCCTTATTATTAGCTGCAGAAATCATGTGTTTATAGACCTTTTTCAGTTGGATATCTTTTGCTATTTTAAAATGATTGAATACGTTAGTCAGTTTGACTATTTCTGCCAAGGCAAAAAGAAGAGTTAATTAAAACACACACACACACACACACACACACACACACACACACACTCTCTCTCTCTCTCTCTCTCTCTTTTTCTGCCAAGGCAAAAAGAAGAGGTAATTAAAACACACACACACACACACACACACACACACACACACACACAGTCTCTCTCTCTCTCTCTCTCTCTCTCTCTCTCTCTCTCTCTCTCTCTCTCTCTGTCTCTCTCACTACTGGTGATATCATCTCTGTGTAGCCAAGCAGACCACTACAGATCATTGCTTTTCTTAGAAATTACAGCCGGGCATGGTGGCTCAAGCCTGTAATCCCAGCACTTTGAGAGGCCCACCTGGGCAGATCACTTGAGGCCAGGAGTTCAGGATCAACCTGGCCAACATGGTGAAACCCCGTCTCTACTAAAATACAAAAATTAGCTGGGCATGGTGGTGCATGCCTGTAATTCCAGCTACTTGGGAGGCTGAGGCATGAGAATTGCTTGAACCTGGGAGGCAGAGGTTGCAGTGAGCCGAGATCATGCCACTGCACTCCAGTCTGGGTGACAGAGCAAGACTCTGTCTCAAAAAAAAAAAAAAAAAAAGAAAATTTGAGTAATAAAATCAGAACTATCCTGTGTGCCTCGGTACAGTGGAGTAAGAATGTCTGTTCCTCATGCTGTACCCCATTCAAAACAGTTGAATGCATGGCTTGAGAATGGGTTGTAAACCACAGCTGGATTTCCTTGGCCTTATTCTTGAACTGTTTGTAATTGGTGAGAAAGCAGTGAGCCCAGCAGATGGAGAATTTGCTACCTGAGGACACTCGGTGTCATCCAGGTGCTAGGTGATCTGACTCTATGTCATCCTTGCACCAGTGGAAGATTGGGTTATGCCTTTCCCCTAGCAAACTCTCATGCAGCCTCCTGGGGCACCAGTGCATTCATCGTCCGAATGCCTGGCTGGGGACAAGACCAGAGGGCCTGAAGGAAAGCTGGTTCCAGGAGGAACCCAGGCTCATTCTTGGCCTCATGCATGTGAGTCCTTAAACACCAGTTTGCACATATTCAGTGCTACACTAAACTCTACCTCTGCCTAAGTTGAATGGTTGTCTACTTTGATGAAAAAAAATGTGTTTAATAGAGGACTTCCTCATGTAGGAAAGCAGAAATGGTAATTTACAGAGGATAAGAAAAAGTACACGTTAATCCAAGAAATACAAACTCAGGTGGATGAACTGCAGAGGCCAGGAGTCAGGGGGAAATAAGAATTAGCCCCAATAGGTCTGTTTTATAAGCACAGAGAACAACATGCATGTAATATTGTGTCAAATACTTCTAAAAAATGAAAGCTTCGGCCTCTGTTTCATGAATTTCTCCGTTAAATTATTCAGTCTGATTTATGAGCTACTGTTTAATGTATTTTAGATTGGGGAAATCAAATAGGAGTGGGGTGGATGTAATTGTATTTATTACAAATGTGAGTTGCTTGTTCATTGAGATTATTATAAAGTTGGCCAGAGAATGGATTGACTTTTCAGGTCCTAGACACACCTGCCCAGGAAGTAACGTCACTAATAGTAATAGTACCTGGAGGTAGCATGAGCTTATTGATTTAGTTTTACTTCTGCCTGAGGCCAAAATGTCCTGCAGTAGTAATGATTCAAATGTACCTCATGGAAATCAAGTGAGGTAATGCAAAGAACATGAAATCCACATACTTGCTGCTGTTGACAGAAAACTGTTCCATGCCAGGCAGGATCTAGCCAACAGGCTGTTGTAGATTGCTGATAATTAGCTTCCCTGAAAGTCGAGGGGGTGACCTGCAGACATGTCACTGGGTTAATAATTTCTGTTTTTGTTTTTATAACTTCCCTTGAAGCAAAGTTCTTTCCTGTGTCCGGGTCTTCCCAGAATTGGCTGAGAGAACCGACAAGCAACTGGCTTGCTATCCAAAGTGCTAAAGAATCTTTTGCGATGCTGTGTGGCAACAATGTTGCAATCATTAATAGAACTGATCTAAAAGGAAGAAAGAGAGAAAGACAAGAGGCCTCAAAGCAGCGAGAAAGGTTGCTGGAGGTACTGTTCCAGAATGGGTTGTAGAACTCCCAGCTGGTGGACCCTTCACTTACTTCCTGTGTAGGTAGTCAACCTTTTTCTTTTATCTCTCTCTTTTTTTTTTTTTTTTTGAGATGGAGTCTCACTCTGTCCCAGGCTGGAGTGCAGTGGCGGGATCTCGGCTCACTGCAACCTCCGCCTCCTGGGTTCAAGCTGTTCTCCTACCTTAGCCTCCTGAGTAGCTGGGATTACAAACGTGTGCCACCATGCCTGGCTAATTTTTGTATTTTTAGCAGAGATGGGGTTTCACCATGTTGGCCAGGCTGGTCTCGAACTCCTGACCTCATGATCTGCCCACCTCAGCCTCCCAAAGTGCTGGGATTACAGGCGTGAGCCACCGCGCCTGGCCCTTTCTTACACGTTATTAATATTAATACAAATGTGTCACCAATTTCACTATCATCATGCACCAAATAAGTCACTTCCTAGATTAAAATACTAAGTCTCAGAAGGCTTAAATAAGGGCATCTACCCACACGATCCTGAAGTTCTGTGGGAGGTTGTATTTATCTTTCACAATTATTGAATTCCTTGCTCTATAGCGAGAAGATCTGGCCACATGACTTTCCCTGGCCAATGATATGTAGGAGAAAGCGAGTGTTAGGAGCCACTTGTGGCTGTGTCTCTCTTTTTCTGCTGTTAGATCAGCATGTATTTTAGGTACAGGCTGTGCTGTCAGCCTGGATCCCAGAGGGAAGAAGACACAGAGCAGGGTACCCTTGGTGGATGCTCGGCAAGAGCCGGGAGCAAGCCTCTCCTCCTCAGGCCTCTAGGGTTCTGGAATTGATTGTTATCACAGCATAACTCAGCCCAGCCTGACTGATAACAGACATCTTAAGTATTAGGATCTTCAGTTTATATTTATTTAAAATGATGTTATCTTGTCACATTGTTCCAAAAACTATTAAATGCTGCTTACAAAATACATCCAATTCAGTGGAATTAAAATGAATAAAGCACATAACTCATAACATTTTTGAGTAAAAGAAAATGAGGGTAGAGAAATCAATCAAGGCCAAGGCTGACACCGTTTGATCCAGTAAAGTGTGTGACGTGTCTGCCCAAGGCCAGCCACAGTGCCACTGTAAAGAGGGAACACATTGTTCACAGCCTAAATATACCTGACTGTTTTCATCTCCAGCAAGCTCTGCACACAGTGAGTAATAGCAGAGTGAGAATTAAAGTGTGCTACTTTATCAGTAGCTGAACAGGTACATAATGGCCCTTTAAATAAAATGCTGGATTAGGACACATCACTTAGGTCTCCAGACTTAGTAGAGTGTCTTACCTTCCGCTGTTTCTTCTCAACCCCCAAGTCTAAATTTTGATTCAAGCAAACTTGAAAGTATCTGCAAGGCGAGAAAGTTAGCTGGGTCTGAGGAGCAGGCTCTGGCCAAGCTGACACACCCAGCTGTGCATTTTGGAGAGTGCTGCAAAGCAAAGTCTCACCAGGGCCTGCCTCTCTGCCTACTGCATGGGAACAGGAAGCCTATCAGAGCCGACGGCTTTGCACGTCAGGCCCAGCAACCCAAGGGCACTATTGATCTGGTTCAACCGATACGGTCCTGAGTGGGAGTCTAGAGGTAAGGACACGGTGTGTAGAGTCAGTGATGATGACTCGATGGCAAGGTAGAAACACTTCCCACGCTCATACAAACTGTAAACCCAAGTGGGTGTACTTTTCTTTGTTTAAAATAAAAAGAATAATTGGCTGGGTGAGGTGGCTGATGCCTGTAATCCTAGCACTTTGGGAGGCTGAGGCAGGCAGATTGCTTGAGTCCAGGAGTCTGAGACCAGGCTGGGCAACATAGTGAGACCCCGTCTCTATAAAAAATTCAGATTAGCTGGGCATAGTGGCATGCTTTTGTATTCCCAGCTGCTTGGGAGGCTAAGGTAGGAGGATCACCTGAGCCTGGGAGGTCAAGGCTGCAGTGAGCCGTGGTAGCACCACTGTACTCCAGCCTGGGTGACAGAGTGAGACCTTGTCTCTAAAAACAAGATGAAGCAAAATGATAATCTCAGCCACCTGTCACCAGCTTAACTGCATTTCTCCAGGTCTGAGAAACAAATTCTATACATATTTTTATGTCTCTGATATCATTGTATATCTTATAAATAATGGTATACCATATTTTAATTGGGAGTAATTTTTCTTTATAAAGTGGTCCATAAAACAGTGTTACATATTACAATCAATAATCTCTTAGATTTGATGAAATGTGGTAAAAGAACATTTACCATGGCAAAAATACCACCTTGCATCAGGAGAGAAAGGGTTCTATCCTGAATAGCCCACGCTGGGTTTAAGGAGAGGCCTTAGCGAGCCCCCAGCACTCTGACGTGTCTGACATCCAGTCTTTGGACAACAATCAAAAAAGGGACATCCAAAGCTGGCCCATTTCAGAAAAGGCAACGCAGACACCTGCAGTCCCTGACATCAGTGATTCCAAATGGGTTGGGACTCTTTGATCATTTTTAATAAACCCAAAGTTTGCAGCTCAAAATGGCCAGAGCCACGTAGTGAGTGATTTGCAGAAGCAAATGCAATGCTTGGACCTTCAATCCCCAGAAAGCAAGGATGGAATGGTGAAACCAGCTGCCGCCAAACAGCCAGGCAGTGGGCGTCCTAGCGGGAAAGAGGAATAGAAGGATTTGAGATTAAGCAGGCACTGAACACCTAGGAGACCATCCTTAGAATCCCAGTCTCTTTATGTTGAAAATTATTGCCTGTTAGAAAGACCTGTTTCCTAAGGCAAAGGGCAAGGTGAACATAACATCCATGGCATTAAGATGCCTAATGCCAGGTTTATTATGGTATGTGTATGTGCACGTATTTTCTATCCTGCATGCTAAGTATTTGAAGTGGAACTTGCAGACAACCATGTGGAGTGATGGATTAAATTTCCCCTTTCTTAGGAAGTTCAGAAGTCCAAGGAGGCAGTGTTCATGAATAGAAGGTTCCTTCATCTTGGCCCGGCGTGGTGGCTCATGCCTGTAGTCCCAGCACTTTGGGAGGCCAAGGCGGGCAGATCATGAGGTCAGGAGATCGAGACCATCCTGGCTAATATGGTGAAACCTCGTCTCTACTAAAAATACAAAAAATTAGCCGGGCATGGTGGCGGGCACCTGTAGTCCCAGCTACTTGGGAGGCTGAGGCAGAAGAATGGCGTGAACCCAGGAGGCACAGCTTGCAGTGAGCTGAGATCGTGCCACTGCACTCCAGCCTGGGCAACAGAGCGAGACTCCATCTCAAAAAAAAAAAAAAAAAAAAAAGAAGATTCCTTCATCTTAGCGGGGAGGATCTGAAGGAGTCACCCTGGTTACATCTTTGTATCTCACCCTCACAATGCTCATTTAGTCATCGGTGGATCCCTTTAAATATCAAGTATGGGATACAAAAGGATAATACTAGAAAATAAATACTAACTCAGCCATGCTATGGTTTAAATATCACCAGGCACACAAGACTCAAGAACTGCTTTTCAAATCCATGAACATACGTGTCTACAGTCATTTTCTAGCTGGGTAACCCTGAGCTGGTTATGCAGTCTCTCTGTTAGTTTCCTTATATGTGTAACATAAAATAACAGTAATGTGTATTATTGAGGATTTTTTTTTTTTTTTCGAGACGGAGTCTTGCTCTGTCACCAGGCTGGAGTGCAATGGCGCGATCCCTGTGATCTCCGCCTCCTGAGTTCAAGCGATTCTCCTGCCTCAGCCTCCCGAGTAGCTGGGATTATAGGCACATGTCACCACGCTCAACTAATTTTTTGTATTTTAGTAGAGACGAGGTTTCACCATTTTGGCCAGGATGGTCTCGATCTCCTGACCTTGTGATCTGCCTGCCTCAGCCTCCCCAAAGTGCTGGGATTACAGGCGTGAGCCACTGTGCCCGGCCTCATTGAGGGTTTTGAGGAGGTTTAAATGAATTGATATTGGTGTTTGATGATGATGACAATGATGATGAAAGTTGTTATTAAACCATCGCTCCCTCCCTGTGGCCAGCCTTCCCACCTTCTGGGAGATCTTATTCAATCTTTTAACTCTCCCCTTTTCTAGAGCTTTCCTTCTGCTTTCTGGATCACAGCACTGGGAATGTGGATCTGCTTTTAGATCAGTGCTTTGAGAAGTAGGAGAACAACTGTGGTCGTGGCGGTTGGTCTTTGATGCCAGTAAGCAACAGACCATCTGCCTTGTTGTTGATCTGAGTCATTGATGGCCAGATTGAAAGAGCAGAGGGTTCCTGAGTCCCAGGTGTTGCAGGACGTTGTGTGTGCCCACAAGCCAGGCTACATGGCTTAGAGCAGCAGCCCAAGTGCTCCGTTGGTTCAGGGGGTAGCAGGGGTCCATGGAGAAGTCAGAGTCCTGACTGCCAGTGTTTGGAGGCATGGTTTCTGTAAGCTTGTTGCGCAGCAGTCAAGAAAGATCTGGACTCGAGGACATTGGTGTCAGTGTCACCTACCTAGCTACACTTGGTCTGGTTGTTGACATTGTACTTCAGGGCTGTGGGTCTTCCAGGGCCAGGTCAGAAGCCTGCTGATCGACCCAAAGTGTGGATGATGGAAGCTGTGGAGCAGGGCTGAGGGTGAGGAGAGAAGGAGCCCATTAACCACAAGCTCAGAGTATACTCTGATTCCCTAAGAAGGCTGGTCCAGGACCTTCTGAGTCAAGTCTGAGGTTCTGATGAAGGGAGACCATCCGCATAGTAGAAGGTCCCCAAGATTCTGATGAAGGGAGACTATCTGCATGGTGGAAGGTCCCCAAGGTTCTGATGAAGGGAGATCATCCCGCATGGTGGAGGGTCCCCGAGGTTCTGATGAAGAGAGATCATCCTGCATGGTTGAGGGTCCCTGCAGTTCTGATGAAGGGAGATCATCCCGCATCGTGGAGGGTCCCTGAGGTTCTGATGAGGGGAGATCATCCTGCATGGTGGAAGGTCCCCGAGGTTCTGATGAAGGGATATCCTGCATGATCGAGGGTCCCTGTGGTTCTGATGAGGGGAGATCATCCTGCATGGTGGAGGGTCCCCGAGGTTCTGATGAGGGGAGACCACTCCATATGGTGGAGGGTCTCTGCAGTTCTGATAATGGGAGATCATCCTGCATGGTAGAAGGTCCCTGAGGTTCTGATAAAGGGAGATCATCCCACATGGTGGAGGGTCCCTGAGGTTCTGATGAAGGGAGATCATCCCACATGGTAGAGGGTCCCCAAGGTTTGGATGAACGGAGATCATCCCACATGGTGGAAGGTCCAGCCTGGCAGTGTGACCCAAAGTGGCTTCCCTAATCTTTCTGAGCCTCTGTTTCTACAAACTCTAAAGTGCCCACTCACCAGGGGTAACTGTTGATTTTTACTTTGGCTCCACAATGTGAGTGTCTGGTATATTTCCAGTTACATCGTAGGAACTCCTGTGATGGCATGAGGAGGGTGAGGGTGATGGCATCCCTTGATGATTCCTGCCGACCACAGCAGGTACCTGCAGTCCCTGTAGTTCCTCAGGGACACTCCTCACACCCGTTAGGGAACAGTTCACCACAGCATCCTTCCACGTCCTCTCTCCAGGTGAACTCAGAGATCTGTTCATTCAACAAGAATTGATGGGGCACCTGAGTCATTCTTCTAAGGTAGTTGACATTCCCAGTCCTGATTCATGGTTGTTCCATCCTTATCTCATCTGTTACCTGTCACCGATCATGTACACCTTTCTATCTTTGAGTCTGTTTTGCACATATATACAAGTAAATCACATCGAAGTTTAAATTGTCTCATTAATTTGTGAAATGTGATTACAAAATTCTTGAAATCACATTTCTATCCTATTAGGAAAGCAAAAAGGAGAAAACAATTTTGAAGCCTAACTCCTAAGAGAATTGCTGTATTACAAGGAGACAGGGATGCTGTGAATTCGTTACAGGAAAGAGGATGTCAGCCCTCATGCCTTTGTCTCCCAAGGGCCTGGACTTTCCTCCACTTGATTTGTAGAGAGTGCTTTTGGAAGATGGGTGTGTTTTATTTAGATGGTACAGGTGTCAGAAGGTAAGAGGTGTGATGGAAGTTGATAGGTGACTGTTACTTGAAGGAAGGGGGAATGAAGTCTAAAAGGTTAGCTACACATTTTATCTCCCTGATCTCCCTATGATGCAAAGAACCCAAGAATGTGTCTTTGTAACAAAAACTGGTTGTTACATGGACAGTGATCAGAGAAATCACTTGCCGATTAGAATTTCTCCCTATGTAGCATTCCATGAAATAAACAGACAGCTGCTCCTGGTTCCCCCAGAAAAATACAGATTTGTAAAAAAAAGAAAAAAAAAAATACTACTTGTTACCAAAATGTTTTCTGAGTATATTCTTTTATCTTACAGAAAACATCTACGTATTTTAAATTATTGTTGTGGAAAATGTATACACACACCTACACATTCATTGTAAGAAATTCCAAAGTAAAAGTTTACCTGAAATTCTGTCATGCTGATATTTATTTTTTAAGTTAAATTTTTTTTTTTTTTTACTGAAAGTAATAATTGGCTGGGCATGGTGACTTATGCCTGTAATCACTTTGGAAGACGAAGGCAGGAGGATTGCTTGAGGCCAGGAGTTTGAGACCAATCTGGGCAACAGAGTTAGACCGTGTCTCTAAAAAATATTGACAAGTTGGCTGGGCGTGGTGCTGTACTCCTGTAGCTCTAACTACTCAGAAGGCTGAGGTGGGAGGATCACTTGAGTGCCGGAGTTCGAGTCTGCAGTGAGCTGTGGTCGTGCCACTGCACTCTAGCCTGGGCGACAGAGCAAGACCCATTCTCTAAAATCAATGAGTAAATAAATCATAAAAATAAAAATAATTGTAGATATCTGTGGGGTACAATGTGATGTTGTGATACATGTATACTTTGTAAAATGTGATATATCAGCTTTAATATTTTGGTGGACACCCTTTAATTCATCTCTGTTACAATATACATATACTGTATGGAATTGTGTGTGTCATAAATGAAACCATGGCTTCTACTTCAGTGATATCCATTGTAACATCTACTGGGAAGGTTGGATGCCCAGAAGATATGGCCAACTAAATTACTCAGTGTATGAACAAGAAGCACATCATGTCGTCTTAAAAGTGATTGTGTTCTTATACATTTTTATTGTGGATGAGTTAGAAAATATGGAGAAGATAGAAAAGGTGCTAAGAGTATAATCCAACCACCCTAGGAAGACTTTGTCTTAGTCCCTCAGGGCTGCTATTAAAATGCCATGGATCTTCTGGATAGCTAAACGATGGGGGCTCCTGGAGGGTGGGGCTTTCAGGTAAGGCATGGATACCTTGCCCTACCCATCTCTTCCTTTGGTGTTCATCAGTATCCTTTGTAGTATCCTTTATTAAAAACAGTAAACATCAGTGCACACTTAAAAGCATGATAATTGCCAAAAGAATAGCTTCTGAAGACCATGGGTTCAGAGGTCTGAAACTTGGAAATCACTCAAGGGACCCTCCGCCTCTCTTTCTCTTGCGCTGTCTCCCAGATGCTGCCACAACCAGTTGAATGGTATAACATTAACAATAACAATTAATTAAATAAAAGATATCATACACTGGGTAGCTTAAAAACAGCAGAAATTTATTTCTCACAGTTCTGGAAGCTGGAAGTCCAAGATCAAGGTGCCAATAGATTTGGTGTCTACTGAGGGCCAGTTTTCTTTTCTTTTTTTCTTTTTTTTTTTTGAGATGGAGTTTCATGCTGCTGCCCAGGCTGGAGTTCAGTGGCACGATCTTGGCTCACTGCAACCTCCGTCTCCCAAGTTCAAGTGATTCTCCTGCCTTAGCCTCCCAAGTAGCTGGGATTACAGGCGTGCACCACCATACCTGGCTAATTTTTTTCTTTTCTTTCATTTTTTTTTTTTTTTTTTTTTTTTTGGTAGAGACAGAGTTTCACCATGTTGGCCAGGCTGGTCTTGAACTCCCAACCTCAGGTGATCTGCCCACCTCAGCCTCCCAAAGCACTGGCATTACAGGTGGGAGCCATTGCGCCCACGAGGGCCACTTTTCTGAGTCAAAGAGGGTGACTTCTTGCTATGTCTTCACATGGTACAGGGGACGAAGAAGATCCTTTGGGCTCTTTTATCAGGGCAACAATCCCATTATGACATCTCCACCTCCACAGCCTGATCATCCTGGAAGGCCCCACCTTTTAATACCATCACGTTGGTGATTACATTTCAAGGTACAAATTTTGGGGGACACAGACATTTGCACCATAGCAGACTTACATTGATTTTGTGCTGTATTTTTTTCCTAGGCCTTTAACTTATATATTTCAAAACCTAATTAGAAGGGTATAGTTGAGAGACAGGATAGCCAAGTGGACAAGAGTCCATGCCGAGGGAGCAACTCGTGTGGAGACCCTGGACGGGAAGTCTCCCCGCACGTCGATTCAGAGAAAGGTAACGGAATAAACATGGGAGATCTTGGTGGGAGAGGTCAGAGAGAGCGCGGAGGGCCAGACCCTGGCACCTTACAGCATCCTACATACTTGGGCTTTACCTCCAGAGAGATGACGTGACTGGAAGGTTTGAGTCGAGGAGTGAGGTGGCCTGACCAAGGTTTGATGGGACTGCCCTGTCTGCTGTGTTGGGAAGAGACCACAGGTGACCAAGGGCTGAAGCAGGGACACCCTTCAGGAGGCTGTTTCTCTAATTCAGCCAACAAGTGGCTGATGTTCCTGCACACTAGGGAGGTGGTGATCAGATATGAAAAAACAGCATTCCAGGTCAGATAAGATGTGGGGAATGAGACATGAGGATGGGCCAAGGATGAGACCAAGATCTGGGCCTGAGCAACTGGAAGAATGCAGTTGCTTCGTGTTGTGATTGGGAAAGCTGTGGGAGAAGCGGTTTGGGGTTGAAGTTTTCTGTTTTGCAGATGTTGGGTTTGATGTCCTGGGAAGTTGAATAAATGAGTTTAAGAGCAGGCTAGAAGTTGGGCTATCTTCTTAGGAGTCATCAGCAACTAGATGATGTTTACAGCCTTAAGATGGATGAGCTGAGAAAGGGAGTGAATACAGATAGAGGAGAGAGCAGCCCTGGGGAAAGTACAGACTTGTCAAGCTATTGATAGCATATTTGCAAATGGCTTTGAAGAAAGACCCAGGGCACTTTCCCACCAGCAGTGGGTGGGAATGAGTGCCGTACTGCACACTTGTCTGTTCTCTGTATTACTAATTTTTTAATCATGACCACCTTGAAAGAAAAGCTTTTCTTGCTAAATTACTGTTTGAATTGTAATTTATTTGATTGTCAGACAGGGTGAATTTTCATAAAGGTATTAGTCATTTGCATTACTTGAAGTGAATTATGTTCATTTTCCATAATTCTAAGTCAAAGAGATTATGTTTTATTCTGACATCGTGGAAGCCACTGAACATTTTTAAAGAGCACAGCATGATGCAGATGGCTATTTGGGAATATTAATGGGAAAGTTCCTATCCTTGCATCCTCTTTTATTCATTCATCAGTGAGTCTGACTCCAGAGCTTCAATTTTCTGAAAAGTTTGGAAAAACTAGCTTTGGATAATTATTAGTCACGTGCAAATGAGTTAACTGGGTATTAATGGAATGAAACCACTGCCATTTCTTGCTGGCTACAGTGTGAAGCAACCACTTAGGGTCATCCGTCAGCCTTGAATCAAGACACAGAGTACAGAAGACAGATTTCCATCCTCTTCTTTGCCTTTCTTCTTAAAGCTAATTATCAGCTCAATCCTTTATTTCACCCCTTCCTACAACAAAATGGGATGCACTAGCATTATTCATATCCAGCCTTCTCTCAGTGTGTAGTCAGGGTAGTCACTGGTGGGTCATTGTCTTCATGGAAGATGGTGTGACTTCCATACTTAGAAACCAGCATCCTCTGATGTTCTCAGCAGGATATGGCTCCTATTGTATTGTATTGTATTGTATTATATTTTTCAATTGACAAAATTGTGTGTATTTTTCATGTACAACATGATGTTTTGAAATATACATACACTGTGTAATGGCTCCATCTGGCTAATTAACATACTGCACACCATGGCAACTACAGTTAATAACAATGTTTTGTATTTTGAAAATCTCTGAGAGAGTAGACTTTGTGTTCTTACCGAAAGACTTTTTAAAGGCATAAAACATGAGTGGTTCACCTGCTGGCTCTCACTAAATCCTCTCATGCAATTGGCTCAAAAATCATGGAATAGACAGTTCAGGGAGGCAGAGTTTGGCTTTTGGAATTGCTTTCAGGACCTGGGATATGTTGTAAGGACATGGTCTCTTGAATATCTGGAATCTGCAAAAAATGAGTAGTGGCAACTGGAGGGACTGGGTTTGGGGAAACATCTCTTGAGCTTGGCTCTCAACTAAGCCAACAGTGCCAACTCTGCTTCATAGGCGCAGCTTGTTTTAGAACAATGTGACTAATTTTTTTACACAGTTCTGAAAGCAATTCTCTAAAAGGAATTCCAAAAATATTTTGAACAGCAGCATTATTAAGATTAGCTGTGTTCCATCCCAAGGTGACTCCTGTATAGGAAATGACGCTCACTGGGATGTATCTGTCTTTCTTGGCCTTTCAGAAGCAGTCTCGGGAGATTATGGTCACACTTGTGTACTTGCAGCTTTCCCATAGAATTAAAAACCCTGACTAATTACCAGAAACTCAGCATTTAAAATCACTGTGGATAAGAGTCAGGCTAGAACTATAAGATCATGTTACCCACTTTCTGTAGGGAAGTATAATTCAGCATTTCAAATCAGAATGGAGGTGCTTCAAAGATTTGCCATTTTAAGAAGAAAAAAAAAAGGATAACATTCATCAGAGCATTTGCCAAGAGACAGTCTTAGCACTAAGGCAGCTCTCATCCTTCTGGAAGCTTGACAGTCTTACCATGATGGTGAATGAGACAAGTTTTACTATCATTTCAGGCTCATTGCTGTAAATGTAACCTTTCTTCAGGTGAATGTCCTAGGAAGAAAAATATTGTTCCTTACAGAAAAAACAAACAAAAAAACTAGTTAAAGTATTTCATGGGAAAAAAACTATTTAAATTCATTATTCTGTCAGATTCCGTGGAGGGCCTCCGAGGCTGCCAGAAACAGCCCTTTCTTTGAGCACTTATTTCTGTGATACCCTGAGTACACAAATTCCTTTTACAAGTGACTTTTCCTCAGACAACAATTGAATTCTAATGTGTTTATCTTGAACTTGTATTATGGCTGGTAGCCTAAGCATTGTATTTCAACAGCCTCTTAAAAGTGTCCATAATAGATGTGGAAAATCAAAGTGCCACACATCCAGTTGTTTTTCAGCTTTTGGTGCCTTAATTTGCATCGCCTGATCAGCTGAGGATCTGCTGAGTGCAGAAACAATCTTCGTGCACCGGCTAATTTATAGCATGGCAGAACAGTTGTTTTCTAGACAACTTGTAAGGAAACTGCTTCTCCTCATTTGTCTTCTGATCAGAGCTGCACAAGAACTCTTGATCATTTACAAATGACGAAAGTGAGACTTGTAAAAGGTGAGAGTAAATCTTCTATCTTATTCTCTTATTGTTTGCTACTTGGCTTTGATTTATCATTTTGTGCCTTTTTTTTTTTTTTTTTAACAGAATCTCATTCTGTCACCCAGGCTGGAGTACAATGGCGCCATCTTGGCTCACCACAACCTCCACCTCCCGGGTTCAAGCAATTCTCCTGCCTCGGCCTCCTGTGTAGCTGGGATTATAGGCATGTGCCACCACGCCTGGCTAATTTTTGTATTTTTAGTAGACACGGGGTTTCACCATGTTGACCAGGGTGGTCCCAAACTCCTGACCTCAGGTGATCTACCCACTCCTCGGCCTCCCAAAGTGCTGGGATTACAGGTGTAGGCCACTGTGCCCAGCCTATCATTTTGTTTATATGAACTATAAGCCACTAGCATCCACAAAGGGGGAAATGTCTTCTGATTGATAGAGCTTCCTTTTCTTTTTTGAACAAATGCTAAGAAGTAGCAACAGCCAAAGGACAAGAGCTGTATTGTCTTCTCTCATGTGTGGCAAGAACAAACAAGATTGAGAATCTGATTGCATTGAAGAGGCATTGTTCATTAAACTTCCTCCAGACCTGGGGAAGAGGATAAACTTCCTCCAGACCTGGGGAAGAAGATAATCTGTTCCACAGAAAATACAGAATGCATAACATTCAATGAACTTTGCACAGGGATCCCAGAAGTCTTGGCTGTGATCCAGGACCTACCATGACTTTCTTTGTTTCCACCTCCTGATGATCTTAACCCGTGTCATATAGTTTGGCTGTGTCCCCACCCAAATCTCATCGTGAATTGTAGCTCCCATAATCCCCACGTGTTATGGGCGGGACGTGGCGGGAGGTATTTGAATCCTGGGGGCAGATTTTTCCCATGCTATTCTTGTGGTAGTGAATAAGTCTCGCAAGATCTGATGGTTTTATAAAGGGGAGTTCCCCTGCACACGCTCTCTTGCCTGCCGCCATGTAAGATGTATCTTTGCTCCTCCTTCACCTTCTGCCGTGATTTTGAGGCCCCCTCAGCCACATGAAACTGTGAGTCCATTAAACCTCTTTTTCTTTATAAATTACCCAGTCTCAAGTATTTCTTCATAGCAGTATGAAAATGGACTAATACACTGTGTAACCTCTAAGTTTCCTCAACGGTAAACAAGATTTTTTTTTTGACCAATGATCTCTAAAATTGCATTTGGCTTTAATATTCTGTGATTTCATGAAAATTTATATTAAATTTGCCTTATGTTCCATACAGCTCTAAGCTGTCTCTGGCTAAAATAGGGAAACATTGTACAGGCACTCCCAGGAAGGGAAGGACGCTCCCCTTTTGTTCTGTCCAATTTGGGTAAACCTTTGTCTATGTTTATTTATAATAACTAGAAGGAAAAACAGTACAAGAATATTCTGTGTCTTTATCAACAGCACGAACACTTCTGCCATCTTAAATAAGTTAATTTCTCTGGATGCTTCACTATCTGGCGTTGCACCAGCTGCTGTGTGGCTCTTTAATAGGCATAGAGGAAACAAGACTATAAGCCTTTCAGATCATGCAATGATTTCTCTCTACCACCCCATCCTTTACCTTTTGTTAAAATATTTGCAATGCCCTTCACATTGCCACATTCTCTCTCTCTCTCTCTCTCTCTCACACACACACACCTGCATAGAAACACACACCACAGGTCGTCTCCCCTTCCCTTTTAGTTCCCCCCCAGCAGGCAGATTTCTCTCCCTAGCCATGTCCTGTGCAGCCTACACTGTGCCGCATCCTGGGTTGTTTAGAGTCCCATAGGGCATGGATTGGCCAGCCACAGCCTGCAGGCCGAGCAGGCCCCCAATGTGTTTTTATAAATCATGTATCGTGGATCGCGTGGGAACACAGATGCTGTTTGTGTTCATGCTTTGTCAGTGGCTGGTGCAACAACAGCAGAGTTCAGTTGTGAGGGACAACCATGTGTTTGCTGCAGAGCCTAGGCTATTTACTTTCTGGGCCTTTGCAGATGAAAGAGGACAGCCCTGCTGTAGGGTGACGCCATCATCATCTCTAAGGACTGCTCTCAGGGACACCATCCCTGAAGTGTGAGGGATTCAGGGGCTCCCCTCATCTAATTTGAAGCACCTTTTGTTTTTCCCTGTGGGGCCTGGCGACAGGGTACTTCTGTGGCTCAGCAGGCAGCAGGCAGGTGAGCGAGCTGTGGCCAGGTGCTGGGAGGCCTCCCTGTGGCCACATGTAGCCTTCGAGGGAATGTACTCTGCAGGGGTGTGAAAGCGCCCCTTCTCCTTTTTTTTTTCCATCAAGGCTGTTCTTGTTTATTTTGACCAGATAATAAAATAACAGTGTGGAATAAAATAATAGTTGTGTAAAGGAAGATAGTTGAGGTTCTAAGGCCAGCATTTGAGGTTCTCTTCCACATTTTGGGGTAACTCATGTAAATACAATATAAGCATAACTTCTGGAAGCTCATTACCCTAAATTTGACCTGCTCTTTCCCAACTTATTATAGTTCTAGAGTGTCTATTTCTGTAAAATATAGGGATATGCCCAAGATATTCATCTGAAGGATCACTGCACCTGTGTGTGTACACACTCACGTACATACAAACACGAGCAGACACTCACAGCTGTCATCTGGAAGAGGAGAGTTTCTAGGACCACAGAGACAGCAGTGCAGACCTTGTTTTGCTACAAAACCCACTTGCAGGAAACGAGGAAGCAGAACACTGCCCAGATGCTTTGCTGAGTCAGGGCAGCGGGAGACTGTCTGTGAGCTGCACAGTCTCAGCATATGGTGACCAGGATGGATCCTGGTCTGCAGGTCACATGAGCCGACACTGCCAGTACCAGGGAGGAGGCTCAGTGCCAGCACGTTTGGATGGAAATGAAAACAAGGCTTCGGCACTGAGGTAGCGGAGGGTCCGTCATAGCCCAGGGTGCCATCCTGGCTGGAGGTGCAGGGACAGAAGGCCCGGGGGAGGAGCTCAGGGACCAGCCCCAGGGATGGCGAATGTCCTGACATAACGCTGTGCCCATCCCAGTGGGTGCTGAGGAAGCTGAACGGCAGTGCTGACTCTGGGCACAGTGATAGCCAAACAAACTCCTCACTTGCTGGGCTCTGCGGGGCAGACAGTGAAGGGGAGCTGCAGGTCAGCAGACAGAGAGGGACCAGTGTCCCGTGCATGCCAGAGAAGGGGGGGGACGTGCCCGGTAGGAGGGGGAGTGAGTCATGAGGGGCCCTGTCCGAGAGGGATGCCGGTCACCACACCGGGCTCCTCTAACCCTAGCGTTAGTCATGTGCCCTCAGCTGGAAAGTAGACAACTTCTCATGTCAGCGTGGCACATCCCAGCATTGAAATCCCACGTACACCGGCCTAACCTCCCACCCAGGCTTCTCTCCCTAACCTGCCGCACAGAGTGGAACCTGCCCCTGGCTCAGCTGGTCTCCCTGCCGTCCGAGGCCCCGTTGGCCCCTCTCGATTATGATCCAGGCTTAGTGGATGGCAGCACAGTGCATGGTACATAAAGAAATGGCATCATGCTTGGTACATGTCATTTTGTTTATCCTTTACAGCAGCCCTGGGAGGTGTGCGACCTTGGTCCCCTCTACAAATGAGGAGACTCAGGCTCCGTTGCAGAGGCACAGGGGCCCCTGGGCTCACAGCCTGGCTCAGACCCCAATCTGCAGACTTCCCCACCACCACGCGCTGCTCTCCCGTTCACCTGACTCCAAGCTTCCAGTCAAAGTCGGCTTTACAAGGCTTTGGTGGGCTCCCCAGCCCACACCTGTGCCCCCTGATATTCTAAGGGCGGTTATCACTTGTAGCTAAGACCTGGGGCTGGTTACATGTTGCATCACTCTCCAAAGGCCTGGCCCGGAGCTGTGCTCATGATCATCAACATGCATGTGATGATCTAATCAGCAGTCTGAAATGTTATTTAATTTTCTTTTATTTCCAAGAAATCTAATGTCACGTGAAGCCCTTAGTCCAGCACGGGGCTGGGTGCAGTTCCCTTAAGGGGGAATGTAAAGCTATTCTGTCTGTACCGGCATCTGCGCTCTAATACTCCCTAGAAAATAAGTAGGAATCACAGCAAAGTGCAATAGGATGCAAGTTTTGTCTCCTAAGAAGCTTATAAACTGGTGGGTGGAGACAAGGCATTAATATCTGGATGGGACAAGCAGGGCAGTGATGCAGAAAAAAACACCTCTCAGTATATGAAATGTTCTCCAGGAGGTCAGATGATCCCTGTCAGGAGCTGAGGAACTGAAGACAGGCCAGCAGGATGGCTGGAGCGGCCAGGATGGGGCTGGGGTGGGGAACGTCCTGCAGCTGTTCTGGGGAGACCGCGAGCTCGTCACCCCACGGCCTCCACCTCTTTTCAGTGCATAGATAGACGGTGTTCCCATCTTCCCGCACGTAGACAGAGTCTGGGACTGAGTTAATGCCACTGAAATGTGAGAGGAATAGCCGGGCGTGGTGGCTCATGCCTGTAATCCCAGCACTTTGGGAGGCCGAGACAGCCGGATCACAAGGTCAGAAGATCGAGACCATCCTGGCTAACACGGTGAAACCCCGTCTCTACTAAAAATACAAAAAAAAAAATTAGCTGGGCGGGGTGGTGGGCGCCTGTGGTCCCAGCTACTCGGGAGGCTGAGGCAGGAAAATGGCGTGAACCTGGGAGGTGGAGCTTGCAGTGAGCCGAGATCAAGCCACTGCACTCCAGCCTGGGTGACAGAGTGAGACTCCGTCTCAAAAAAAAAAAGAAATGTGAGAGGAAGTGACGCGTGACCCTTCAGTACTGCCTCCAGAGCCAGGGATGGTACGCTTCTGTCGTTTATGCCAACAGTGTTTGTGGGACTTTGTATGGCAGCCAGAGTGGACTCACCCACAACCAGAGTTCCACAGGGAGAGAAAAACTCAAGGTCAGGACTCAGAAATCTTGATCAACGGACTTACTTGCAATTGGCCTCTAGGCAGGTGTGGTCGCTGGTGGACTTAGGGTCCCATGGAGGACCTTGGGGAGGCTCAGATCCCAGGAAAGCAGCTGGGGAACCAGGGCGGCTATGAGGAGAACCCCTTGACTCAGGAAAGTAGTCTGGTCTCAAGTTCTAGGGCCACCCTTAGGATAGCCAGAGGAAGGCTAGAAAGCCCTGTGGGCCTCCAGCTTCCAGCCTTCCAAAAGTGAGGAGGTGGGGCTGTAAGATTACGCTGGCTGATGGCTGTCGCAAAACACTAAGTTTATTACATAAAAGCCTCAATTCCCTCCTAACTATCACCAAAACAGATGAGTTGTGGTGTCCAGCTCATCATCATTGAAGAAAGAACACCTCCTTTCTTCAATTTGTTCTTTTGTGTTTTCTTCCCTCTTCAGAGCTAACTTTTTTTTTTTTTTTTTTTTTTTTTTTTTTTGAGACAGTCTCACTTGGTTGCCCAGGCTGGAGCACAGTGGCGCGATCTCGCCCACTGCAACCTCTCCCTCCCGGGTTCAAGTGATTCTCCTTCCTCAGCCTCCCAAGTAGCTGGGATAACAGGCGCCCGCCACCATGCCTAACTAATTTTTGTATTTTTAATAGAGATGGGGTTTCACCATGTTGGCCAGGCTGGTCTCAAGCTCCTGACCTCAAGTGACCATCTGCCTCGCCCTCCCAGAGTGCTGGAATTACAGGCATGAGCCACTGTGCCCAGCCCAGAGCTACCTTTGATGCCCATTTTCATCATGTTCAGCTTGGTGTTGGGGAAAGCACACCAGGAGATTCCTGCCCAGGGATGGCCCTAGGACAGGTCCTGGAGCTGCCCCTCAGAGTGGCCCACTGCATCACGTGAAGCAAGAACGCACCCTTTGGTTAAGCCTGTTGGAATTACACATGCCAGATCCCATTCAACTGAGGGAAAGGATGACATAGGTTCAAAAAAATATATGACAGGTGCTACGAGGGCTGTCCTAGTTCTCTCTTAGTAAGGAGAACCTCTGAGACAGGGGCAAGAAGCTCCTTCCTGCAGTGTATTACATCCTATTCAGAGTCCCTTTCTCTCTGAAGAATATGATGAGCTCCCTGCAAAATCTGATCTCCTCCCTGGTTGGAAGGAATGAGTGGAACCTGAAAAGTGTGGCATTTTTATTGTCCCTGGAATCTGATCTATTACCTTTTCTGTCCTCTGCCTTTCATCTTCGTTCTACTCATGCGTTTGCCCCAGATGAGCAGGTAAGCTTTTCAGATCTGGGGATTGGGGACTTCCCATTTTAGATGGAAGTCCTGCCATTGGGTTGGCTGAAAAGGTGCGTAAGGAATCTGTCAGATTTATCACATGGAAGTCTAGGGCAGGCACTGAAATCCTTTTAGGAAAAATGAGTTTCCAGGGTAGAGACCAAACCTCTAAGTCTTAAAGAGAGCAAAGCAAAGAAGTTGACATTTAGATCTTTCAGCAAACCATGAAGATTCTCTGCCTGTAGGTGACTAGATGCTAGAAAGAGCCTAATGGATGAGTTGAGAAAGAAAACAGCCGAGTCAAGATTGCTAATGCGTTCATTACATGCATGTGAGTGCTTTGCTGTAGAAAGTTATCGACGTCCAACCCCATGAGACCATTACTGTCCCATTTAGCCTGACTTCTCTCACACGGCCTCCTCTCGCCTTCCCTGCAACTTCATTTTTAGTTTCGTATTCCTCAAGACCTATCCCTTAAAGAAGGAAAGCAAAGAATGGTGGAAAAATTCACATCCATAAAAGGGTTTCTAAAGCTAGGAGCCTTGCTAAGCTGCCTGAGTTGTCACATTGCAGAGTGCACGGAATGGCCGGCTGAGTCTCATCAGTGTGGTGGTGGTTACACACGCTCATTTTGCCTGATCAAATCGTTTCATTAAAAATTCTTAAGCTGTAGACACAAAAGTACTTTTTCAAATACATCAGTGGCAATACAGAAGTAGACTGTAATTCATTTGTGTGCACTTATAATACAACACACCTCCCCAAATAAAATGCATTTTTTTTCTGGGTGTTCACTGCAATTTGCTACAATCAGAAAAATCATAAAGGGTAGAATGATGTCATTTTTTAATATATTATTTTCATTTTTCAATGCCTCGAAGAAGGTGCATTAAGATCATCCATTACCTTAGCGATAGTACTGTTAGTCCCATACTTCATATACAGTACAAATTCGTTATTATCAGTTAATATTGACTTAGTGCTCAAAGTGTTCTAGATAACACACAGTCTATAAAGTACAAGCGTTAAGTCACAGCCATTTGCAATTTCTCTTCTGACTGCCAAGAATTAATCTCTTATTCAACAAATATTGTTAAGTGCCTGCTCTGTGCCACAGTTGGGAGCAAAACAGACATGGCCTCGGGGCTCAGAGAGTGCACAGCTTTCCAGTCTAGCAACAAAGTCAGACGTTAAACCAACAATTACTGAAATTAGTCTTAAATTATAGTTGTGACAGAGACACAAAGGTGAGTGTGGGGCACTGTGAGGAGTCTGAAAAAAAAGGACCTCACTCAGGCTGGGGTTAGGGATTCCTCCCCAAAGACTGGTTTCTTTGAATGGTTTCATTCATTTGCTTGCCATTTATTTGAATGTGTCAAGTCTTGTGCTAGATTTAAGAAGATAAGAAGGTGAATAAGACAGAATTCTGATTCTCAGGGAACTCCATGCTCTCATATGAAAGACAGCTATGAAAGCAAATAATTGCACAGACTTTCATCATATCACTTTATTGCATTTTGCTATGAAAGATACTATGCTGACATGCCTCCTGGAAAGAGGAACCAGATGGAAGCTACACAGATTAGATAAACCAGCTGGATCTTAGAAGATCAGTTGATAACATGGCAGTTCATACAGCATGAAGTTTTCTCTTACTAAGCTAAAGTCGAGAAACATGCCCGATCGTAAGGAGCATCATCAAAGTGGCAGAAGGTGTAAAGGGAGGTTAGTGTTTTGACTGTATGCTGGGCCAGCCAGGACAAGACATGGCATGGCTCCTTCTCACAAGTAAAATCATGCTAACAATGCACTGTGGCCCTCTAGCTTCCTCCTCCCTCTTTTGAGTCTGTCTGCAGGGAACAGGCTTTTACAGTTCCAGGACATAGGATGCAGAAAGCACCCAGAAGGAAAGAGGGAAAACTCATTTTGTCAGTCCACCGAAAAGCTGGTGCTGACCTAGCCATGACAGCACTTCCTTCCAAACCAGAGGATCTATTTGAATATTGGCCAAGGGTCACAGACATGGAGTTCCCATATATGAACCCTCCGTTTTGGCTTTGGTGGGATTGATATGGACAAAACACGCCGCAACTTAAGTGTTGAAGTCAAGTGTTGAAGTCAAGTGCAGAGTCACTTGACTCTGTAGCAATATTGTCTCAACAATAGACTAAGAATTACTTGTGAGTGGTTTTGCACTGAAATAGTCTCTATGAGGTTGTACTAGGTGGGCCCTAATTTTATAGCTAGGGGAACTAAGGTCCCAGAGAGGTGAGCTGATTTACTCCATGTTTCATGACACACAGAAACGGGGATGGGACCACGGTCTACCCACCCCAGCTGCAGTGACTGCACCATGGGAACTATTTCCCCTTGCATCTCCCTGTAGGACTCTGATGATTCATGTTGACATGTGTTAAATGCCAGAGGTGAAGACTTTGACCCATAGAGAAGAGAGCCCACCTGGGGACTAAGCAGGACTTAGTTACCACTCCAGCTGCCACCTGGAGTAATCTTCCTGTCTCTACTCTTTAAGCCCCAATTCATGTAAGATCTGAATAAAAGCGGTGTGTTCGCCAAGCATATGCGCAGCTTCAAGACAAGGTGTCTGGCCTTTTCTTTCAACCAGATTGCAGCTCCGAAATCTCTCCTGTAGCGAAACCTGGAACTTCCATAGACATTGGTGCTCCCATCTCTGCACATGGGAGAGGGCACAGTCTGTTTTCCAGGAGTGACTGATTGCCTTCAATAGATCAGGAAACTAACCGCGGACAGAATCAGTTCTACACTGATTTTATACTGTGAATGTTTAAAGTGAGGCGTTGTCCCTAACGGAAGGGTTAGAGAAATGTGCATTGCTTAATGGGTTTCTTATGAAGATTAAATGAGTTCGTGCATAGCAGGCATGGAACACACAGCAGTGGCTAGCACAAAAATGAGCCCTTGATGTGTTGGAATGTGTTGTCATTGTAAACCAGCCACTGTTGGCACCAGACAGCCTCGGGGTGCTAGAGCTGCCTGTGACCCACGAATGCCATGTGAACAAACTGACACAGCCATGGCATTTTCTCTAAAGCAAACACATGAACTCAGCAGGTCCCTGACCACAGATGTCCATGGTGGGAGGTGGTGCTGGGTGATGTCTGTAATGAAGCAGAGATTCCTGGGCCCCTCTGGGGTTTGGTGGTTAACAATTCATCCCAGTAGTCCAGGCCTGGATCCCACAGCCATGGAATGATTCCCTGGCAGGACACTGCTGGAGAGAGAGGGCCCCACAGACTCCATCACTTGGGTGACCTTTGGTATAAAAGGAAGGAAGAAACAGGAAACAGGAGGTGACTGCATTTATCTACAGCAGCCTCAGCTGTCTCTTGGCCTCTGGGGTCCATGCTGCAGCTCTGAGTCTTTTTCAGAAACGGGAATTCAAAGGATAAGGTTTTAAATCATTGACCATAGAGCTGAAGGTGTATCAGGTACACAGCAAGGTAAGAAATGCAGTCCCAATCTTTTCACTGGAGTTTCTGCATGGATAATCAGAGGAGTTTTCAGAACATGCTAGATAAGAAACAATCTCTCTTGCACTCCTCTCTCCCTCTCTCTGTTTCTGTTTGTCTCTCTCTCCTTTCCTACACACTTCCCCAGGAAAGTTCGATTTCCATAAGCTCTTGTAGCTGCATATTTTACCTGTGGCTGGGAAAAAAAAGGAATGGGTAGCAAGCCAAGCACCTCTGAAGCGTTTCTGCAATGGCAACTTAAATCTTCTGTGAAAAGATGCTGGATAGAGAATACTGGATGAGCTGCTCCAGTGTGGAATGGTGCCTGAGGAATTGCTATTCCCCACCTCTATTCAATTTAGCACCACCGTTGTGCATGTTTCGATTAAAAAGAGGAACAAAACATTTATGTACTCATTCAATTCACCGCTGCCTTTTTATCACGCATCTTCTGTGTGCCAGGCACCACCCCACGCCTGGCATCCTGCCAATGGCCATCCTTCCCAGGGCTGGATTTTGCCTCTCCTCTCCTTGCGACTTACAAGAATTTGCATTTAAACTGCACACTTCACCTGTTGGTTGATACCCAAAACCTTCTTAAGAGGGAAGAAAGCTTCTTCATGACATCCTCAATGACACGTAAGTGCCAGTTCCCTGTGAGATCTTGAGGGTGTGGACAGGTGGCCCTCAGAGGCATTGGCTGGAATTGGATCCTTTGCTGAATGCTGCATACTTTAGGAATGGACGGAGGAGCTTCCTGAGGTGGAGAGGAGGTCAGTAATGGGGAGGAGAGAGGGCAGGAAGGGAGGCAGGAGACCGGTCTGTAAAATCAATTTTCCCAACTAAAAATGTAATGTCAGGAGGTAGCTGTGCTCCAGGCTGCTCAGATGTACATCTAGGCCTGTCTGTGTGACACTCTTGCCAGAGCGGGCTGTGTCTTGTGCAGTGGGCACAGGAAGGTGGGATCCCTGGGCTGCTCACGAGGCCGCCCCACACTCTGTTCAGGAGACCTAGTTATGAGACGGCTGCCTGTGGTTGCCTACCATTCTGCCTCTTCCCTGCCACCTCATCAGCACTTTTACCTGTCGCCTGCTTATTTAAACACGTGGTCCAGCAATCACAGTGAGTGTGGTGCTGACTGTTGAATGCCCATGCTCAGGGAGGCCCTTCACAAATTCTCAGCAAGGACTTCTCTCTGATGCATGGTTGACCTGATGCTAATGGTCAGCTGGCCCCAGCGACACTCTGGCATTATTTTACCCCCTCTACACTTTCCCTAGATTCGCCTTTCCATCCCCTTTTTGACCGTTCTGATTTTGTAAAAGCCTTGTTTTTCAGGAAATACCAATATACCCTTAATAAAGTTTTATTAATAAGGTGTTTAAAAAGGACCCAGAGTCAATGATTTCATCAATTAGAGCACGAAATACAAAAGTCTGAAGATCCAAAGGAATGAATCTCTAATGGCCAGCTCATGACACTATGTGGCAGCTAGGGAGATATTTTCGGGCAGAGGTCTTCCCTTGCCTCTCAAATTCTAGAAGTAAACATCTGTTGATTTTGTAATCAACAAAATGTATTATATGTCCGAGAGAGTGACTTGTCTTGGAAATTTCAGACATCAGATCAATTCGGTACTTGAGTCCTATACCAGGGCCACTAAAGGACTTCCAGTCCAAATTCCATCAAATCATGTAGAGCCCTCTTTTTTGTCCTTCTCCATTTGCTCAGCTGTTTTTCCTCCCAAGTAGGGAGGGCAGGGCTGGGAAGCTTCATCAAGATTTCCTTTGACACGCTCTGGCTTCAGATAGTGATTTACTTTCTAATGACGTGCCTCTGTTTTCATTCCCTTTCCAGTGTCAATCTCAGTTGCAAACACCCCCAGGAAGCCACACACTCAGCTCCATTCAGCTCCAGCCGTGGTGTGAATGAACAAGGAAGTGAGAAGAGTTTTTCATTGCTTATTGCCAGAAAAATGTGTCTGCCAGCTTCAGTGTTTATAAAAAGCAATTTTGCCTCCCCCTAAGCTAGCAGTGTTTAATAAACATGTAATAGAGAATGTAGGTTTAATATTTAAGCATCTCTATGCCCCGAGTCTGAGTGATGCTCTGCTACATTCTTTCTGCAAAAGGGAATTTAAAAGAATGATGAGATCCAGCCCCGGCCTGAAACAAAGGCAGTTCCAGTGGAGTCTGCAGGGTTCACTCTTTCCTTCCCTCTCTCCTCAGATAGCTGCTCCACGGTTTCCCCACTTAGGCAAATGAGCATCTGCTGTGTTCATGGAAATCGGTCCAAGTAACACAATAGAGGCTGCTGCTCCTGGTGTGTGAAATCATCCCCCGAATTATCAATTGAAGGAAGATTGCATCGTAAAGCCCTGGAGCACGAGCCTCGTTAGCACGCTCCTTCCAGCACAGCCGGGGCTCGGTCCGTCTGGCCATGTATTTGGCAACCAGTGTGTGCTCCGGCCCACCCTCAACTAATGGGTGTTTGCATGGGTGTGCGTTTGTGCATGTGTGTTCACCGCCACTAGAGTGAGTTCTTTTTTGGCAGTTTGTTTGAACATATACTCACCCGAGGCGTGTGCTTGGACCTGTAGATGGACAAAAGAGGAAGGCAGCAGGGCCCTGCCGGGTCATGTGATGTTGCAGCGGTGTTCTGGAGGACACCAGGAGGGATGGGAAGGCAGCGAGAAGAGCGTGTTGGGGACTGCGGTGGTGACTTCTCAGCCACCTTCCTCGAAGGGGTGGCCTTCTCCTTAGAGGGATAGCCAGTCTTGCTGTGACGTGGACTGGGAGGGTAGTGCCAGCACACAAGGAGGAGGCGGGTGTGGTGGGAGGCCTCACAACACACGGGGCCTTGCAGGCCATAACTAGGAGGGACCATCAGTTTCTTATTTTTGTGTGGGTTTTTTTTTTTTTTTTTTTTTTGAGACAGAATTTCGGCCCACTGCAACCTCTGCCTCCCGTGTTCAAGCAATTCTCCCACCTCAACCTCTTGAGTAGCTGGGATTACAGGCACACACCACCACGCCTGGCTAATTTTTGTATTTTTAGTAGAGATGGGGTTTCACCATGTTAACCAGGCTGGTCTCAAACTCCTGACCTCAGTTTCTTGTTTTTGAAAGATACTCAGGATGAGGCTGCAGACACAGGAACTGTCTTTCTCTTCTTTGAACAAACCAAGCTGTTTTTTGCCTCAAGCGCTTTGCGTTCTCTGTTCCTGCTGCTGGGAGCACCGCTGTGCTTTGCCCTGTCCAAGATGTGTTCTTTCCCACAGGTGTTGGCTTAGGGTAACTGACTCAGGAGGGTCTTCCCGGCAGACTGCAGGCTCTGAAGGGTCACCCACCCTTGCGTACACTCATGTTGTAAATGAGTTTTGACCCTGCTGGTGCCAACAACTGCTGCTCTGTGTGTTCTTTTAGAATGCTGCCTGGCTTGGAATGATCTTGTTTCTGTTTACTTGTTGATTGTGCATCTGCTTTCTTCTCTTTTTGTATTTTTTGTGAGAAGACAGGTCCATCTCCCTAGTTTTTCCCTCTACGGAAGTTCCCAGCCATGCCTGGTACAGAGCATGCTACCAATTAATATATTTCTAATGGAAGCCAGAAGCTGGGAGTCCAATCAGAAGGCGAATTGAGGTATCACAGAGCAGGAAGAATGGCTGCTTGGACTACATAGAGGCAGTGGAGATGGAATGAAGAGGATGGGTATGTTTTGAGAGGAAATGGATGACTTGTGAGACTAGAAATTTGGGAAGTTAGAAGGATAGAGGAAATGGTCTCTAGAGAGCACCTCGTATAAGAATAAGAGGCACAGGGTTGGCGGTGGAGGCGCTTGGAGGCACAGAAGGGTGCTCTTCCTACTTTTTTCTTATCGTAATTCTCCTCTGAGGATACAAGTAAAGGTCTTATTCATGTGGATAAAATTGCCAAATTTTATGTTTCTCAGAAGCAGTTTTGTGAATCAGTAAGTGTGAAGGAAATAGCCCAGGTATTAAAGGGAGGAATCTGGAAAGGTTTGGGCCGAGCAGCTTCCAGGGGCTTTGTGGCCTTGGGTTATCCTTGTCCTCGTCTAACCTGCATGCCGTGTTGACTGAGTATGGAATTTTCCCCAAATCTTTGTTTTTATTGACGTAGAACACGATTGATTTTCAATCAGTTGATCAAATTCCTAAGTGGAGCACACTGGAATGTGTGTGGCCACCTTCTGAGGGTTCATGAAAAAGAAGTGGAAGGATTCCAAGAGCAGCCAGGCTTTCACCTTCATTGAAGCTGCAGCCTCGTCCATCAGAGGCACAGACACAAGAAACATAGCTCTGAGCAGAAAACACAGAATACAGCTGTTACTGGAAAGGGGTCCAGTCCAGACCTGAAGAGAAGGTTCTTGGACCTCACGCAAGAAGGAATTCAGGGCAAGTCTATAGAGTAAAGTGAAACTTGATTAGAGAAATAAAGAAACAAAAGAATGGCTACTCCGTAGGCAGAGCAGTGGCATAGGCTGCTCAATTGAGTTAGTTATTTCTGGATCATATGCTAAACAAGGGCTGGATCATTCATGAGTTTTCCAGGTTGGGGCAGAGATTTCACGGAACTGAGAGTTCCTCCCCATCTTAGACCATATAGGGTAATTTCTGGATGTTGGCGTGGCATTTGTAAACTGTCATGGTGCCGGTGGGAGTGTCTTTCAGCATGCGAATGCATTATAATTCAAGCAGTGAGGGGTCACTTTCATTGACATCTTGGTTTCGATGGGTTTTAGACGGCTTCTTTACTATATCTCATTTTATCAGCAGGACCTTTGTGACTTGTATCTTGTGCTGACCTCCTATCTCATCCTGTGACTAAGAGCACCTAACCTCCTGGGAATGCAGCCCAGTAGGTCTCAGCCTTGTTTTACCCAGCCCCTATTCAAGATGGAGTCACTTTGGTTCAAACGCCTCTGACATAGCTGAGCATTAAGTACCATAGCAGTTTGGATAAGTGGGAAGTAATTGATATGGATGGGCACACCAGGTGGGGAGGACTTTCTGGAAATAGTGATACATTGATGGTAAATACGATTTGGCTGTGCCAAAAAGATGGAGAATTTTAGGCAGAGGGAGCAATTTGGTCAAGTGTGAAGACAGAGCTGACCATGGAGCAGTTTAACTTTTCCCGACATAAAATGCGAATTTCCAAGCTGAAGAGGAGCGGATCTAGAGCCCAAGGTGGCTAACGCTGCCATAAGCTAGTTTCAGTCCCGTCTTTGCTGACGGTGTGATATTCCTGAGGCCACCGGGGATGATTCACAAGGGTGTGCCGTGATTCCCTTTCACAGAAGCAGTTTAAAAATAAAATCTCTTGCACTCCCTCTTAGCCAAAGGAATCCATTGAAAGCCACCAATGTACTTCGCTAGCAGTAGAAGCGTCCCATTTGGTGGATGATGCCTTTCAAACCAGGATCACTTACTGCATTCCTTTCCCAGAGCTGCCGTAACCAGGGACCTAGACCTGGCAATTTTAACAGCGGAAACCTACTGGCTCACAGTCTTGGGAGCCTGTAGGTCTGAAGTCAGAGCATCGGCTGGGTTCATTCCAGGGCTGCGAGGGAGGGTCTGTCTCAGGCCTGTCTTCTCGGCTTGTAGCTGGCTGTCTTTGTGTTCACCCAGCATTCTGCTTTGTAGAGGAGTAAAAATAAAATTTACCTCTATCTTCTTAAGTTCTCTAGCCAGGCCCTATAAACTAGACTGGCAAAAAATAATAATAATAATAAGAGAAAATTACACAGATTTACTTAATAAGTCCCATGTGATATGGAAGCCTTCCTAAGGCAGTGGAGACCTGAAGAGACAGTGAAGACCTGAAGGGACAGTGGGGACCCGAAGAGACAGTGATGCCTCAGCGCTTTCTGTAGTATGCTGGATGAGGACGCAGAGGTCATGGGGAAGCGTGACAGGACAAAGGGAGTGAGCTGAGGGTGATCGGTGGGAACCGCAGCAAGGTCTGTGTGCTCAGCCTCCTCCCGGCTGCCTCTGCCTTTGGAGATGGGGATGCTGTCTCCAGTGGGGCATTTGGAGGGTGCCGCTCACAGGTGGGTCCTAGGACCTCCTTCTGGGGAGGCGGGGAAGTCGGATGGTCCTTCCTGCGCCTGACACTGCTCACATTCTTCCAGCTTATAATATTCAGTATGCCAAGGTAGCATCTTTGTGGTAGTGTGTCCTGAATCACACCAGCCTCTGTGCCAGTCTGTGTCCACATTTCCCCTTCTCATAAAGACACTGGCATGTTGGATTAGAGCCATACCGGTGACCTCATGGTAACCTAGTTGCCTTTGGAAAGACCTTGTCTTCAAATAAGCTCATATTCTGAGGTATTGGGCATTGGGACTTCAGCATATGAATTTGAAGGGATACAATCAACTCATAAAATTGCCATGATTTTTTTTCAAATAAGCTGCTATTTACTTTTAAAAAATAAAGTCCAATACTGTGGCCATATTGCTTTCTGTCACCAGCAGGTGGCATTTCTATAGTCCAGGGATGGCAAAGGAAGAGCCGAGTGCTTTCCTGTTGTTTTATTTGGAAAATGAAGCATTGTTATGTACGGGTGAGAGAGAGAGCACAGATTAAACTTTGGAAATGATAGTCAATGGTACATGATGATGCATGGAGACTTTTGCCATAAATTCTAGACATATTACAGGAAAACCAGCAAGCCCACACCGGTTCCCATGGAAGTCAGGAATCACACTGGCTTCTGGGCTTGACCCTGTCAATAACCAGCTTCCAGGCTCCGACCAAAACACTTAGAAATAGGAATGTTAATACTGAGATAATTGTGGCCCAGAGACATTTTCTTCTCTACCTTCCTCACTGTTTTTTTATTTTTATTTTTTTTAGGATCAGATGAGATAAAATATGTAGACTTATTCAAAAATGAACAAAATATAATACAACTTAAACAAAGGTCCCACTTACCTGTCCTCTATAATATAGACTACCTTCCCTTCAAAACACCCTCCCCGAGAACAGTAACTGCGAGGAGGAACTTTATTTCCTTCAAGCAGTAATCAAGCCTGGCCCATACGAGATATTAAACAGGCATGAAATAAACAGGCACAGGTAAAGATGACTGAAGAAGTTATTCTGATTCACATTTAAGGATTGACATTACTTCAAGCAAAATTGGGAAAGAATATGAAACAAAAGACGTGTGGTCTCTACTCTTTAAAAGCTCACAGTTAATTTTGCTGTATTTTTAAGAGAAAAGCAAAATGGATATATATAAAACAGATTAATAGACGACTGAATTGCTCCAAAATCATTCATTCGTTTATGACACAGTGCGGTCCTGAGACTCCTCCTGCAGGCAGCTGGGGTGGTCTCTGCCCGGAGCATCGGCATGAGCCGCACTGCAGTGGAGTGAGTGTTGCCTGGTGTTGCCCACACTGATGGATGTCTGGAAGTGCAGCTAAGTGCAGCCACAGAGATTCACTGTAAGAGCACTGGATCCTTTACTCTGAGAAGGAGATGTGGCAGTAGCGCCTGGTAGCATAGGCCCCGTGGCCCCTTGTCCCTGAAGCTTCTTCCGTTAACAGACCTCACAGAGCCCAGCCCTCATTTCCTTGCAGCTCAATCCATTTCTTTCCAGTCTCGGAGATGCTTTTCTTATGACTCAATCAAGGGCTTGCATGGTGTGTGGTGCTGGCACTGCTTTCAGAGGCTGCCTGATGATTCCGAGATCCCTCTGCTACTTTTTCGTGCCTCATGCGTCTTAGGGAAGGTGTTTGCAGGTGAAGGAAAAGGTGGGTAGGGTAGACGTTCAAAGGGAATCATGAACTTGTTTTGTGTCTCTTCAAAAAAACTGAGCAAGCTGATTCTCACACACCTAAACACGAAAGCATTTTGTTACTAAGCTCTGGACTGTAACACCCCAAACTGCATATGTCCCTGATAAACTTTATTTTCCTCTAATCACTTGGAAGAACCGAGTTTACTGTGTGTAACTGCAAGGGGCAAAGAGACATTGGTGAGTAGAAGGTAGAAAATTCCTCCTTGCATGAAAGGGAAGCTGGCTTCTCTGTAACAATTGTTGCTATCTAAAGCTAGTGGGAACCAGCTGGTGGGAATAAACTAAGCGCCCCTTGAAAGGCTGAAACAGGGTCTGGAGGGTGAGTGGCTACTCTAGGGGGATCCCAGCACTGGGTTAGAGGCCAAGCTGGATTAATCTAGTCAACACATCTCTAATGTTTTCCTAGCTTGAGTCAGCACTGAGTCGATTTGGTATAAGAAAGAAAGGAAACATATTCCTGTGGGGAGACAGACAGGGCAAGAGCACTTCTTATAAAAATTAGCATACAGAGGGATCATTAGGCTCAGCCTCAGGTGGAACAGGTGCCTACTGGAAGGAGCACCTCGGTTTACCTGGGGACAGGGTAGGAAAGGTTTCAAGGGACAGGAGGCATTTAAGAATTAAAATTAAACACTGAGGCTTCTGGGTTGAATAGGAGTTTGTCAGGTAGACATGGTAGGAAGGGAGTCCAGGCAGAGATGGCGGCATGTAGAAAAATAACAAGGCCCAAGAGAGCCGCTGAAACTTCATGGAATGTTAGGTGTGAGACAAGAGGAGGTAGAGCTGGACTAGGAATTGGAAGCCTGGTTTTGAAGATCCCTGTACGTTATGCGCCGGGAGTTTGTAGGTGATGAGGAGGTATGACATAAGTCTCAGCAGGGGACTGCCACGATCACATATGCTTGTTAGAAATATGTTTGCAGGTGGAGAAGAGACTGGTGAGAAGTGAGGGTGGATAAAGAAGCGGTATTGAGAGGTAATACCACAGCCCAGGAAGGAACGCCTGAAGTGGAAATAAGGAAAGATTGGCAGCCCCTTAGGCGGTGGACTCAGATGGACTGTAGCATTGCTTACAGAGAGAGGAGCTGTGAGAAAATAAGTGTCCTATTTCTTACCTTGCCAGTTGGGTGGATGCTGACCTCATTCAAGGAAAATAAGAAGGAGCAGAGGGCAGAGAAGATGGAGATGCAGACATGGACATGTACAATGGCAAGGAACATATCGGTGGTGGATGCAGTAAAGAGTTGGCTCTCTAGGTCTGGAACATAGAGGTCGAACCTGAAGATCAAGCTGGGGGTCAACATGTCTCGTGGAATGCAAGCCACGTAGGTGTGCGTGCGGTGCCCTAGGGAGAGAAGACAGGATGGAGCACAGGGAGCGGCCAACACCTAGGTGAGCAGATAGTCTTCCCTAGGACAGCTCACGGCAGGGAGAGAAACCATGAGACTTGAGAAGCAACAGAAGGGAATGCAGTGAGGGAAACATTTCAAGTAAGAGGGAAGAAATAAAAAAACCGGAGGTCAAAGACAGGCCAAAGTTCCCATTGTCTATCCACTGCACTTTGGTGGCCCTGGCGAGAGCTACTCTGCAGAAAAGTGAGAAGTGAAAATCAGAGCCCTGGGGCTGAGAAGCGCATTGGAGGTTAAAAAAACCCGGGGGAGTGAGCGTGGAACTCGCCAACACGCACAGTTGCTCACCCTAGCACAGGTGCATCTGGACGCAAAGCAAGGGGGAGAGTGAGGGAGAATATCTGACCTGCTCCTGTTTCAGCTGAGATTCCAGCGGGTTAGAAGCGCTCGAGGTCAGTCAGGCAGGAGCTGGTGAGATACACGTATGGGGGCAAGGAAACGCTACGAGACTGAGGATTGAGCTCCACTCTTTTCCACTCTGTCACCGAATGTGTCACCCTCCTCAAATGGAGTGACCCAGGTGTCGGGGACTCTGTCTCAGTCTGGATCCCTCCCCCTGGCAGTCGCCACTGACATGCTGCAGCTGCTGGATGTGCAAATAACTGATCAGCCTTGCTGTCCAGGAATTTACAGGCGTGGTGAGATTATTTTATTTTATTTTATTTCTGGATACTATCCTAAACCTTCCCACACCAAACACAAGAAGTTTTCCCTTGCTTTCTTCCCCCACTCCTTGCCTTGGAACATGATAATCAAGAAAAACTGACCAGGTGCAGTGGCTTACACCTCTAATCCTGGCACTTTGGGAGGCTGAGGTGTGGGGATCACCTGAGCTCAGGAGTTCAATACCAGCCTGGTCAACATGGTGAAACCCCGTCTCTACTAAAAATACAAAAATTACTTGGGCGTGGTGGTGCATGCCTGTAGTCCCAGCTACTCGGGAGGCTGAGGCAGGAGAATCACATGAACCCGGGAAGCGGAGGTTGCAGTGAGCCGAGATCGTGCCACTGCACTCCAGCCTCGGTGACAGAGCTAGATTCTGTCTCAAAAAAGAAAGAAAGAAAGAAAAAACTACTGAATGAATCTCATTAACCTTTTGAACAATCCTGTCACTGTGGGAAGTTTGTCCTCGTGGGTTGTGGTAGAATGTAGACCTCTTAAATACAAGACCCAGCTCCTGTTAGCCTTTGTGAAAAGAATAGTGTTTTAACACTTAGTATATGCTCAATTAATGTGATATCAAAAGCAATTTTCTACCATTTGTGTTATTTCAGCATAGCTGCCTTTCATGTGTACCCTGCAACCACATTGTGAAATAGACATTTTCATTCCCATTTCACAGAGGATTAAACTAAGGCCAGAAAGATTAAGAAACTGTTTCAAAGCTATATAGGCTGCTGATACATCACTTATATCACTAGGTAAATCTCACTCAGATTCAAATCCAGATTTTAATTCTATCAAGTATATGCAAATTAAAGAAAGTGTTTTATTATTTTTTTCCTGGAGGGGATTCCAAGAAGAAGGGTAATCGCATTTTCCAAATTCAGACTGTGATGAGCACAGTTTATTACGGAGCATCCATCCCCACATGGGGTGAAATGTGGAGAACCAATGTCTTATGAGCACCTTTGAATGAAAATCTTGAGTCCTTCCAGCAGAGAAAGGACTTTTTGAAAGGTTTATTTATTCCTTTACTACATTCCATTCTTATCTTATTAATAGTTCATAAGTCTCAGCTAAATCTCTAGGTCATAGTAAATCACATCCTTCACTATGAGAACTTGAGATGACACAAGCATTCAGTTATAGCAATTTATAGCAAATGCTTAAAATTGGTATACCCACAATCTTTCAAAGCCCTGTCAAATACAGGAGTCAGTCAGATACAATTTTAAAAGGCTTACCATAGAAAGCTCTAAATCTTTGCATAGTCAAGCATATCTTAATCCAGGAGAAAATTATTTTTGTAAACCTTTCCTAGAAGAATTTTATGTCCTGTATTACAATCTTATAATGTGGCAGAGGGAAGGTGGGAGGAAGGGAGATAAATACCCATGTTTATCTCCAGCCTGCAGCAGTGAAATGAGATAGTTCACCATGTATTCCTTGAAAACCACTGAAAATAAATATCAATACTACCATTATCTTTTAAAAAAATTCAGTAGTCTTTCCCACTTGTCAAAACACTTTTTTAAAATCTTCCTTTAAATTTCCAGAGTGTCCTCATATCTAGTTTGCATTTTATCCTCAACACCACAAGAATTAAATAAGGGTTGGTATTATCACTGCCATTTATAGATAAGGAAACGGAAGCCAAAGAAGTTGGGTAATTTGCCTAAGATCACACAGCTATTTAGAGATGGAACTAAGGAAATGACACAGATCTCCAAGCATTTCTGTAAATTTTTTCTAAGTAAAAGATGTTTCCTTCTTTTCCCACCAACCCTCAAAATTCCGTGTGCTGTCTGTGGAATTCATGCACAGATTGCTGTGGTTCGGGGAAAGATCATGCCCAGGACGTAGGGGATAAAGAGGGACCAGACCTGCCTCATCTGTGCCCTCGCTGCATGGGCCTGGGCAAGTCGGTGATCTGTCAGTATCCCACTTTCCTCTCCATAAAATGATAAAGCTGGGAAGGAAATGGTAAATATCACCTGATCACCTGGATTAAACTCTGACTTGGAGGTTTCTTGGCTATACTGTTAGTCAGCATTCTCCAGAGAAAAGGAACTAATAGGATGCATGTGTGTGTATATGTGTGTGCACGTAGACACACACATACACACAAAGAAACAGGATAGATGAGTGCATGTGCGTCTACAGGCACACATACAAAGACATTTATTTCAGGGAATTTGCTCACCTCATGGTGGTGCTGGCAAGTCTGAAATCTGGAGGGCAGCCTGGCAGGAGGGAAATGCAGGCAGGTCTTCCATGTTACAGTCTTGAGGCAGCACTCCTTCCTTCCCAGAAGTCCTCAGTTTTTGCTCTTAAGGCCTTCTGCAAATCAGGGGAAGCCCACCCATATTCTAGAGAGTCAATCTCCTTCACGTAAATGTCAGCTAATTACAGATCTCCATCGCTTCTATAAAATGCCTTCACTTGAACACCCAGACAAGTGTTTGACCAAACAGCTGGGCACCATCGCCCAGCCAAGTTGACATCTACAATTAGCCCTTACAAGAAAATGTCCTTTGGACTATAATGTTTGTCTGTAAAGTGTCACTATCGCAACTATGATGTGTGTTTCTTTGGACAAAATATACATTAGTTGAATAGTAAACTCTGACCAAAGATGTTTAGTATTAAATAACTTTCTTAATAGTCAAACTGCAGAACTAAAATTTAAATTTCTACTAAATTTTGTGTGTGTCTACCCATAATTATCTGCTGATTCTCATACTTTACATTTGAAGGACTCTAAGCTCCTGAATACAGTACAGATATTCATAATTTTTGGAGACGGTTTACCAGATTGGCACCTCATGAAAATGGAATCAAACTGTGATGGGTAATTTTATGCATCCACTTGGGTAGGCCTTGGTGCCTTGATGTGTGTTCAAACATTATTCTGGGTGTTTTGTGTGAGTATTTTTGGAAGAGAGATTAAATTTACATCAGTGAACTTCAAATAAAGCAGGTTACCCTCCATCATGTGGGTGGGCCTCATCCAATCAGTTGAAGGCCCAAATAGAGCAAAAGACTGACCGCCCCAGTTAAGAGGGAATTCTCCAGCAGACGGCCTTTGGACTTGATGCACCTCTTTCCTGTGACTCCAACCTGTTGGTCTCTCCCATGCAATTTTGGACTAGCCAAGCCTCCACGATCATGTGAACCAATACCTTAAAATAAATTTCTTCGTCTTTCTAAATGCATATATCCTCTTGGTTCTGTTCTTGGGAGAATGCTGATTCGTGCATAAACAAGGCTGAAAGGCAATCCTTACTATCGGGAAGGTAAGAAAAATGAATGCAAGGTGTCAGAAGTGATGGTTGGTGGGTGTGTAGCATTGGGGCAAATTGATATTTAAAAATTAAACTCTGTTCGGCTAGCCAGCCTTCTTCAGTCTTCAGACTGCGAGAATGTAGCATCTCTGAATTTTAACAGGGCATCATCAAGTTCTGTCATAATGTTGTTATAGATAAGATGGAGGAAAATCTTCTGGGAGGTAGGAAAACAAGGGGTAGATTAATGTAAACCTAGAGGGAAAGTCCTAGTAGGTTTTTAGGGACCACTGTTCTTTATTGTGTCCTAGTGAATATTTGTCTAGATGGCTTCATGGAGAAATAAAATCTTCGTGGATAAAGAAATCATCATCATTATCACCGTCATCATTAATGGGTATGAGTACTTAACATGGCCTATTTTGTGCTTTATATGTGTTACCTTATTTAATTTTTATAATAATACTTGTTAGAATAGGCATTATTGTTGTTATTTATTTATGTATTTATTTTGAGATGGAGTCTTGCTCTGTCACCCAGGCTGGAGTGCAGTGGTGCAATCTCGGCTCACTGCAACCTCTGCCTCCCAGGTTCAAGCAATTCTCCTGCCTCAGCCTCCCGAGTAGCTGGGATTACAGGCACCCGCCACCACGCCTGGTTAATTTTTGTATTTTTAGTAGAGATGAGATTTTGCCATGTTGGTCAGGCTGGTCTTGAACTCCTGAGCTCAGGCGATCCACCCACCTCGGCCTCCAAAAGTGCTGGGATTACAGGCGTGAGTCACTGCGCCCGGCCCGTTGTTGTTATTTTAGAATTAAGAATTTGAAACACAGAAGATGTTAACTTGGGAAAGGTCACACAGTGGTAAATGGGAGAGCAGGGATTTGAACTCAGTAAGTATGATTTCAGAGTCTACACTCTTAACCCATGTGCACTCTCAGATATAGCTACTGAATCAGAAGATGATATAAAGAAGGAGGAAGTAGTGATTGTGTGGAGTGACAGATGTGGCCCTTCATCCCATCCCACCAGGATTCCTTTGGATTGTGGTCCTATAAAGGTGCGTGAGAAGCAGATGGATGTTCAGTACCGCCCCTGGGCCCAGTTCACAGCTGCAAAAGTACCGGATGGAGCAGACATTAACCAAGAGTCCTGTGACCGAGCCAAGGGTAGACCCAATACAACCTGGTGTAGGAGGCAGTGAAGTTGACGAACACTTCGGCTGTATCATCAGGGAAGCAACACTTAGATGTGGGCAGGTGGGGGCTGGTCCAGTCCATGCTGCTCAGACCCCACCTGCAGGGGTGCTCAGTGTAGAATCACCATTCAGAAGGGAGACTGGGCTGACCACGGAGAGGCAGGAGACAAGGCAGGACATGGAGGATGGACAGTAGTGCGGTTTGAGGAAGGCCTGAAAGAATTGGCAGTGTTTGCTCCAGAAAAGAGACAGCGAAACTCAGGGCTGGGGATAGGAGATGGACGAGCATCATGATAGCATCTCGGCTTACAGAGCATAGAAAGCCCAGGTGATAGGTCTTCCTCTTACCTCTGCAGCAAGTTCATGGTGTGACTGAGGGGGTGGCCACAGTCTCAAATAGCTTCCCCAGGTGGGTCTCTGTGTCACAGGCCATGTGACTTCAGGATCCCAAGATGCTCATTCTGGCACATTTTTCAGCAGGACCCAAAGGATCAGGCTGTCTTCAGCTGCTAAGAGGACCAGTCTTTTGCGAGTCTTTCTTACTTTCAGCCTGTCATTGGGCAGATTTCTGAAGCGGAACCCAGTCCTGGCAGCAATCTTTCTTCTGTCTCAGCTAATCCCAGCCTCAGCACACAGTGCAACATTTTCAGTGGTCTTGTGTCTGTAATTATCTTTCACTGTTTCTAGAAGCAACTTCATTGTGCAACACCATTGCTGTCTGGAAGGGTCATTATCTGGAATCGGTTAGTTCTAACCAGCTCCTTACAAACTGCCTTTGGTAGCAAGGCTCTTAGGATTTTTAGAGTGTTAAAAAAAATTCCGAAACCCAGATATGTTCTTAGTTGTAAATTCTGACTAATAATAAGTTATAAGAAAGAAGACTTCGGAAAAGTGTGTTTGTAAATTCTTTATATTGTTTCTAAATGGGGTCGATTACCTGAGGAGAGATGAGTTCCTGCCACTGGTGATGTTCTATCAGAGAGACAAGCAAAACATGGAAAGCTGAAGTAAAATAACCTCAGGGTAAGAGGGAGAAAAACAGTAAATGGCATGGGTGTGGGGTTCAGGGTACTGAGATGTCAGAAAAATCAGTACAGAATGTGAGGGAGAAGGTGTGAAGAGTCCAAGGACGCCACCTGCTCTTGCACTCCGAACCCTCCCCGCTCACTAGCAAGTCCACAGACTGTCTGCTGAATTTGTCTACAAACAGAAAACAAGGCACTGTGGTGCCTGTTGTATAGATGAGAGAGCATAGGCTTGGGGATGGTGAAATGAGCCTTCTCCGGCCTCTCAGACTCAGGCTTTCGGAGTTTTTGAATAAACCTAAGTTAGTCCACTTCCCGGCCACATAGAAGTTGGAGCAGTAAAGCTGATGGGACTGTTTTTCATATGAGATGCAAACTCCTCAGGTTATGGCAAGTGAGGGCGAGAAGGAGGCCTGGGCAAGAGAAAGGACTTGCTTTATTTTACATCGCTAGTTTATGGAAGTACCAGCCAACACTGAAACTTCCTGGCCTCCAATCCAGTGGGGTTATTCATCCTACTCTCCACTCTCTCTGTTTTCTGATGTTTGGAAATAAAAAAAATCAGAACTACCTCATTAACGCTCTCTTTCCTCTTTCATCTGAAGCAGTGTGTTAGTTAACTTTCTCAACAAGTTTACATGCCCTTTGGCTAATAATTGTGGAGAGGACCTATGACTCACTGTCATTAGTGTAGACTAGCTGCCCTAGAAAAATTGCTCGGGCGCGGTGGCTCACACCTGTAATCCCAGCACTTGGGGAGGCCAAGGTGGGTGGATCACCTGAGGTCAGGAGCTCAAGACCAGCCTGGCCAACATAGTAAAACCCCATCTCTACTAAAAATACAAAACTTAGCTGGGTGTGGTGGTGGGCGTCTGTAATCCCAGCTACCCAGGAGGCTAAGGCAGGAGAATCGCTTGAACCCGGGAGGCGGAGGTTGCAGTGAGCTGAGATCACACCACTGCGCTCCAGCCTGGGCGACGGAGTGAGACTCCATCTTAAAAACAAACAAAAAAACAAGCAGATAGACCACAAAATAGACAATGGCTTGAACACAATAACTGCTTCTGTTTTCCTGTGTAAGAGGTTAGTGAGGCAGGCGCAGGGCTGGGGGAGTGCACTTGTAAGTGGGCTTTGTCATCTTCACAGTATTTTTCCAATGTTGTCCTGAAGCGTTGCCTCATTCCCTCCACCCGAGCAGGTAGAGAACAGGGAGGACCCCATGCAGGAGCTGTTGCGGTTCTAACACGCATCCTATTCTCTTGGGCAGAGCTCAGTCACTCGACCATGCCCAGCTGCAAGGCAGGCTGGGAATGTAGACTAACTAGGTGGGTGAGCCAGGGAGGAGGAGGAGACCTCACCCTAGCCCCAGCTACACTTGCAGGTCGAGCCAAGAGCTGAGGGTTTTGCATATACTGGGTACACTGATTCCTGTTGAGTCTGCAGCCTGATTTATTTTGTGAAACTCTAGAATCATCGGAGGCGGGGTTGCATCCTTGGTACAGCCCTCTTTATCATTGCCCCATGGCTGGGGCTGGAGGACAGCAGGAACAGACACTACAACAAAATCAGCTCTCTTGGCTCCAATCCCTGAAAGCCCATTGCTATTTCTCCCTGAACATCTGGCCTGTTTCCTGGGGTGTGTAGAGAGAGGCCTTCTGTTCCTTCAGGGCCTCAGCTCAGCACCTGCGAACACAGACATTAAAAAAACCCTCAAGAACTGCTTGGCAAGCGCTTGGAACACAGTCTGCTCAGTATGCACCTTCCCACACCCCCTGCTTGTAGTAATAATCTTTACCTGCTTGGCAGAGCACGCCGTTGAGGGGATACATCACTTCACCTGCTGAGATGAGTGCAGAGATTTTCTAATGAGAGGCATTTGGTGGCAAAAATTAATTATGACATATTTCAAAGGCAGGCCAAGAACCTGGCCTCCTCTCCGTTCCCATCCGATGCTTCTGGTCACTAAGGGAAAGAGAATGACAATAACAATAAGTCAGGACTTTTTTTTTTCTGTTGTATAAATAGCAGGGAAGGCTGGGGCTTCTGACTTCAGCACCACAGAATTTTTCTGCAGTGCCTCTTTCCCTGGCACATAGCATGCTCGTTACTAATGGGTCCTAAATGAACCCCAGGTGTCCTGGTGCTCACCTGTGGGTTGAATCTCCCTTGCTCAGTAAGTGTAGAATCCCTCTAGGGTCCACCTATTTTGGAGGGACTCAAACTAGGAGTCCCCTAATTGCATTCTTAGGAGAAGGATATGACTTCTTGAGATGATAAAGGAGACATTACCTGCAGACATTTCAGGTGGAAAGCCAAATTGTGAACTTTTTCTTGTGCAGCTTCTCCATCAGCACTTGCTGCTTCACCTTGCACTATGTTATGGAGATGGTTTTGCTCCTTAAACCTCATGAGCCAATCTTTGCTAGCTTCCAGCTTTTCTTCTGCAGCTTCCTCATTTTTCTCAGCCTCCATAGAATTGAATTGAAGAGAGGTAGGGCCTTGCCCTGGATTAGGCTTTGTCTTAAGGGAATGTGGTGGCTGGTTTCACCTTCTATGCAGACCACTCAAAGTTTCTTCATGTCAGCAATAAGGCTGTTTTGCTTTCTTATCATTCATGTGTTCACTGGAGTAGCACTTTTAATTTCCTTCAAGAACTTTGCCTTTGCACTCACAACTTGGCTAACTGTTTAGCACAAGAGGCCTAGCTTTCAGCCGATCTCAGCTTTCAACATGCCTTCCTCACTCAGCATAATCATTTCTAATTTTTTTTTTTATTTAAAGTGAGAGATGTGTGACTCTTCCTTTCACTTTGACACTTTGAAGCTATTGTTGGTTGATTAGCTGGCCTAAGTTCAATATCAGTGTTGCTTTTTGAAAAGAGTAAAAAACCATTTGGAGCCAAATCAAGCAAATGAGGTGTGTGATCAAACTCTAATCACTTAGATATCTGATATCACTTAGATATCTGATATCATAAAGTAAAACTTTATGAAGTTTGGGGTACCTGTGGCCATTTCTTAAAATAAGACAACAGTGAGGTTTGCCCCACTGATTGACTCTTACTTTCATAAAAGGTTCTCTGTGGCACGTCATGCTATTTTATAACATTTTACCCACAGTAGAACTTCTTTAAAATTGGAGTCAATCCTCTCCAGTTGACTTCCTTGTGTACGCATAATTTTATAATTCAAAGGCCTAGTTTTAGTTGGACAAAAACACATTGGTCACATTCTTAATAGCCGCACCCCAAGTGAGCCAGGAAAAATGCTTGTAGGAAAAAGCTGTAGGAATGTGCTCTTCACCTTCCTGCAAAAGATTAGGGATGGTTGATATGTGAGGGAAGGTGAAAGCTGGAAAGAGTGAGTGATACCGAACTTTATTTTTTCATAGGAAATACAATATTTCCTTCACTGAGCTGACTGGTCATCTGTTGGACCCCAGCCCAGCTCAGCTTAGCAGCCTGTCTGTGTGTGCACGTGTGTGTGTGCATGTGTGTGCGGGTGTGTATGTGTGTACATGCGTGTGCATGTGTGTGTGAATGTGTGTGCATGCGTGTGTGTGTGTGCATATTTGTGTGTGATTTCTCCAGGTGCCCTCATACTGTGTGGGGACAATGAGTTGATTGCTCCCCTGCTGTGTCACTGGGTGATCTAGGATTATATCACTGCCTGAGGACATGAGTACCTTTTCCTTTGCTGTCCCCTCAGGAAAAAGCCCAGTGTTTCACAGTTGGCTGTCCAAAGGGAGGACTGTTCTCCAACCTTCCTAAAGGCCCATGTGTGGGGAAGGATGGCAGTGCTTCTGACATTGGGCATGGCAGGTATGTTAATGAGGCAGCTGGAAAGCCATGCCCGGCTTTGGGCTTCCATACATGTGATTATCCCTAACACCTTCTTTTATGATTATTAGGCTTTGAAAATTGCTCTGAGCTATTTTTAAGAAGTCTCAGAATAAAAAGAGATGATCTGGGAAGGTGAGAGGAGCCGATGCCCAGCCACTGTTAAGAACAATGGTGTTTGGCATTTATCTAGGTCTCTCATCATGGTTCAGGCAGGAACTCCCTAGCCAGGTGGAACCTGTGGCAGGAATCCACAAGCTGTGAGTTCAAGCCTCATGCCAGCTGCCTAAGCTCCTATGAGAAGTTGGTAGATGGTTCATGTCCTTTTTCCTCATTTTTTTATTTTATTTTTTTTTACCAGGGCCAGTCTTCTGTGTAGGCAGAGTGGGCAGAGGCACAGATCGTGTGATTCTAGGTTTATGGAGAGCACGCTCTTTTCAAAGAGCTTCCCTCGCTGCTGTCTGTGAGTTTATCTGTGACCTGCTACAGCAGCAGTCCCCAGACTTTTTGGCACCAGGGACTGGTTTCATGGAAGACAATTTTTCCATGGACCGGGGAGTGGGGTGGGGTGGGATGGTTTCAGGATGATTCAAGCACATTGCACTTATTGTGCACTTTATTTCTTATTCTTATTACATTGTAACGTATAATGAAATAACTGTACAACTCCCCATAATATAGAATCAGTGGGAGCCCTGAACTTGTTTTCCTGCAACTAGACAGTCGCATCTGGGGATGATGGGAGACAGTGACAGATCATCAGGCATTGGATTCTCATAAGGAGCTGACAACCTAGATCCCTCAGTTCACAGTAGGGTTTGCACTCCTATGAGGATCTGATGCTGCAGCTGATCTGACGGGAGGCAGAGCTCAGGCAGTAATGCGAGCGATGGGGAGCGGCTGTAAGTACAGATGAAGCCATCATTCATGGCTCAAGTTGGGGACCCCTGTGCTAGAGCACACACACAGCCATTATATGTCCCCTCTTGTGGCTGATTTGTTTACTGTGGGAGCACAGACTACACTGCAGAGGAGAGCAGAGCTGGGGGGAAAGAAATGGCGGTGGCATCACTTTGCTGGGAAAGGCTGTCTTGTTCTGGAGGCAGGATAAAGGCAGCATGAATGCTTCTCCAGAAGACTTTATCTTACAAGAGCCTGAATGGATGACTAGCTCTCCAAAAGTAAAGCACTGGAAGGGAAGTGAGGTGCCAGGAGATAATAGTTTTGAAGACTAGTCCTGTGAAACGGTGTTTCTTTGTACTCCAATGGCCTATTTTAAATCCTTATCCTATTTGATACTGTCTGCAGAATCTGATGCTAGTGACTCCTTCTTCCTTTCTGAAGCTCACTTCCTCCTTCGCTCCTGTGGTAATAGCCTTCCTTGCCTTCTCTGCAAAGTTTTCAAGTTCTCGTCTTTTGTGCTTCTCTTCCTCTGCCTGAACTTTCAATATTGACGTTTCTGGTTAACAATCTAAGATCATATGGTCACTGTGTGATTTATGTTGTCTACTCCTTGGTGTCACAACCACCCACCATCATGCCGTACAGTCGGTCCCAGCCCCTTACGTGAGCTGGGTTTTTATTTTGGAACTTCCTAACAAACGTTTCTAGATGAAGCCCACAGAGACCCGATGCTCAGGAAGTAAACCTGTCAAGAAGCCAACACATTATTTGCTCCTCCAAATGTTCTTGTTTCTCTGTGTTTCATGTCTTGGTTACTGGTACTATCATCCACCCATGTGGAACCATCTAGAAGCCTAAGAATCACCTTCAGACACCACCTTCCCACCCCACAAATACTCTACATTTTAGCAGTATAAGACTGTAGCAGTTTCTTGAATGTAACATGACATTTCTCATTTCCATACCTTCATTTATGTTGTTTATTCTTGGAATGCTCTTCCTTCATTTTGATGCTTCACACGCTAATACACATCCTTCAAGACCCAATTCCAATGTGTTTTCTATTTTGGGGCCTTTTTGACTCTCCTACGAAGACTAAATTAACTGTTCCTTCATTTGTATTCTCTAAAGGGTTTGTACTATTTTCTATACATTTATTAAAGACCCCTGAGCTAAGACAACCTCCTAAGAACCCTCATTGTTTCAAGGAATATACCATATGGAAAAGTAGAAAATGAGAGTAAAAGGGAAGCTAATGTGAGGGTAGGAGGGAAGGTGAGGCAGAAGAGGTGAAAAGAAAGAACAGAGTAAAGTCCAAGGGTAGGGGAGTTGAGTGGCCACGCTCATAAGGAGCTTTGCCACCCCTCGGTTTCCCGAGCACCTGCCACGTGCCAGGCACTATGGGGGCTTTAGTGTAGATGATTTCTCCCTCGTCTTGCTCCTTCATAGCAAGAGGAAGGAAGCACCAAAGTAAAAAACCCGAGAAAACCTGGAGAAGGTGCCCAGGTTGTCTCACTGGTATTTAGTGCTCCTAGGGTGGCTGGAAAAAGCATCCCGCTTCAAGAGGCCACCATCTGACACAGAGCACCCAGGTACTCTTTCCTGTAAAGCAGAAGTCCCCAACCCCTGGGCTGTGAATCAATATGTGTCTACAGCCTGTGAGGAACAGGGCTGCACAGGAGGTGAGCAGCAGGTGAGTGAGCATGACTGCCCAAGCCCCACCTCCTGTCAGATCAGAGGTGGCATTCGATTCTCATAGGAGTGGGAACCCTATTGTGAACTGCATGTGCAAGAGATCTGGGTTGCATGCTCCTTATGAGAATCTGATGCCTAATATCTGAGGTGGAACAGTTTCATCCCGAAGCCATCCCCACCCCGTGTCCCATCCATGGACAAACTGTCTTCCACAAAACCAGCCCCTGGTGCCAGAAAATTTGGGGACTGCTGCTGTAAAGCATGCACAGTGCACGAGGCCTGGTTGAGCTCTGAGACTTGGCTGAGCCCTTGCAGCAGAGGTGACTGATGAGGACACAGCATCAGGTCGTCTACTGCTTCCTGAACTTGTACTGACTTTCAGGTCTTTTTACCTTTTATTTATTTATTTATGAGATGGAGTCTCACTCTGTTGCCCAACCTGGATTGCAGTGGTGCGATCTCAGCTCACTGCAATCTCCATCTCCCGGGCTCAAGTGATTCTCCTGCCTCAGCCTCCTGAGTAGCTAGGATTGCAGACACCCCCCACCACGCCTGGCCAATTTTTGTATTTTTAGTACAGACGGGGTTTCACCATGTTGATCAAGCTGATCTCGAACTCCTGACCTCAAGTGATCCACCTGCCTCGGCCTCCCAAAGTGCTGAGATTACAGGCGTGAGCCACTGTGCCCAGCCTGAGTTTCAGGTCTTCAAACAAAAGTTCACCTGCTCCAGAGTTGTTGAAATGTAATGCATTTTCTGGAAAACGTGTGTCTCATTCATCTCTTGTTGGCGTTTCTGAAAATACCACAGGTTCTGGAGACGCTACCGCTTCATGTCTCCTAGCAGCACTGGCCATCTACCTGGGCACACCAGGGCTCCGTGAAAATGTGTTCCTGGGATGCCAGTGTTTCCACCCTGGGATCCAGGAGGCCTGGCTCCAAACCCCAAGTCTGCACCCACTACCTGGGAGATGTAGGGGCATGACAGCTGCTCAGAGGTCTCAGTGTCCTCACATATATTCCAGGAACAGTAGGCTGGTTGGGCCACCGGCGCCAACATCCTGTGGTGATTTCTTCATCATGACAGGGTTTCGTGTCTGTGAGATGCCTGGCGAGAATCTGTAGCAGGTTGCATGAGAGCTGGCTTGGCTCTGATGCTCCACATTCTTCTCCGTGGCTCCTTTCCTTTCCTTTCCTTTCCTTTCCTTTCCTTTCCTTTCCTTTCCTTTTCCTTTTCCTTTTCCTTTTCCTTTTCCCTTTCCTTTCCTTTCCTTTTTTTCTTTCTTCCCTTTCTTTCCCTTCTTTTCTTTTCCTTTCTTTCTTTCTTTCTTTCTTTCTTTTTCTTTCTTTCTCTCTTTCTTTCTTTCATTTCTTTTCCCTTCCTTCCTTCCTTCCTTTCTTCCTTCCTTCCTTCCTTCCTTCCTTCCTTCCTTTCTTTCTCTCAGAATTCAGACTTTGGTTAATTGTGACAAACCTATTAATAATTTCTGCTCTATTAGTTTCCTCATACAATACAGTGCTTTATCTGTCAGCCAGAGTTTCCTTGGTGTGTAACCGTGGCTCTTATCCAGTGTATCTCATAATATTTATTTTCTGAAATAATCGAGAGCATATGCTTGTTAATGCTTTTATTAGTTCACATTTGAGAATGGGTTGCCAGTTTGCAGTCTAGATAATATTATGGTGTCTCTGCATCTGCCTGTCAGCTGCATCTACTACTTGAATGTTTGGTTATTTCTCCAGCCTCCCCTCATTAACCATTCCGGTTCCTCCTTAGGCAGCGCTCCTCATGGCCACTGAGCATGAAGCCAAGGTCCCTGCAGTGATATCCTACACAGACAAGGGTGTAAATAGCTTAGTTTCATCAGGCTGTTGAAAATGACACCATTCTCCATGCACCAATTCTTTTTATTTTATTTTTTATTTTTTGAGATGGAGTCTCGCTGTGTCCCCCAGGTTGGAGCACAGTGGCGCGATTTCAGCTCACTGCAAGCTCCACCTCCTGGGTTCACGCCATTCTCCTGCCTCAGCCTCCCGAGTAGCTGGGACTACAGGCGCCCACCACCACGCCTGGCTAATTTTTTGTATTTTTAGTAAAAACGGGGTTTCACCTGTGCGGTGGCTCACACCTGTAATCCCAGCACTTTGCGAGGCCCAGACAGGCGGATCACGAGGTCAGGAGATCTCCCATGCACCATTTCCATCATATTTTTGTTACTCTGAGTGGTAACAGAACCTGTAGCTGCTCTGTTAACCTGGAAACGGGCTTGCTTTGTACAAAAAAAGTTACCTGCTTTCAGATGGGGCCGGTGTTCATTTAATTTTTCTGATGACACAAACTTGATGATGATGAAGTTCCCTACAGAGAAAGTCACACTAGAAAGACTGATAAGTTTTCAGACCCTTGAGGTTGGCCAGAACTCTAAAGAAGAGGTAGATATGGAGAGACTTGGTAAAAGGAATCATCCTGACGTAGTGACAGATGGGATGTGGAAGATGAAGGAGAGGGTGGAATCAAAGACGAATCATGAAAGCGACCCCTCTCGTGGCGTTGAAAAGCTTCTCAGTTGTTGGAGAATCTTTCACATTGTGAGCTGATTAGATTGAAAAACACACATATATGGGGCTGTGACCTGAACTATATCTGACGAAGTCAGCAATTGCTTTGTGTGTTTGTGCACGTGTTCATGTTTGTGCATGTGTTCATGTGTGTGTAAATGGGCCTGGTGTTTGTGACTCAGTAACTTTTTCTAAGAGAAAACACGCATCCTCACCCTTGCAGGGGAGGCACCAGCTGTCAGTGGTGAAAGAGAGAGAAGGGTCTTCATTCCCCTCGTCTTCCCTCTGCTGTCTCCCCAGCCCTTTACCTCCCGCCTTGGCCCCTTCTCCCGTTCATCTTCCTCTCCTCCTGCTCCAGAGAAGGAAGTAATTAAACGGTCTGTCCTGTGTTGGCTTTTTTTTTTTTTTTTTTTTTTTTTTTTTTTTTACTGCATATAGCCCTTTTTTTTTAAAAAATTATACTTTAATTTTTACAGTATATGTGCACAACGTGCAGGTTTGTTACATATGTATACATGTGTTGGCTTTTTAAGGATGTGAGACTTGTAAAAACAAAATACTATGAGTAGAAGTATGGAACAAAATGACAAGCCTCATTTACCTTAAAATAAGAAATCTCTTGGCCAGGCTTGGTGGTGGCTCATGCCTGTAATCCCAGCACTTTGGGAGGCTGAGACAGGCAGATCACTTGAGCTCGCAAATTCAAGTCCAGCCTGAGCAACATGGAAAAGCCCCATCTCTACCAAAAATAGAAAAATGAGCTGAGCTTAGTGTCATCTGCCTGTAGTCCCAGCTACTTGGGAGGCTGAGGTGGGAAGATCACTGAGCCCATGGAGGTCAAGACTGCAGTGTGCCCTGATGGTGCCACAGCACTCCGGTCTGAGTGACAGGGCAAGACCCTGTCTCACAAACAAACAAACAAACACAAAAGATAAAAAAAAAATCTCTAGGTCAGAAGCAGATGCTAAAGAGATCCAGTAGTCAAAGGTGAGGGGAAATGTTAGAGTGTGGTCAGGGTTCATCCTGCCTGCATGACACTGCCCATCCTGTGCTGGGGATGCTGGTGGCTTTGGGCTTGTGTTTAGATTTGCAGTTGGGGTCATATTCCAGGTCCAATGCATTTTCCCATCCCTGATAAGCTCAGCACGATATGTGACTTAGCTCTCAGTTTCTCTGAAGGAGATGGCCTTGCAGTTTGAACTCCAGGAGCTCCTAGGAGCCACTGTGGAAAAGAGGCCGGAGCATGAACAAGGAGCATCTAACTTCAGCCTGACAGGACAGCAGCTTGCAGTGCAGTAGTTACAACAACTCCGTAGAATTACCAAGCCTGCCTTGTAGTGATTGGGGAGGGAGAGTTGGTCCGTTGTCACATTGTTGCTGTGACTAGTCCATTAGCTGACCTCGGGGGTGTTTCTCTGGCTCGTCGAACACAGGGCTGTTCAGCTGTTACAAAGCTCGTGTCCAACCTAACATCAGTGTCTCTCTCTGATTTCCTTTTGCGAGCTTGAGAGCTGCCTGTGATACACTGTTGGTGGTGCTTCATGGAATTTGTCCTGTGTGCATGCGAGATAGTTTTAATTCTCTTTCACAAACTATTAATGAGCTCACGTCTAGGGTTGCTAGAGTTTAGGAACAGGAATCAGATGAGGAATAATGAATTTAAAGATATAGATAGAGGACTCTGAGAAAAACAGCTGAGTTAGTGAGTCCTATCTGTAAAGGGTATGGTTTCATTCTTTTTTTATGGCCGTGTAGTATTCCATGGTGTATATGTACCACATTTTCTTTATCCAGTTCACCATTGGTGGGCACCTGGGTTGATTCCATGTTTTTGCTATTGTGAGTAGTGCTGCAAGGAACATATGCATACACGTATCTTTTGGTAGAATTATTTATTTTCCTTTGGATATATACCCAGTAGTGGGATTGCTGGGTCGAATGGTATTTCAACTCTTAGTTCTTTGAGCCTGCTCTTCACAGTGGCTGGGATTATCATACACTCCCACTGACAGTGTGTGAGCTTTGCTCTGTAGCCTTGACAGCATTTGTTGTTATTTGACTTTTTAAAAAAACCATCGAGTTGGTATCTCATTGTGCATGAGACGGTATGTCATTGTGGTTTTGATTTGCATTTCCCTGATGATGAGTGATGTTCAGCATTTTTTCATATGTTTGTTGGCTGCTTGTATGTCTTCTTTTGAGACATGTCTGTTCATATTCTTTGTCCACTTTTTAATGTGGTTATTTGCTTTTTGCTTGTTTATTTTAAATTCCTTGTAGATTGTGGATATCAGACCTTTTGTGAAAAATGGACATTTTTAAAGCTACAATATTTTGGTTTTTAGCATATCCAGAGAGCTATGCAACCTATATCATGACCTAAGTTTAGAATATTTTTATCACCTCAGAAGAGAAACTTCAAACCTATTAGCAGTTATTCCCCGTCTACCCTGTCCCCTAGCTCCTGAAAACCACTATTGTTTTAGTTTCTATGAATTTCCTACCACCACTCCATCATACTCTGCCACCCACCAAACTAATGCCACTTCCATTGCTAAGCCCACTAGGACACTCCCTAAAACTTCAATGCCTGACCCTCATGCCTCCGTGTATTCCTAAATAGCCATCGCTGTAGTATAACCAAAAACAACTATCATTCCGCGCAACTATCATTCCATATAAGTGGAATCGTACATGGTGTCATCTTTCATGGCTGGCTTCTTTCACACAGCGTGATGTTTTCAAGGTTCATTCATGTAGTAGCATGTCAGTACTTCATTGCTTTTTATGACTGAGCCATCCCATTGGGTGTATTTACCACATTTTATTTATCTGTTGATCAATGGTGGACATTGGGGTTCTTTCCACTTTGTGGCTATTATGAGTAGTGCTACTATGAATATTTGTGTACGTGCTTTTGTGTGGACATGTTTTTGTTTCTCTTGGGTAGATATCTAAGAGTGGAATTCCTGAGTCATGTGGTAACTCCATGTTTAACCTGATGAACTAGAGGGAGAAGGTTGGTACCTTGCCACGTTAGAATGACACAAATCTCTCCCAGGTGGTGAGTATAGCTCCCAAGTGGTGTAGCTCCTGTCCTGGCTAAGATTCAGCCATTTTTTTTTTCTTGAATAAATACTCCTCAGATTCTTGTAAGCCTTTGGTTATTTTGCAGAGTTCTGAGGAGGGTGATTTTGACAGTTTTGTTCGAGCTGCTTTAACAGAAGAGCGGCTTTTTGGGATAAATTTCTCATCCTATTGCTTATTTTTAAAATTACTTTCTTTGCTTTTAAGCTTTAATAGTGTTACTTGAACTTTGCTTCTAACAGATGCATCATATTTCAGAGATAAACTCATTAAATCACATCATATTCCCCAAAACTTTGACAGAAAGTTACCTAAGTCAGGATACCTTGGTGACTGGACTTTCCCCTGAGATTGTTTTCCTTCATTGCACAGTAAGTTCATATTCTACTGCTCTCCCTCTCTTTCTTAAATTTTTCTATACTTTTTTGTGTCCTCTTTATTGAGATACAGTATGCATTCATTCACATTCTCTAATTTAAGAGTGCAGTTTAATGAGCTTTGAAAAAATGTGTAGTCATGTAAGCACGATTATGATACAAAACAATTTCATCCTTAAAAACAGCTTCCCTCTATCTTTTTACAGTCAGTCCATTCCTTTACACCCCAGCCCTTGGAAATCAGTGCTCTGCTTTCTAACACTGTGGTTAAGTCCCTTTCTAGAATTTCATATAAATGGAATCATGGAGTACCTATCATTTGGGTCTGGCCTCCTTCTCAGTACAATACCTTCAAGATTCATCCGTGTTGTTGCATGCTTATCAGTAGTTCAATTCTTTGTTATTATTATGTAGAATTTCGTTATATGGACATAACTCAGCGTGTTGATCCATTCAACAGTTGATGGACATTTGGGTTGTTTCCTGTTCTTAGCTAATTTGAATAAAGCTATGAACACTCATGCATAGGCAATTCTGTGAAAATTTTTATTCTTTTAGCAAAATATTTAGTAGAATTACTGGTCATATGATAAGTTTATGTTTAACGTTATTAGAAACTGGCAGATTGTGACAAATGATGAGTATCTTTTTGTGTATTTATTTGCCACCTGTAACTTCACTGACAAAAGGATCACCCAGCTCCTTGACCAGTTTATTATTGGACATTGCCTTCCTATTATTGAATTGTAAGATCTCTAAATATATACTGTCAAATAAATGTTTTTCAGATAGCTTATTCCAATATGTGGCTTGCTGTCATTTCTTTAACAATCTTAATAGTGCCTTTTGAAGAGCCGAGTCTTTTAATTTTCACCAAGTCTAATTTATCAACTTTTTTCTTTTGTGATTTTGACTGTCATACTCTATTTAAGAAAGTTTTGTCTCAGCCAAGGTCATTAAGCTTTATTTTGTTTGTTTCTAGAAATTTTGTAGTTTTAATTTGCACATTTAGCTCTGTAATACAGTTCATGTTAAATTTTGTAGATGGTATAAAGTAAAGATCAAGGATCATTTCTGCTGGTATGTGGATGTCCAGTTTGTTCATGTTATGTTGAAATGGTGATTGTCTCCATGGAGTTGCTTTTACTTGCACTTTTATTGAAAATGAATTTGCTACTGATGGATGGGTCTGTTTCTGGACTCTATTCTGTTCCATTGATCTATTTGACTACCTTTGCAACATTATTACAGTCTTGATTACTGTAACTTTTAAAAAGACTTAAAATCAGGTCGTTTAAGTCTTCAGATTTTCTTCCTCTTTAAAATTGTTTTGGCTATTCTAGATTACTTATGTTTCAATATAAATTTTAGAATAAGTTTGACGATTTCTGCAGAAAATCCACTTAGAATATTAAGATTGCATTAACTCTATACATCAATTTTGGGAGAATTGGCATGTTAGTAACATTAAGTGTATTTGCGTGTAGATCTCTTTATTTAGGTATTTTAAATTTTTACCAATATCACATATTTTTTAAAGTTTATCACTGAGATTATATTTTTAAGATTATTCAAAATGTGTTATGAATTTTTAACTTACTATTTCCAATTGTTAGTATACAGAAATATTATTTATTTTTGTAAATTGACTTTTTATCCTACAAATTTGCTGAACTGTTTTATTGATTTTGTAGTTTTTCCATACATTTCTTAGGATTTTCTACATAGCTGTTCATTTTATCTGCAAATCAAGCCAGTTTTACTTACTAATTTCTGATTTTTACTGCTTTTATTTCCTTTTCCTACCTTGTTACACTGGCTAGGACTGCCAGTAAAATGATGACTAGAAGTGTGAGAGATTAAATCTCTGCCTGGGTTCTAGATCTAAGGGGAAAAGTGTTCAGTATTCATCCATTCAGTATGTTACTTGTCAGTTTCTCATAGATATCATTTGGCAGATATCTTTTGGCAGGTTATGAGAGTTCCTGGGTTATGGAAAATGCCATAAATTTCCTCTTAGCACTTCCTTGCATGCGTTCTATGAATTTTGACGTGTGATTATTTAGTGTTTGTTCATTTCACACTCACATTTTTACACAGATAAGTATTGAGCTAAAGGTCCCATAGGACTGTGCTGCAGGTCTCTAGAGCTCAGGTCTTCTGTGAAGCACCTCCTCTCCAACACCCTGCTCCATAACGTCTAGCTTTACCGAACTCCTGGAACTCTGGGCTTTGTGTCCTCAGTTCATTAGGCCACCAGGTCTTATCTCAATCTCCTTTCTTAGGCTGTGGTCTGGAAGCTTTCTCTAGGCAGTGAGCTGGGGCCCTCGTAAGCTCAAATGTTTGTTTCCTGTCTATTACAGATGACTCTCTTGTACTGCCTGTTGTCCAAAGTCTAAAACACATCATTCGTGTATTTTTCCTATGTTCTTATTGTAGAAAGGAGAGTAAATCTAGTCCCTGTTATTCCTTTATGCTGAGAAACAGAAATCTGTAGGTTTACTATCACACTGATCTTGTGTCTCTGATTTCATGAAGGAAGCGTGCATGAGAGAAACTCCCAGAGGCAGATGTGCTCTAGGAGGAGTGAAGGACAGAAATGGCAAGCCCTAGGTAGCGCATGAGGCTGGGACCACCATTCTGGGGTTGATGTTTCTCCATCACACATTAGGTTGACCTGGGGAGTGTCTAGGAAAACACTGATGCTGTTTTGCCTCACAAACACTAAGTCAAAATCCCAGGCACCAGTGTTCTGTGAAAGCTATGCTTGGGAAACTGACGTGAACCTATTTGTGTGAAGCATGGGGCTAGCTCCTCTAAGCTGATTCTGACCTGTCTTATGTGAGGTCACTGAGCTGGCTCTGAGATGCCTACCAATATTGAAGTATTTACAGACTGAAGCAATTTAGGCAGCATGCTCTAGTACTTCCAGTATCTTCAGACAAGCTGCAATTCTTCTAAGGAGCTGAGGGGCAGGAGGGTTTGATCTCACTTGGTAGTACAGTGGCAGTTGGGAAGTGCCCGTGGACATGTGCTATGTTCAGAATTGTCAGAATTGTGGACAGTCACTCCAGGCACTAATACTGGGAACTGCCAATCAAGGCACATGGTAGCAACTTAGTAAATTGCAACTTTTTTTTTTTTTGGAATGAATTTGATCAGGTAATTTGTTATCTCTGAGCCTCAGTATTGTATTAGTATTGCCATGTGTAAAATAGTCTACTTCTGTTATCTTCCAGGATTTTGTGAAACTCACATAAAATAGACCACGTGAAGACATTTAGGAATTTATTTAAAAAGAGGGAGGACTATAAATCTACTTAGTATGTTTTATGTCTTAATAATTTAATTTAGTCTAAAAGTGGGTTAGATGTAACGGTGCCTTTAGAAATTAGGTCTTGTGTAAATAGGCATTGTTTTGGTTTGAATTAGTTCATAGAGGAAAGTAGGTTTACTTTAATAAATAATTGAAAACATATTAATACAAGTCGCAAAAATTTTTTAGTGAAAAGTGTGGAAAGAAAAAAAAACTACAATAAAACGGATATGGTTTTCTGCTTTCTCGTTGTTGGTATTTTATTTAAGCATTCATTCTTTATATAAGGCTCACTCTCCTTGGCTTTTCTTCCTCTCTGAAATAAACAGACATTAGTCACATGCAGAATTAAACGCTGCTGCAGAATTTTGTGGTGTGGCATGAGACACTCAGAGCTGATGGAAGTCTAGAAAGGTTAAGCCGTTGTCCGACCTGAATCAAGCAATTCTTTTCAAACATTCAGTAAAATGCGGCCAAGTAGGCATAATCTAAAATGGACTATGTGGAGGTCCCGTGGGCAAGATTGGGGAGGAATTCCTGGGCAGTCTTCATCCATTTTCTTTTTCCTATTATGGTAAGCTAACTCACAGCTTAAGTCAATCCATGAATCCATCTCTAGTCCTGGGTCAAGCAACAGGGGTGGGAGTCTGGTGGGGAATCCGGCACTTAGAGTAACGTGTTCACCATCGCTCGTGTGTGTGTGTGTGTGTGTGTGTGTGTGTGTGTGTGTGTGTGTCTAATGGTAGGATGTTTCAGTCTCTTCTCGTATTGCTCCAGAGAGAGCGCTGTGGTCTCACAAGTCTTCTGAGGATTCTTCCTGGTGGTTCAGAACAGAGTGTGGACTACAGAAACTTTAATGTATAATGTGTTCAGGAAAGAGTACCTGTAATATTTTGCACTGTTCATTTTTAGTATAGAAGCTGCAACTCTTGTCTTAATCTACATCTGGTTTTAGAAGGCAGGAGTTCTTAGGGAAAGGCTGGTGTAGCTTCATTTTGGCAATTTTAAAAGTTTTACCCGATGAACCCTTAGCCATCCTTGTTAGTCCTGCAGACAACCGTGAACATACCACAGACAAGGTGCTCAGAAGGGGGACTTACCTATGCAGGTCCAATCATCTGCAAAGGATCGGGCACATTGGAGCCTGACCGTCTTAAAAAAGCCTTTCTTTATGAGAATCCGTGGGCTTTTTCTGTCCAAGGCAAAGCACAAAGCACTTGTTGGGCCTATTTAAGGCACTGCAGGATGGCATCCTTGATGGGGTGTTTCAGGTAAGCCACTTGCACCTTTTGTAGTAACTTTCTTATAGACAGTGGGCTCATTCAGTGTGTGGCAGATGCCCGGCAAGCATGCTTCATCTTGCTCTGCAGTGGCAACTCTCTCGTTTCCCATGTGGAATTGTGACCATGGAGCTTCGTATTTTCAGAGATTTAGTTCCTAATGAATAAAGTATTTTAAATGTACTTATTTATTTGTGACCCCAAAAAAGAAGGGTTTGGGTTAGATGATCTCTTTCAGCTTTCAGAGCCTGCAGTCCCTTTCCTGATTCCGAATCATAAATGTATGGGAATGTGTCAATGTGCAAGAGAAAGAGGGGAACAGAAAAAGTCAAATACAAACACAAGAGTATTCCAGTTAACTTAAGCGAGAAAATCTTCCACAATTCCTCTTTCTTTTGGATTCTCTCCTGTTGTCTCCAAGGCTCACTGACTCCAACACAGGGCCCTGAGGGTCGGTTGCAAAGTGCTTGAACATTCTGTCCTTTGTTTCACATCTAGTCTCATTTCAGGGTCCGTTTGTTGACACTTGAAGTCAAGCGCTGTGTCATCAGAGAGACTCTGGTGCAAGGCAGTCAGCTGTTTACTTTGCTGCACAATCTCTGTGCCCAGTTCAGCCAGAGAGAGCAGCCCTGCATGCAGCAAACCAGAACCAAGCCTGCAGCAGGACTCAACTAAGTTGTCACTCTGGAGTGTTTTTCTGGCTGGAAATGAAGCTAATCCTTCCTAATGCGCTGGCTTCTTCGACCATGTCCAAGCGAGGGCTCACATTTGGCTAAGGCTTCGAATCCTGTTTCAGGGAATCCAATTCAATTAATTCAATGTTCCTCTTTACTTAGCAAATACTAAATACCTACTACGTACCAGCCAGAGCAGTAGGCACTGGAGTACCCATGAGACGTAAATCTAGGTACATAGTGGGAATCTTAAATTTGCTAGGACTGGGGAATTCGGGTGTATAGCCAAACAAAGAAAATGTAGTGGAAGAAATATCAAATGCAAAAAAAGCAAGAATTCTTAGTTTAAAAAAAAAAAATTATTTCACTTATGAAAGGAGTCTTCTGTGAAACCACCCCTAGGTGTAAGCCCTGGGGATAGATCGTTAGAAACAGGACCCCCCACCCACCCCCACAGAGTACCTGGGAACTTAAGCCTACAAAGATTTTCTAGACTCTCTATTAGAGAAATTTTACCAAAACAGTTATGTTTCAGGAAAGTGGGGATCATTTTACCCAGTGGCCTTGCAAGTTTCACAGCAAGTCTCCTTGTTATGGGTCTACAGGGAATTAAGGCAACTTGAACTAAGAGAGAAAACTATGGTATATTTTCTAAAAAAAAAAAAGAAAATACTGCAATGAGAGTTCTATTTTTTTTTTTTACTTGGTAGAGTAAGTCATACCTAAAATTTCCCTGTAAGACCTTGGTCAAAATAAGAATGTTATTACTTTGGCTTAATATCAAAATGGTAAAACATGAACTGGAAGTCAAGATAATAGTTTTCTTTACATCTTAATTGCAAATCCTTCAAGAAAAAAGGAAAATATGACAAAAGCAATATAGCATAGACATTGAATAGAGACTTTGAAGTCAAAAAGCTTGAAATCAAATAATGGCTCTAGCCGTCACTCAATGTGAGGTCGGAGGCAACTTATGAAACCTCTCTTAGCCTCAGTCTTTCCATGTGTAGGATGGGGATGATAATATCTATTTCACATGGTTATTATTACAATTAAATGAGTGGCTAATTGAAAAGCTCTTTAACAAGTGCCTGGCATGTAGAAAATGCTCAGTAAATTTCATTTACTATCATTCTTGTTGCTACTGTTACTGTTATTATTACCTGCAGTGTGTGAGGTCTTAGGCTGTGCTTGGACTTGGACATGAACTGGGAAGGGTGAAGGGGAGGGTGAACTGCAAACCTGAGTAAGGGTGAAGGAGAGGGTGTACTGCAAACCTGTAATAAAAGAAGTCTGTATTGAAAGAAAAAGAAGCCAGGATCCCCAGAGATACAGGGGAGAGTGTAGAATGTGAGGGAACCAGCAAACCCAGTGTTCTCTAGTCTTAAACACTGAAACGTCTGAGACAGCTTTATACATCTCCTTGGGCGCATTTCTCTAACAGACAACAGTGTGGAAATCTGATCCAGCTAACAACAGAAACACGAAGAACCAACTGCATACCACTCCATCAAGAGCCAACCCTGGTTTAAAGTAAAGCTTCCTGTGGTGTTTCAGTCTTATTATCCCTCCAGGGATCCAGAAGTCATCATGAAGATATTTCGCTAAAACTGCACTCGTACGTTTAAACACTGATAATGGAAAAATGTATTTTGCCAAAAACAGTAAGAACTGCAACTTCTATTGAAACATACTGAGAAATAGTGTTATAGTGAAAGTCAAAGATCTGATGTTGAATCAGGTTGGGAGGGCAAGAAATGATTTTCATGAAGAAGGAAGAAAATGAATATTTTCAAAAGCTCACCTGCCTGGAAGTCACAATGAAGCATTAAGGAACATCTGACATAAAAGGAGGGAGTGTAATTCATCAAGAGGATGCCCATGGGGACTTGATTGCTGGACTTTATTTCTAAGTCAGGGGAGGCATGATCCTAAGCATTCTGAAGAGATGGAAGGGACATCGGGGCTGCCACTGGGCCCCTCCCTCACACCTCATGCTCCACCAGGAGAGCTCAGCCTTGCCACGCGGCTCTGTGGCCTGGGACCTCAGGGTCGGGGTGAGCCGTGGTCCTGCTCAGGGGATAGCACCCTCTGCTCTGCTGTGCACGGTAGCCCCACTTTTCATTCTGCACACTTCTTCTAAGCTGCAGGAGCTCCTGGCTCTTTTTCATGTCACCAAAGAGCCTTAAATACAGAAATCTTCATGTTTTCTTTCTTTTTTTTCTCTTTAGGAGTCTCTAGACTCCTCTTGGCCCAAAGGTTAACATGGTAGGTGGCATTTGCATTAAGTAGGTACCAATAGGGGTGTGTGTGTGTGTGTGTGTGTGTTGACCTTTGCTTTGATCAGCTTTTATTACAAAATTTGACCATGACTACGTTTGTGTGCAAGAGATGCCGCTGGAAGTATAGTCCCAGGCTGGGAAGCTGCTACCTAGCAGCAAAGTTACACTAGGGAAGAGGAGGTGCACAGCTGTGGCTGACAGCAGCGGCCTTTGCCACAATCAGTACTGGGCTTCAGTGGTCTTTCTCCCTCTATTATATCACATTTATTATAACAGCTTTATGTGCATGTGTCTCTAGGTCACCAGCTCCTTATGAGAAGTACCCGAGCTGTTTATCTTTCTTTCTCCAGGCCCCAGCCTCATTCTTTCTTTTTGTCCTGATTTTACTTTTTTTATTATACTTTAAGTTCTGGGATACATGTTGCAGAATGTGCAGTTTGTTATGTAGGTATACATGTGCCATGGTGGTTTGCTTCACCCATCAACCCGTCATCTACATTAGGTATTTCTCCTAATGCTATCCCTCCCCTTGTCCCCCACCCCCGACAGACCCCAGTGTGTGATGTTCCCCTCACTGTGCCCATTTGTTCTCATTGTTCAACTCCCACCTATGAGTGAGAACACATGGTGTTTGGTTTTCTGTTCCTGTTTGTTTGCTGAGAATGATGGTTTCCAGCTTCATCCATGTCCCTGAAAAGGACACGAACTCATTCTTTTTATGGCTGCATAGTATTCCATGGTGTATATGTGCCACATTTTCTTTATCCAGTCTGTCATTGATGGGCATTTGGGTTGGTTCCAAGTCTTTGCTATTGTGAATAGTGCCACAATAAATATACGTGTGCATGTGTCTTTATAATGGAATGATTTATAATCCTTTGGGTATATACCCAGTAATGGGATTGCTGGGTCAAGTGATATTTCTAGTTCTAGATCCTTAAGGAACCACCACACTGTCTTCCACAATGGTTGAACTAATTTATACTCCCACCAACAGTGTAAAAGCGTTCTTATTTCCCCACATCCTCTCCAGCATCTGTTGTTTCCTGACTTTTTAATGATCGCCATTTTAACTGGTGTGAGATGGTATCTCATTGTGGTTTTGATTTGTATTTCTCTAATGACCAGTGATGGTGAGATTTTTTTCATATGTTTGTTGGCTGCATAAATGTCTTCGTTTGAAAAGTGTCTGTTCATATCCTTTGCCCACTTTTTGATGGGGTTGTTTTTTTCTTGTAAATTTGTTTAGGTTCCTTGTAGATTCTGGATATTAGCCCTTTGTCAGATGGATAGATTGCAAAAATTTTCTCCCTGTTCACTCTGATGGTAGTTGTTTTTTGTTTTGCTTTGTTTTGTTTTTGCTGTGCAGAAGCTCTTTAATTAGATCCCATTTGTCAATTTTGGCTTTTGTTGCAATTGCTTTTGGCGTTTTAGTCAGGAAGACTTTGCCCATGACTATGTCATGAATGGTATTGCCTAGGTTTTCTTCTAGGGTTTTTATGGTTTTAGGTCTTACATTTAAATCTTTATCTTAAGTTAATTTTTGTATAAAGTGTAAGGAAAACGTCCAGTTTCAGTTTTCTGCATATGGCTAGACAGTTTTCCCAACACCATTTATTAAATAGGTAATCGTTTCCCCATTGCTTGTTTTTGTTAGGTTTGTCAAAGATCAGATGGTTGTAGTTGTGCAGTGTTACTTCTGAGGCCTCTGTTCTGCTTCATTGGTTGATATATCTGTTTTGGTAACAGTACCGTGCTGTTTTGGTTACTGTAGCCTTATAGTTTGAAGTCAGGTACCATGATGCCTCCAGCTTTATTCTTTTTGCTTAGGATTGTCTTGGCTATATGGGCTCTTTTTTCGGTTCCATATGAAATTTAAAGTAGTTTTTTCTAATTCTGTGAAGAAAGTCAGTGGTAGCTTGATGGGGATGGCATTGAATCTATAAATTACTTTGGGCAGTATGGCCATTTTCACAATATTGATTCTTCTTATCCATGACTATGGAATGTTTTTCCATTTGTTTGTGTCCTCTCTTATTTCCTTGAGAAGTGGTTTGTAGTTCTCCTTGAAGAGGTCCTTCACACCCCTTGTCAGTTGGATTCCTAGGTATTTTATTCTCTTTGAAGCAATTGTGAATGGGAGTTCACTCATGATTTGGCTCTCTGTTTGTCTATTATTGGTGTATAGGAATGCTTGTGCATTTTTGCACATTGATTTTTGTATCCTGAGACTTTGCTGAAGTTGCTTATCAGCTTAAGGAGTTTTTGGGCTGAGGCAATGGGATTTTCTAAATATACAGTCATGTCATCTGCAAACAGATAATTTGACTTCCTCTCTTCCTAATTGAATATGCTTTATTTCTTTCTCTTGCCTGATTGCCCTGGCAAGAACTCCCAATACTATGTTGAATAGGAGTGGTGAGAGAGGGCATCCTTGTCTTGTGCCAGTTTTCAAAGGGAATGTTTCCAGCTTTTGCCCATTCAGTGTGATATTGGCTGTGGGTTTGTCATAAATAGCTCTTATTATTTTGAGATACGTCCCATCAATACCTAGTTTATTGAGTGTTTTTAGCATGAGGGGGTGTTGAATTTTATCAAAGGCCTTTTCTGCATCTATTGAGATAATCATGTGGTTTTTGTCACTGATTCTGTTTATGTGATGTATTATGTTTATTGATTTGCATGTGTTGAACCACCCTTACATCCCAGAGTTGAAGCCGAGTTGATCATGGTGGATAAGCTTTTTGATCTGCTGCTGTATTCAGTTTGCCAGTATTTTATTGAGGATTTTTGCATCAATGTTCATCAGGGATATTGGCCTGAAATTTTCTTTTTTAGTTGTGTCTCTGCTAGGTTTTGGTATCAGGATGATGCTGGCCTCAAAAATGAGTTAGGGAGGATTCCCTCTTTTTCTATTGTTTGGAATAGTTTTAGAAGGAATGGTACCAGCTCCTCTTTGTACCTCTGGTAGAATTTGGCTGTGAATCCGTCTGGTCCTGGGCTTTTTTTTGGTTGGTAGGCTATTAATTACTGTATCAATTTCCGAACTTGTTATTAGTCTATTCAGGGATTTGACTTCTTCGTGGTTTAGTCTTGGGAGGGTGTATGTGTCCAGGAATTTATCCATTTCTTCCAGATTTTCTAGTTTATTTGCATAGAGGTGTTTATAATATTCTCTGATGGTAGTGTGTATTTTGTGTGGGATCAGTGTTGATATCCCCTTTATCATTTTCTATTGTGTCTATTTGATTCTTTTTTCTTTTCTTCTTTATTAGTCTGGTTAGTGGTCTATCTATTTTGTTAATCTTTTAAAAAAAACCAGCTCCTGGATTCATTGATTTTTGAAGGGTTTTTTGTGTGTCTATCTCCTTCAGTTCTGCTCTGATCTTAATTATTTACTGTCTTCTGCTAGCTTTTGAATGTATTTGCTCTTGCTTTTCTAGTTCTTTTGATTGTGAAGTTAGGGTGTCAACCTTAGACCTTTCTTGCTTTCTCATGTGGGTGTTTAGTGCCATAAATGTCCGTCTAAATACTGCTTTAGCTTTGTCCCAGGGATTCTGGTACATTGTGCCTTTGTTCTCATTGGTTTCAAAGAACTTACTTATTTCTGCCTTAATTTCATTATTTACCCAGTAGTCATTCAGGAGCAGGTTGTTCAGTTTCCATGTAGTTGTGCAGTTTTGAGTGAGTGTCTTAATCCTGAGTTCTAATTTGATTGTGCCGTGGTCTGAGAGACTGTTCGCTTTAATTTCCGTTCTTTTGCATTTGCTGAGGAGCGTTTTACTCCAATTATGTGGTCAATTTTAGAATAAGTGCTATGTAGTGCTGAGAAGAATGTATATTCTGTTGATTTGGGGTGGAGAGTTCTGTAGATGCCTATTAAGTCCACTTGGTCCAGAGCTGAGTTCAAGTCCTGAATATCCTTGTTAATTTTATGTCTCCTTCATCTGTCTAATATTGACAGTGAGATGTTGAAGTATCCCACTATTATTGTGTGGGAGTCTAAGTCTCTTTGTAGTTCTCTAAGAACTTGCTTTATGAATCTGGGTGCTCCTGTATTGGGTGCATACATATTTAGGATAGTTAGCTCTTCTTGTTGCATTGATCCCTTTACCATTATGTAATGCCCTTCCTTGTCTTTTTTGACTTTTATTGGTTTAAAGTCTGTTTTATCAGAGACTACTGCAAGCCCTGCTTTTTTTACTTTCTATTTACTTGGTTAATTTTCCTCCATCCCTTTATTTTAAGCCTATGTGTGTCTCTGCATGTGAAGTGGGTCTCCTGAATACAGCATACCAGTGGGTCTTGACTCTTTATCCAATTTGCCAGTTTGTATCTTTTAATTGGGGCATTTAGTGCATTTACATTTAAGGTTAATACTGTTATGTGTGAATTTGATCCTGTTGTTATGATGGTAGCTGGTTACTTTGCTCATTAGTTGATGCAGTTTCTTCATAGTGTCGATGGTCTTTACATTTTGGTATGTTTTTGCAGTGGCTGTTACTAGTTTTCCCTTTCCATATTTAGTGCTTCCTTGAGGAGCTCTTTTAGGGAAGGCCTGGTGGTGACAAAATCTCTCAGCATTTGCTTGTCTGTAAAGGATTTTATTTCTCCTTTGCTTACAAAGCTTAGTTTGGCAGGATATGAAATTCTGGGTTGAATTTTTTTTTTTTTAAGAATGTTGACTATTGGCCCCCACTCTCTTCTGGCTTGTAGGGTTTCTGCAGAGAGATCCGCTGTTAGTCTGATGGGCTTTCCTTTGTAGGTAACCTGACCTTTCTCTCTGGCTGCCCTTAACATTTTTTCCTTCATTTCAACCTTGGTGAATCTGACGATTATGTATCTTGGGGTTGCCCTTCTTGAGGAGTATCTTTGTGGTGTTCTCTGTATTTCCTGAATTTGAATGTTGGCCTGCCTTGCTAGGTTGGGGAAGTTCTTCTGGATAATATCCTGAAGTGTGTTTTCCAACTTGGTTCCATTCTTCCTGTCACTTTCAGGTACACCAATCAAACGTATGTTTGGTCTTTCCACATAGTCCCATATTTCTTGGAGGTTTTGTTCGTTTCTTTTCATTCTTTTTTCTCTAATCTTGTCTTCATTCTTTATTTCATTAAGTTGATCTTCAATCTCTGATACCCCTTCTTCTGCTTGATTGCTTCAGCTATTGATACTTGTATATGCTTCACAAAGTTCTTGTGCTGTGTTTTTCAGCTCCATCAGGTCATTTATGTTCTTCTCTAAACTGGTTATTCTAGTTAGCAGTTCCTATAACTTTTTATCAAAGTTCTTAGCTTCCTTGCATTGGGTTAGAACATGCTCCTTTAGCTCAGAGGATTTTGTTATTATCCACCTTCTGAAGCCTACTGTCAATTTGTCAAACTCATTCTCCATCCAGTTTTGTTCCCTTGCTGGTGAGGAGTTGTGATCCTTTGGAGGAGAAGAGGAATTCCGGTTTTTGGAATTTTCAGCCTTTTCGCGCTGGTTTTTCCTCCTCTTCATGGATTTCTCTACCTTTGGTATTTGATGTTGGTGACCTTCAGTTGGGGTTTTTGCGTTGTCGTCCTTTTTGTTTATGTCGATGCTATTCCTTTCTGTTTGTTAGTTTTTCTTCTAACAGTCAGTCACCTCTTCTGCAGGTCTGCTGGAGTTTGCTGGAGGTCCACTCCAGACCCTGTTTGCCTGGGTATCACCAGTGAAGGCTGCAGAACAGCAAAGATTGCTGCCTGCTTCTTCTTCTGGAAGCTTGGTCCCAGAGGGGCACCCACCAGATGCCAGTCAGAGCTCTCCTGTATGAGGTGTCTATCGACCTCTGCTGGGAGGTGTCTCCCCGTCAGGAGGTACGGGGGTGAGGGACCCACTTGATGAGGCAGTCTGTCCCTTAGCAGAGCTTGAGCGCTGTGCTGGGAGATCCACTGCTGTCTTCAGAGCCAGCAGGCAGGAACGTTTAATTCTGCTGAAGCTGCGCCCACAGCCGCCCCTTCCCAAAGGTGCTGTGTCTCAGGGAGATGGGAGTTTTATCTATATGCCCCTGACTGGGGCTGCTGCCTTTCTTTCAGAGATGCCCTGCCCAGAGAGAAGGAATCTAGAGAGGCAGTCTGGCTGCAGTGGCTTGGCCGTGCTGCCATGGGCTCCGCCCAGTCTGAGCTTCCCTGTGGCTTTGTTTACACTGTGAGGGGAAAACCACGTACTCAAGCCTCAGTAATGGCGATCACCCCTCCCCTGACCAAGCTTGAGCATCCCAGGTCAACTTCAGACGGCTGTGCTGGCAGCCAGAACTTTAAGCCAGTAGATCTTAGCTTATTGGGCTCCATGGAGATGGGCTCCGCTGAGCAAGACCACTTGGCTCCCTGGCCTCAGCCTCCTTTCCAGGTGAGTGAACAGTTCTGTCTCACTGGTGTTCCAGGAAGCACTGGGGTATGATAAAAAACTCCTCCAGCTAGCTTGGTGTCTGCCCAAATGGCCACCCAGTTTTGTGCTTGAAAGCCAGGGACCTGGTGATATAGGCACCCAAGGGAATCTCCTGGTCTGTGGGTTGTGAAGACCGTGGGAAAAGCCTAGTATTGGGCTGGATAGCATTGTCCCTCACGGCACAGTCCCTCATGGCTTCCCTTGGCCAGGGGAGGGAGTTCCGTGACCCCTTGTGCTTCCTGAGTGAGGTGATGCCCCACCCTGCTTCTGCTCACCCTCCATGGGCTGCACCCACTGTCTAACCAGTCCCAGTGAGACGGACTGTGTACCTCAGTTGGAAATGCAGAAATCACCCACCTTCTGCATTGGTCTCGCTGGGAGCTGCAGATCGGAGCTGTTCCTATTTGGCCATTTTGGCCAGGAATCCTCCTTACAGATGCTGTTTATTCTAACAACCATTCTGTCCATAACACACACACACACACACACACACACACACACACACACACACACACACACGTGTCACAAGTGAAATTTTGGGCAAGTCATTAGATGTCTTTGAATATCACTCACACAGCAAATTTGTGGGTATCCCAGGATTAGAAACAATTTATCTCAATTGTTAGGTCAGAGCTATTTCTCCTTATGTCTGTGATTTCTATCTAATGTGTATATTAATATAAGAATTTCAGAAATTATGCAGTAATTTAAAAGTTCAAGAAACCTTTATTGCAAACACCTCCTTCTGCATTTCACAGGAGGGCCTAAAGAAAAACTTTTTCATAGAAACATGTACACAAGACAATATTACCAGAAATCAACCCCCAAAATGAAGGCATCAGGGGGCACGAAGAAGAGACTTAACAAACTTTTTTTCTTCCCTTGCAAATTCTGGTATCCTAAGAAGCAGTCTGAATGATTTGTGCATGAAACTGCCTTGGAGCAGGTGCAACTTCAGGGGGAATTCTCTTATTTTTATTGCATAAAAAATGAATCCTATGGAAATACAGACTCCTGTTCTGCTGAGTTTTGCATTCGCATAGCTGAATTAGGAGAGGGAGATCCAGACAGTACAGTGTACTGATACCATTTGAAATATCCCCACTTGTTCTTCATGAATTCCCCCATGAGGTTGTCATCATTTAATTCAATTTAATCTTTAAAATTCAAACTCTTTTGAAACTTTTTATATGTGGAGTGCTCTGATCTCATTTTTGGCTTCTATGACACTTTTCCCTTAAAAGCAAAGCTGTGATCTGTGGCGAGGAAGTTTGAGTGGTGCATCTTCCAGTCTCATCTCTGCCATTTGTTCCAGTGTCTAGGAGGAAAGAATCTTTGCACTATGCATATTCAGTGCACTAGGGATAAAGTGGCCAATGTGTCTTCATTCCCCAAGCTAGAATGGTCCTTCATTTATCGGCCAGCCTTTGCTGAACACACAGGTCCTGCCATTCACTGTACAAGGGAAAGATAGAGATTAAGATCCAGGCAGGTCCCTGCTCGCAGTGCTGACTGAGTACTGTACCTATTTGCCCATGTGATGTGTCTTTCTATTTTCCAATGAGAGTGGAGGTCCATGTTTTAAGACTACTTTGCCTCCCATTGACTGAGGATTGGGATTAGATCTTTGATTGGGCTAGAGGGAGAGGTGAGACACTTTGAAGGGGTACAGAAATAATCTGTGGAGGGAGAGGAATCAAGAGGGACTGGACAAAGTTGTGTCTTTATCTTCTGGTCCCCAGATTCACCACTCCCCTAAGAGCAACAGCACTAGCTCACAGCTTTAGCATGACATCCTCTGTAGCTTTACTCACAGTGGGACCAGTTCTGTCACAGTAGGAAGAAATTCTGTCAAGGACTAATGTCATTGCTCCCCGGGTGGCCCAAGGCATCCCCAGCTGATCATGTGACCAGCCAGCCTCCCATTCTTCCAGGTCAGAGAGAAATGATCTACTTTTTTATCTTGGTGTGGTGGATGGGACTAAGGAAAGAAAGAGTTGGGGTTTGTCATATTATTTCTTTACTTTGTACTCAGTAGATTATATTGACAGGCATTGAGTAAATCCAGTGGAAACATGAACTCTCCATACTGTAGTAGACATTGAATAATTTGAGCAGAATAACAGAGAGAAAAGGAAAATGACTAAATAACATTTTAGGAAATAAGCTACATTTCCTAGACGTGGGATTTGGCAATTTGGGATGGATGGAGAAATGAACTTTGTGTATCTCTCTGAAACAGGTGAAATTGACATTCTGGAACAAAAATCTAACTATGAAAAAGAAAACTCTTTATTTCAAATCTATACTTGGGCAACAGTTTGGGGCCAGGAGGAATAAAAGACCTTAACAGGTCCTCTGTAGCCCTCTCTGACTTCTAGGCGTCTGAGTAATCACAGACACCCACACATTGTTTTAAAACCCTCCAGAGAGAGAAAGGGAGAAAAAATGTCTTTGATAAGATCAGGTGCGTTCAGGGTCGTATGGCTGTAGACAGAAAAATGTTTTTGTTTCCACTGGTTACACATTCTGATGTCCGACCTACATCCCTTCTGATGAAATTCAAACCAAACCCTTTTCTTTCCCAGTCCCCATTGGAAACAGAAAATAGATATGCATTTTTCACACTTTAAAGAACTCATCATGTAAAAAAATTGCTTTTTAACACATTTCATGCCATCATGTCTTCCTTGGAAATTTTCAGTGCCTTTTTTTCTATTTGTCTAAGTAGAGAAGCTATCTTTCTATTTTTTTTATGGCTTCTTCTGAACTCCTACCGAGACCTGTTCATCTCACATCTTCAGGCCCCAAATTGGATACACAATTTTTAATTAAGATGTGATCCAGCGAAGTATTTGCTTAGATCTTACAGATCTGGAAAAAAATGCCCTTAAGAAAAGACTAGGCAAATAGAAATAATATAATCTCCTTGCCTCAGTCCAAACTTGAAGGACTCATTAGAGGATGCATGCAAGTAGGGACCAGAGGACCATGAAAATCCTGCTGGGATTGAGCGTGATTTCTGCTGAGATCACTGAGATGCCACAACATTGAATGCTGAAAGTTTTAGCAGGAATCGTTGGTGAACTTTTCCTTTGGAATTCCGCAAGTGCTTCTTGTTACAGGCATAGACAAATGTATACTAAAAATTACATGTATAATTTAAATTTCAGCAAGAAATACTGTTGACTTCTTATGAGGAAAACCAGGCAAGTGATTTGTAAACTCTTGAAGCAAGAAATGTTGATGTCTTCTCCATCTCTTTATCCTGTAGAGCACGTTGCACTGAGATGGCCCCAGAAGTAGATACTGAGAAAGTTCTAGTTGAATCATTTAATTTGAATGAAGCTGTGAGATAAAAGGAAAAAAAAGAGGCTACTTATAAAATAAATTTATAGTATGGTCACATTATCCAGAGTAAGGTTAGTTCGGTTTGGTTTGAATTGTTTCATTTTTAGCCAGGCACAGACTGCTCAGAAAGTAAGCATTTAAAAATTTGTCGAGATGTTATTTATTATTTGGTAAAAGTTGCAATGCACCAAGATGTAAGATTTTACACCCCTGAGTTTTATGGCATCACCCTTGCTAATTTATTCATGATTAAACCAAAGAACTCTCAATGAGGAGAAGTAGATTGCAATATAAATTGGTGTCATTGTTTGTAAATGTGCTCCACTAAGCATATATACTGCTCCACTAAGACAGCTTCTAGTACCATGCCTGGGGCTTCAATGCAATTTGCTTACGTTGAATCACTGGCTCCCAGACTCCCCTTGTGAACTGAACAGGCTTAGAAAATCATTCTAAAGAATGCATGGTTTGTGTAGTTGTAGAACGAAACTTCTCTTGGAAGCTTATTCCCCCTCACCAGGGAAGGAGTTAGTGGGAGATTCTCAATCTGGTCTGCAGATGAGTGCCTTCTAGGTAATTCACACATATAATTTACAGAAGTGGGAAGAAATGAATTCAAACCATTTTTTTTTTTCCCTCAGAAAACTAAATGTCAATCTCATTCCATTTCCGTTGGACGGGGAAATTGACGTAGGAGCAGCGTGAGGTAGAGTGGCATGCTGACCATAACTAGGGTCAGTCACCATCGGAGGACCCAGCAGAGAGCTGTGGGGTGCTGCAGCTGGGGAGGACTTTCTCCATCTGTTTCCCCTTGGTACCATTGATTTGTTGTCTGATTTAAATATAGAGTTCAGTATGCAGGTGTGTAAGTGCAGCATAAATAAAATGGCATCCTCCTTCACAGCCAAGGGGCCTTCGTCTGGGAAACTGATATAATTTATGAGAGCGAGGCAGCAGCATAAATACGTGGGGTGCTTTGTCACCGGCCAGTATGGAATTGGTCAGCTTGGAGGAGGGGAAACAGAGTCAGGGGGAAGACAGCATGCCAGGAGGAGCTAAATTGGGGCACCAGGACCTGAACCCTGGAAGCCAGTCCCTAAACAACCAGAGCTGCTCAGCAACTGCTCTCTAATTACCCTTTGTCCCTGGAGAATTCCAGAGGGGATGGGATTGCCTCAGTGAACTTAATCTTAGATGGGTGGCTGTCCTCCTTCTTTTTTTCCCTTGACGGAGGAGGGAGGGAGGGCGTCGAGGGTGATGCATCAAACTGAGGGTGACAAGAAGCTGGCGCCTTTTGCTCCACTTCCCAGCCAGGAGGGCTGACAGTGCTGGAGTGGACCAGTCCGCGGAGCTCCGGGGGTCTGAATGCTCCAGGGGTGTGTGGATGGCAATGGCCAGGATGGCCCTCCTGGTTGCGACCCATCAGAAAGTGGATACCACTGTCCTCTGGTTTGCCTGCTGTGCTGGTAAGGTGTGGTGACGTGTGTGTGCCTGTGTGTGTGCAAAGGGCAAAGAGATGGACAGTGTTACCATTATTCATTTGGAATTAGAATTGTGGAGGCTTGCACATTTGTTTGTCTTCCAAGTTCTGGCCTCACCCACCCTTTTTTGAGGGAGAGAGGGGCCAGGAAGGAGGCCGTTCCCAGCCCCATGAGTCAAGGAGGGCATCGGGGGATGCTCCCACTGAGGAAGCTCAGAGCGGGGCCCGGAGAAAGGGGTGCTCCAAGCGGTGCTTCCTGGTCGATGGCACGTCGGGGTGGGCAGGCTGGAGTTGAAGAGCTTCTCAGCGTGGATAGGAAATCATGGAAATGAGGAATGATCTAGCCTCCAGCAGTGAGTCGGAGGAATAAATGAATCCCGGAAATGCAGTTTCTGTGAACTCCAGATTGCTATGGAGATTGCATTGCTTTCCCAAGACTTAAAAAACGAAGAGTCAGCGAAAGCTGGGAGAGCGGTGATGTATGGAAGTCAGGCGGGCCAGCGCGCCGGGAGTGGTGGGAAGGGGGCTTCGCAGGTCATTACACGGGGATTTCTCCGCGCAGAAAAAGGGATTAGCGTTTTCACCTGGTGGGGATTTCATGAGCTTTTCCCTGGCCTGCTCTTCCCCTGCCCTTTCCCAGAGAGCCCAGCTTCAGGGACAGCGCCCGCGAGGTGCTGCTGGGGTGGCGGGGCTTGTGGGCGGAGGAGGGCGGCTCTCTGGTGTGCAGCACCGGGTGTGAGTGTGGGTGAGCGTGTGCGGGAGAGGGTGTGAGTGTGAGTGGGTGGGTGGGTGTGAAAATGGGAGAAAGTGTGAGCGTGTCACAGTGTGTGTCACTGAGTGGGCGAGTGAGAAAGTGGGTGAATGTGTGCGTGACTGTGCAAGTGTGTGAGTGTGGGGAGTAAGATTTGTGTGAGTGTGAGTGTGCAAGTGTGTGAGTGTGGGGGAGTGAGTATGGGGAGGAGTGAGAGTTGTGTGATTGTGTGTACACACACGTGTGCACACAGGGCGGGCCGCGCTTGGCATTTGAGGAGGGGCTCGGAGGTCCTCCTGGGCTGGCCGCTGTCCTGGGAGCAGGGCACCAGGGCACCCTGCGAGTTTTCACCTTGCCAAGGTATGCCAGAAGCCGGACTCCAGCTTCCTTGCCAACGTGTGCGGGAAGCAGGACCCCAGCTGCGGTCCAGGGAGGAAAAGGGGGGTGCTCACAGCTGGGGCGAGTCCCTGGAGCCCACAGGCAGTGACTTGCCCCAGAATGAGCTTGAGAGAGTCTGGGGATGGAGAACACTGGGGATGCTTGGTGTGGTGCAGAGGTAGGAGGATGTGGATGCCTGTGAGGTACTGGTGCGAGGTTTGCCACGTGTTATCCCTGCATGAGAGAGCGTGGACCACTGTTTTAGGCCAGGATAGGGACAGCATGTCCAATTACACAGGGCTCTGCCCACCTGCAAGATGCAAGGAGGCCCTGTCTCCAATGTCCCCTGACCTGACAGTCCTGCCACCTGCCAGCCTCGCAGTGGCCAGCCCCGCCCCCAGCAAGCCCCACCCCTAAGAGCCACACCCCCAACAGCTCACCCCCCTGCCAGCCTTGCCCTCAGTCCTGCCCCCTGCCGGCCTTGCCTCTGCCAGCCAGAGCCAGTCCCCCAGCAAGCCCCGCCCCCTGCTGGCTCTGGCCCTTCTAAGCCCCACCCTCAGGCAGTCCCGCCCCCTGCCAGCCCCACCACTGATCATCCCCGCCCTCAGACAGTTTTGCCCCTTGCCAGCTGGAGGTGGGCCTCCTCCAGCCAGAGTGAATCTCTTAGTAAGCCCCACCCTCTTCCAGCCCCACCCTCAGGCAGCCCCACCTGCTTCCAGCCTTGCTGAACAGTCCCGCCCCTGCCACCCACATGGGTTCCTGGGTCTTGCCCCTGACTACCAGGGTGACCCCAATGCCTCCGAGACATCCTTCTGCCCTAGAACAGCCAGGAGAGCAGAGAGAACAATTTAAATGCTCAGAAAGACAACTCTTTCTTACTGTTTTTGCTTTGCCCAGGGAATTGCAATCAGTTTCAATACACAGTTAATAAAATGAGAGGCATTCAGCGTGGATGTGGGTGTCAAGGGAGAGGGCTCAGGCTTGCTTTTGCCTTTTAGTACCAGTTCCTATTGTTTGGAAAACACGAGGTGGCTTCCGAGAACAGGTCTTGGCCCTCGCCTGCCCTGGAGCCCCCTGTCCAAGGGCCGCCGTGCCTCACAGGCAGGTGCATTGCTCTTGTTTTAATGGTGGCCTTCATGGCAGTGGGACCCCTCCCTCCATGACTGTCCCCAGGTATTGCCTATGGTGTTATAGTGTGGGGGCCTCAGGGAAGGGTAGGTGACCTGTCCACATTTAACATAATTGTAAAGCTCATTGAAGAAAAGAGGACGAAGGAGTGACGTCCAAGTTTATTGAGCTTTAGGAAGAGAACGGCCAGATTTCGTTTTGAGATTTTCTCTTATTTGCTGGAAGTCTGTTCAAATCATATGTCTCTTCTGGGTTATTAAACGGTCAAGGTTGTTTCTGGATCCCCACAAAAATGTGAGGATACAAAGTCCCCTTGGGATGTGCAGTGGTACCCATAGTCCTCGTGGTTAGAGGATAAAGGGGTCCCTAGAATGATGGAGTAATAAGGGCAAGGTGTTTGGAAGCAAATGCCGAGAAGAAATGCTCCCTTATGCCGTAAAGGCCAGGAGACTGTGGTCGTCAGGCTGAGTGGATGGATGGGAAAGGAGGAAGTAAAGAGCACACACCGGCTTTTGGAAGCAGATAGCTCATAGCATTTGAAGAGGGCATTGCCATGACTCTGGCCTGCCTCTCTCATTGGGGAATCAAATATTAAAAAAAAAATACTTATATATCTTTTAGAGTGATCTTCTTTGGTAATTTTTAGTATATAAAAAAGAAAAATAGGGAAGAAACCTTCAAGTTTCTACTTACATTTCCTGAATTAAATAGTTTACATCCATAGAAGAAAATAAATATTCATGCAAAGCTATACAAATTCCTTTGTAGGTTTTTAGTAACTATTCTAACAGAAATGTATTTGTAGCTAAAAAATGAAGTGTTAAGCATGTTTTAAAAACGGAGCATTGATTTTCTACAGCAGGGATATTTAGAGTCTTCTTTCCCCTGGTTACACTCATGTGCATTTGCTTAAATCCAGTGGCCTCTGGCTGCACCTGCCTTTGCATCATGACTTTGTCCAATCCTGCATGTGTTAATTTAGGGCCCAAGGGACCAGTCTGGAGCACGCAGCCATCCTGAGTAATTCACAGTCCATTAGACAGCGGTCTGTGGGGTATGTGCTGAGTCCACACACTGATGTTCCAGGAGGTTCTTGCAACTTCCCCACCTTGCAGCTGCCTCTCCAGCACCTTACTCTCAGTCCTTCCCCACAACTACTCTCCATCTTTAACTTATTACACTCCCTGTCTTAGTCCCTTTGTGTTGCTATAATAAAATACCTGAGTCTGGATAATTTATAAAGCACAGAAATTTGTTTTCTCTCAGTCCTGGGGTCTGGAAAGTCTGAGGTCGAAGTGCTGGCATCTGGCAAGGGCCATCTTGCTGTGTCCTCCATGGCAGAAGGTGGAAGAGAACGAACCTTCTCCTGCAACCCCATTTTTTTAATACATTAAATGCATTTATAAGGGTGGAGCCTCATGATTTGAACACCTCCCAAAAGGCCCCACCCCCCAAACACTGTTGCATTGGGGATTAAGTTTCCAGCACATAAATTTTGGGGGGCACATTCAGACCATAGTACCTCCCAAATCTATAAGGCCACCTCTACTTTGCTCTCAGCTCTATCTGTTCATTTGCAATTGTCTTTTAAACCCCACTTAAATGTCCTATCACATTTTATCAACAATAACTTACTTCACTGGGCTTCCTTACACACACTAGTTCCTATTCCTGACTTCTGATTTTTATTAATATCCCTGTTCTTCTAGTTATCCATCTTTGACACTTATAATATCTCTTTCATTTACTACATATAGTAAAGTGACCACATTTTGACAATTCTTTCTCCAGTGTAAGTGTGGTGTCCTATAACTAATGCCCTTTTCTTCCTATAGCCATCACTTGCATCCTCCATGATTGGAACAGTCCCCTGGTGTGCCCCACACCTGCTGTTCTCCTCTCCAGCATCTAATCCGTCCTACCCACTGCCATCAGATCACTATGGAGAGCCCAGGCCTAATCATGTCAATTCCAGGCTATCAGATGTTCATTGTCAGTTTAATCACAGAATTGGCTGAAGTCCTTTATGCTCTAATTATTCCATCATCCTCACCCTCTTCTCCTACATGCAATTGACACTATGACTAAATGGGGTACTTGCTCTTCCTCCAAAAAAGCTCTAAACGTTTTTGTTTCCTTGCTTCTGTAAGGCAGTTCCTCACCCTATAAGGGGCCCATTCTGTCCCTGAAATTCTCATCCCTCATATTTATCTCTTGAAATACTGTCCATTATTTAAAATACAGGTCCCATACCTTCTTTTTCACAAGATTTTCCAATTTTCTTAACTTGAAGTCATAGCTCTCTCCCCCTACCTCCTCCTTCCCCGGTATACTTGGTAATTCTATATTCACATTATTCACACACATGCATCCAAACATTTTTCTTATCCTTCTACTAAATATGAAATATCATAAGTAGAAGCCACTCCTGCTTCACGGCAGCAGTCTCCTACATAACCACAGAGTTTAGACTTCACTAAAATGTAAGCTTTGTTTTTGTCAAGGTTGTATCTGAATCAGTGTCTATATCAGGGCCTGTAACCTAGCAGGGGTTTCAAGAGTGCTGATGCAATGAACAGATGAATGAACTCTTGTGAAGCAATAGATCTAGCACCCAGATTGATCCCGTCTTCTTACAAACACATCTTTAGGCTGTCCCCCTGTGTCTTCTTCAAAGTTGACACTGATATTCGTTTAAATTTTATTTCACCTGAATAAAAAAATATAGTGTGAGAATGATCTGCTGAGAGCCCAGCTCTCCTTAAAAAACTCTGCCTCAAAGATACTTTAAATTATATTCTTGATGAAATTTGTATTCTTCGTGATGTATCAACCTCGGCAGCAAATGACAACAAACCACAGCTGGTTACTGTTTGAACCCAAGGTTGTAAACCAAAGAGTGTGTGTGCATTTCTCCCCACCCTACCCCATACAACCTACTTCATCCTCATGCATGTGTAGATAACAGGTCAACCAAGGCTAGAAATCATAATGGGTGTGAGTTCTGGTTCCAGAGTTATATCACCTCAATGATCTTATTCATTTCATTCCTCTACCCTTGCTTGAGTAAAGCTAATCATTTTCTCATCTTCCCCAGATCTCTTTGGGGTTCTAAACCAAGCTGAAAAGTAGACCACAGTTAATACGCCCTCTTTCCCAGCCACCCAGTACATCTCCTGTCTTTAGCCAGGGAAGCACCTGTATGCCCCAATTCTGGCCAATCTTGGCTAAGGTGCCAACTCTAACGATTCTAGAAGCTGTTGGTTAAGTGTGTTGCCTGATCAGGGATACTTCCTTACAATGAGGGAGTTATGAAGAAGCTATTGGATCAATAAGCTAATATTATAGAATTACACTATCCAGTACTAGATCTGGAAGCAACCTTATAGGTACATATTCTAACTCCTTTTATAAGTGAATTAAGTGACCTCTCTGGTTGAGTGATATAAGATCTAGTCCAGGCTGTGCCACTAACTCCCAATTCATGTGTATTTCACCATACCATCTGCCTTTCCTCTAGAGTCTCCAAAGAACAAAGCTACAATGAGGGAATAAAAAAGTAGAATTCACAATGTTAAGAAGGCAGTTCTCTCAAACCATACCACGTAACAGCAACTCCTCTGCCTAGCCATGGTGCCAACCCCATCAATTTTCAATAAAACTTCACCTGTAATATTCAAGGAGTAGTGGAGTACGTGATAATGCACTAGATTTAAAGTTACCCAAGGGCTAATTTTTAAAAAATCATTTTTCATATCCAATATTAAATTGGTTGTTAGTTCTTTTCTATATGTCTGTGATAACCTTTGTGCCCTGGTTAGCAGGGTCTAGAAAGAGCCATCCATCTCAACAACAGTGGATTTAGACTTGCAGGAAACATACAGCTTGAGTGATTTGGCTGTATCTTTAATGATTCCTGAACATCTGCCAGAAAGAAGTTGCTCATTTCAAGTAAGTCAGTGATTTAAACTTATTTTTCTGTTTTGTTTCTTTCTATTAAAAGTTTCTCCTAAAATTTTAATTTCATGAGAAATTCTGATTAGTTGGGAAGTAATTTTTTTTAGTTATAATACAAGTCAAAATTAATATTGACTTAAGGTATAAATTAAGTTTACTCTTGTAGTGCCTATGAAAGACTAAAATTATGCTGTTCATAAAATGTCCCTACAGATAAGTTTCACTTAACTGGTTTTAGAAGATGCTTTTGGGCCTTTTTATTTGCCCTAAGCAGACATTTGGACTCCCTTAGGTGAAATATGCTCCAGCATTAGACTGCTTTATTTACTTTGAGTTTGTCTTCTCAATATGTGATTTTTAGAAACTTCAAAAGTACAATGTCTTTTACATTTATAAGTAAATAATTGAGGGACCAGCCTGCCTGGAGCAAAGGAATCAGAAAACAAGAAATCTCAGAATGACTGGTGACATGGAGTCTGTGCTTCACTGCAGTTGCTAGAAGTAAACCACAGATTGAGCTCTGAGCTTCCTAATAGCCATGGCAAGGAGGGAAAGCCATTGAGGTGCTATTCACAGTAGCCACTGATAAAAACAAAGCAGCCATTCACTAGCCATTTCCTGCTAGTGAAACATAAGGACAGTTTATCCCATGAGTTCTTTTAAGAAGGAATGAAGGGCTGGGCGCGGTGGCTTATGCCTGTAATCCCAGCACTTTGGGAGGCCGAGGCGGGTGGATCACAAGGTCAGGAGGTCGAGACCATCCTGGCTAACACGGTGAAACCCCGTCTCTACTAAAAATACAAAAAATTAGCCAGGGGTGGTGGCGGATGCCTGTAGTCTCAGCTACTTGGAGAGAGGCTGAGGCAGGAGAATGGCGTGAACCCAGGAGGCAGAGCTTGCAGTAAGCGGAGATAGCACCACTGCAGTATGGCCCAGGTGAAAGAGTGAGACTCCGTCTCAAAAAAAAAAAAAAAAAAAAGAATGAAGAAGGCAGATGCAATGTGACAGAGATTTACTAGATGATGTGCTCGATAACACCCTTCAACTAGAAAAAAAAATTAGCTTCTCTTAGAATGTGCTATCGGCATATATTGGCATACAGTAATTAAGTGTAATTGAGAAAAGGTAATTCTGAGAGGGAATAAAAGCACCAGATGGGAGATACGGCATTCACTCTTACCTAAGTCCTACCTACCTTCAAGACCTGGATGAAACATCACTTCCTCCAAGGAGTCGTTGACAGACTTAGGCCACAGTGATCATTGCTGCTTCCAAACATCTATGGCATTTGTTGACCAAGCTATTTATGTTATACTATAAGGAAGCGTTGACAAAAACGTGGCAGTTTTGGTATCTGGGCAACATTCCGCAGGGGCTAGGATTGTGTCATTTATTGTAGTAAATCCAATGTCTCATTCATTTCCTGTCACCCAGTAGGCCCTCAGGTTTGTTGCCATGGATGAGTTAACAGATGGCACTGACTCTTGGTGGCACTGGAGACTGCAGCCATCAGATGATGTTTCAAGAGACACTCCACTGTGATGACACATCCTGAAGACAGGGAAACTAATGTCCTTTGAGAAGTACAAATGTCTATTTTTATTTCACGTAGTATTGGCTTGAAAAGATACAAATTCACTTAGGATGAAATAAAAGTGTTCTGTATTTGAACTTTATTTCAAATTATTATTTCTTGGAGGTTTTTATTAGGCAACCAGTTCCTCCTGTCTTAGAAAGATGTAGGGACGGAGAAGTTCTAAAAATTCTGGGCCTATCCTTCAAGGTTCAATCTCATAGTTTCTTCCTCAGGAAAACCTCCTCTGGCCATCCTAGCAGATAGACATGGCACTTCCATGTCTGTCCAATTCCCCCAAAACATGACCTAAGGCTCATCTGGAATAAGCAATCTTCTTCTGTGTAAATATTTTATAACTATAGCCTATTATAAACTATTTGTTTAGAAAAAAGACTGGAAAAGTACACACCAGAATGTAGGGTGTGTATTTTCCCTTCAAACTCATTTACCTTTGCAGCCCTCTTGAATAATGTCCTTCCAAGCCTTTTGAATAACTTTTATGTTGTTGAATATTTAAATCGTCTCCAATAGTGGTAATTTTTACAGTCTACAAACAACAAAAGGTAATTCAATGTCAAGAACAATTAATAAGATAGATATTCAGAGTGGTTGATATGGTGAGATGAGGTTTGGTTTCCAAAAAATGGTTGTTCTAAAAGGAAACCAATCATGTCTATGTATGTTATATGAATGTTGAGCTCTGTTTGGAGTTACCCCCATCATGAAGGTGCCCTCAACCATAGCAGTGTCACTAAAATAAATGACAAGGCAATTTTTTGGAAGGTAATATTGTCTCTGAATTAAAAAAATGGAAAATCTTTATGCCTCTCTCTCTCTCTCTCTCTCCATCCAATGACACTAATGACTACTTCAGGATGTCTGAATATTGTACTTGCTTATATATGTTCACTGCAACCACCATGGCAATGAAACATGACAGGTCCTATAGTGGAAATCATGGCGTGGTCCTCCAAGGTTAAATTGGAGGGAAACCCCACCATGAAATGCAGTGGCTAGATGCTAGATCTTCACTCCACTCCCCACTCACCAGCACTGCTTCTGGCTTTGGGATTGAGCTTCCTTCTGGGTGAAGCTCAGAAGAGCTCAAACTTTTCTGAGCCAAGGTCAAGCTGGGAACCTTGTTACGCTATTTTATTTTTAAATATTCACTTCCCATTATGTCTGAGTCTTCAGCCACATCTTGTTTATCTGGTGAACGAGTAAATAACACACAGTTTCTATGTCAGTTTCATTCATCCCATGTTTTATTGAGCACCTGCTGTAAGCCAGGCATTCACCTGGTGATCACTTAAGGCCCATCTCCTTGCTTCCAGCTTGCTTCCCTATAATAGAGGATTTTTTTATTCTCTTTGAGTATGAGTGCACAGCACACACACACACACACACACACCTGTTTTGTATTCAAACTGAGAATGCTCATTTATACACAGCTCTCCTCTTAAGCACACAAAAATTAAGGCATCCAACAATCAGATAAGGCAAATGCATTTATCAAGCATCCAGCGACAAAAAGCTCCTAGACGTCTACTACATGCAGCACTGCTGTTCGGGTGCTGGGGTTATAGCAGGCTACAAGGGAGGCAGGTCTGCGTTCATGCCACCTACATTTTAATAAGAGGAGAAAAGAATAGAGAAGCACTGGGCAGCTGCTGAGGAGTGCTAAGGAGAAAAATCAAGGGAGGAACAAAGAGTGATGAGGAGTGTTGATTTCAGAAGTGAGATCATGGAAGGTCGCCCTGTTGAAGGGACATGTGAAAGAGAACCTGAAGAAAGGTCCAGCACCATCAGGATGTCTCCACGAAGGTGACAGTGTCTTGTCTAGGTCTGCCTTGCCACCGAGTCACCGACTGTGAGAATTGGAAGGAATATCAGCATCCTTCATTTAACAGTTAGGAAAATAAGACCAAAAAGAGGTTACAGTCCAAGTTCAGCTTCACAAAGACGTATCTCTAGATAGAAGGGAAAAAAAGGAGAGCAAGAAAATGTTAAAAGTTGACTATGCTTAGAAACTGCCAAAAATATTTAACAAAATGTGCCAGAACTAGCTGAAAAATAAGTTCCTGAATATTCAATCAAATATTCTATATTTAATTTCATGGTATAAGAATGCAGTAATCGAATAAATCCTTGCTCTTCTCAGCAACCACTTACATTGTTTTATAAAGTTGATCCACATCCTATCTTTAGGTTGTAGAAAAGGATGCTGGGGGAGCTGTCATCCCAGACCCTTAAATGTAGTTAATCCCCTGGTACCAAGCAAAGCTCAGAATCTTCAGGACATCTGCCTCTACTACCTTATGCTAGACCTTAGTATCTAGGGAGAATGACAGCAACATCGTGGTCATGGTTCTGAGGAAAGCAGTGGAATGCACATCAGAGGAAACCAACTAAACACTCACCTGTAATGAGATGGGAAGTGATTACACTATTTTTCTTCATGGTATTTATAGTTTTAAGGAACAGCTCCCTGTAAGTGACATCTACCCACTGCCCTTTATCCTCCTATTAAAGCTTTTGTAACAGATGGTGTTTATAGAATTGGCTACTCTGACTGTTAGCACTGTGAAGACATGAGTCTATGAAGAATGTACCCCAATTTTCATTACACCCCAGACTAAAGTGCTAAGTAGTGATCTTTTGAATGAATGGAATCCCATTGATAGAGAGTCAATTATGCCTTTGCATTAACACACATCATCTTTTGTTCATTAACTCAGAAACTAGAGTGAGCTGGCAGCCTGAGAGCCAAAGAGCTTCTGTGAGACTCTCAAGTGACTTAACGTGGCTGGCCGATGACTGATTCCTTCCAGGTGAAGCGCTAAGCCCCATCATGCCCCTGTTCAGCTATGGCAGGGTTCCAAGTGGGCAGCCCAGCTCTCCTCTGGGAGGAGCATTGGGCACCACTTGAGTTGAGTTTGTCCAGGACCTGAGCTGTATTGTTCTGTGATGTGGGACAATCTTCTCGAGCAGTATCAATGCTTCTGAGTCACAAGGGTCAAAAGAGAGTTATTTCCCTGGGGCTACAACTTTCTGAGTTTGCACAACTTCCAGATGCAGAATTAATTTCCTGAGGTCATCTGCAGCATGGTGCAGATAGGTCACTTACCCTGCAAGCAGTATGGAAACCTGATATCTAGAATTGTTGACTATTCTGTGAAACTTGTTTCTCATATCTTATTTCTTCATAATATCTTGCCCCATCACATCTTCAAGGCTTTGTTTGACCTTATGGGCACTGAGTAACTTTTTCCTTTTCTGAATGCATTTGGCGTTTACTGTTGAAATCTATGGCTTCTTTAGTGAGTACTTGCCGAGTGCTCACTGTGTTCCTTTGAATGGAGGTAGAGTCCTATGAAGGATAAGTCCTTAAGGCAGGGGCTATTTTTATAGTTTAGTATCTATCTTTAACTTCAGTTTGGCTGGAGAACTAAGATACATTAAAAGAAACTTGGCAGTGGGGGGTGGCTCACGCCTATAATCCCAGCATTTTGGGAGACCAAGGCAAGTGGATCGCCTGAGCTCAAGAGTTTGAGACTAGCCTGGGCAACATGGTGAGATGCTGTCTCTATTAAAAATATAAAAATTAGCTGGGCATGGTGGTATGTGCCTGTTGTCCCAGCTAATTTGGAGGGTGAGGTGGTAGGATTGCTTGAGCCCGGGGAGGGGGAGGTTACAGTGAGCCAAGATCGCACCACTGCACTCCAGCCTGGGTGACAAAGTGAGACCCCCATCTCAAAGAAAGAAAGAAAGAAAGAAAAAAAAAACTCAAGCTCCTCAAAGGTGGAAAATTTATATATAAGATAGCTGGAAAAATAAGACTAAGTAAATTTGCTTTGTAATGTTTACAATACCGTATGTGTTTAGTGTCTGGATGAAGAATGAATAGGTTCCGGGCATGATAATATTTTCTTTGAGCACAAATATGTTTTATGATTGTCAGAACCAGTGTGGAAAATTACTAAAGAAACTAAATATTCTTTTGCAAATGCACAGTATTTTGACATTTTCATTTCAAATCAAGATGCTGGAATAAGGATTCCCCCAAAACCTGTAAAACTCAGCGCAGATCCCAGCAATAGATGGGGTTGTGTGTCCTTGCTAGCTCATTGCGGATTGGGGGCCAGCTGCACTGAGGATGGCCTTAGCTCCCTGTCTGCTGAGAGCAGGATGAAATCAATGACTGACTGATGTCTCCTAAGTGCCTGATATATGGTTGCTGATGCAGAGAGGTTCTGGTGACAGCCCACACTGAGGGATGCTTATGGAGGGCCCAAGTAGGCGAGAGAATGCACCCTGCGTATGTATGTGGAAGCCAAGGATCCAGCTGGCAAGTTGGCACCAGCCAGGCTGAGTACAGAGGTTCCAGTCTCTACATCAGAAGAGCCGAGTTTCCTGACCTAGAGAAGTTATTTTGGCTTTCAAGTTTTCATCTTTAATAAGAAGGGTTTGGAATAAAAGAAGGAATACTGACAATAGCTGACGTTTCCTGGATACTTATGGGTGCCAGCTGCTCTTCTTCGCGTATTCATCTGTGCAATCCAAACAGCACTCTATGGCTAGAGGCCACTGCGACCTCTCTTTTCTAGGCATAAACCTGAGTCCCTGGCCCAGGGTCACAGCTGGCAGGCTGGGCACTGACGGACTCCAGGCTTTAAGTCACATTGCTACACTGTACTCAGGGTATCTGCCGCCCGGGCCCAGACCCAGAGATCCACCCTAAGGGCGAGGATAAGGAGACAGAGGACAGGCAGATGACAAGGTGGGGGCAGTTCTCATGAAGGGTTTCCTTCTTGGACACTGATTTCTTCCCAGGATGCCTGAGGATGCTGACCAGCTCCTTCCATCCCTGTCCTCCTCACCTCTTTCCACATCCCCTGCAGATCAGCCCAGCAGTGAGGCACAGCCTAGGGTCGGATGTCCCATAGATCATCATGGAAGCTCAGAAGCAATCCGTTCTTCATTTTAGAGGCTCCTCTCCGTCAAGATTCTGGAAACACAGGAGAACACTGTGACCTTTCTCAGAGGATGTTTTCCTAACATGCCTGGGAGGAAGACTTGAATGGTGGTGTGAAAATGTCTTTTCATGCCCTAATCAATAGCCCATCAATTATGTATGTACTTATGTATGTAAACCCTGTTACCATCCTGTGGAGAGGATAGGACTTGGTGATGTCCAACTATTGAGCTCTTTCTTCAAAGTCTTAAAGGAAGTTCAGTACATAAAACCATGGCAGCGGGTTGGCTCTGGCAGAGTGGAGTCAGTCAGACATCTGGAGCGCTGTCCTCACTCTGCCTCCCCACCCTCGGGCATGCTTGTTGGAACTGACAGCTCCACTGCTGGCAGTTTATAAATCTTTCCAGTGTTTTCATTGAGGGTTGTCAAAATGTTAAGGCATATTAGGCCATCATGGAGCAAGGTAACCTCCAAGGCCTTTACCTCTTCTAAATAATGCTTTATTCTCTTTTCTTCTGGTCATGAAGATACAGTTGGAAATTCCTACAGATTGGCTTTGCTTGAAAGGCTATTGTAGACCATTAATGGGCGAAATCCCTGTATTTGAAATTGTAAGATGCAATGAGGGAAGGCAATCCACGTGATTTCCTTGTGTTCCCCTAGTGGAGTGAAAACAGATACTGACGATTGTTTCCTCATTCCTGGTGGCATCTTGAGATGGTTTGGTAACATCCAAGCTGTGCAGATGTTACCACGGAGCATGGAGGCTTTTCTGAACTCCTACAGGTTTCATTGTCTGTGCCACTTTTTGGTACTTACCATTTACGTATTTGAACTGTGTATTGTTTCACAGGTGTGTGTTTTCCAAGTTGCCACTCTACCAACCCTTTTTGTATATTCCTGAGTTCAAAAAGCACTTTAAGGAAACAAACTGACAAAAACATGCAGTTTAAGAGGAGGAAACAGGAAGATGGCTCACATGTAGCTTGAGTGAACAATCACATTTAGCACAGTGCAGGCTTTCAGTCTTTTCATGTCATGCGTATTTTTGTATCCTACGGACAATGAGCCTTGACTGCTTTTTTAGGCCTCTTACCAGCTTCCTCCTCTGAAGTGTAGTAAGTAGCTTCCTATATAATATAATTTGTAGATGACTAAAAGCAAGGCCTGATCCCACATATCTCTTTTATAGACCTGCTACATTGCCAGAAAGGTCTTCATTGCTCAACCTTACACCCCTCAAGGATAAAAGCTTTCTCAACCACAAGAATTCCTGCAGAATTTGGCTATGTCTCATTCATTATTGTACGGGGTCAGTCGCTGGCCCAATATCTAGGCTATAGTAGGTATCTCTAAACTATTGGGAAACCTGTAGTCATTTGGTGGCTTATTTTTCAGTGAGTGCAGATAGGAGATGGAATATGGGTGGATCTAGATGGATAGAGTTGGATCACAAAGTGAAAACCATCACTTGGTGGGACCATGTTGGGGAGGATCCTGAGGATGCTGAGGTCAGTCCATGACGTCTGTGACAGGCACATGAGGGAGGGGCCATGTCATATGTGTCTCAATTTGCCATCTCTGCTTAGAGCCTGAGTGACTGCTTGAGAAGGTAGGCCCAAGCCCAGAGGACAGAGCATATGAGGGTGGATTTGACTGAGAGAGTTGGTAACACACTTTCTAAGTGAGAAATACGGATGACAGGAACACCCTGCCTCTGCCCGTGGCCCAGCTCTGCTTGAGTCTGTCACTGTCTCCTTTCCTGGAAATGTCAGTGTCGCTTCCCTCATGCGTTTTGGAGCCTTGAGTTCAGGCTAAAACAGGGCCTTTTGAGGGGAGGAGAAAAAAGGAAAGAGGGCAAAAGGATGAAGTGTGATTTCTTAAACAGGTTTTTAAGAAAGGAGAAAAGGGCCTTGCTTAATTTTGAGACTTCCAAAAGGTTAGGCTACATGTAAAGGGAAAGGTGAGGTTGATGCTGGTTTTACAAGAACTGCTTTGCTCAGTTCTACTTGGTTCTTATCAACGTCGGTGACCCGCAGAACTCCTTACGAAGCAGTCTAGTGGCTACAGGATAGCATCCAAAGTGACTGCTTAGAGTTTATGAATCTTCACTAATGTGTGTGTCCCAGATAACAGGATGGAAGGAAAAAAAATGAAACCTGTGTAGACACTGAGTATGTTAGTTTGGAACAGTGAGGAAAGCTTTAAGAGAGAAATCAGTATTATATCAGTTTAGCCAGGCTCACAATCAATAGTCATTTGATAAAAGCTGAGCGTGTGTGACACTCTCCTAACACAGAGTCCTGTGATTCTTTGGGGATGTCTTTGCTGGTGTATCAGATAGCTATTGCTATGCAAGCACCCCAAGACTTAGTGGGCTTAAGACAGCATCATGTTATGAAAATCATGCATTTTCATCTTTAATAAGAAGGGTTTGGAATAAAAGAAGGAATACTGACTATTCCTTCTGAATATTGGATGATCTGGGGTGTGCCTCACTGTGTGTCAGCTCACTGGCTTGCTTGCTTCTGCCTGGGAAGTGGCCTTGCCAGGGGCATCTTTTCTGAGCAGGGCTGCTCCATGCATCTCTCCTTCTCTGCCTCCTGGGACTGGGAGGCATGGTCCTTGCATGGCCATGACAAGCGCATGCAAGCTCTCCTGAGACTTAAGCTCAGAACAGGCCCTGGAACTTCCCCCTCATTTCTGTGGCTCCAAGGAAGCCCCATGGCCAAAGAATGGGGAAATAGGCTCTATCCCTTTTGCAGAAGTAACTGCAATGTACACAGACTGTAAGTAAAGGGAACCATGAAGAATTGAGGCCGTTAGTGCAATTAACATGCTTAGATTACTCTTAAGCTCTTATTGTTGCTATTAGTGATCTCTCTGGACCCTGGAAATGTCCAGCAAGGCTTTAGGATGGTAGCTGTAGTAGAAGCATGAGTGGATAGTCATGACCTGCTTTTATCCTCACTGTCAATGTTTTTCTTTCCATACATTGTTGAGGTTAAGTTTGCTGAATGGTAAAGAAGTATAATTTTTGAAATTGTTTTCTGTCGTCAGTTAGTAAATCAATCAACATTTACTGCACAGCTACTGGAGGAGCAGCACCTGCTACTTCCTGGGTTCATGGAGCCATAGGGGTGAGGAGGGTGACATTTACTGAGTAATCACTTCGTGTCAGGAACTGTGCCAAGAACCTCGTAAACTCCAGATTAATTGAGATAGACATTTTGGTGGGGAGATATCTATGCATTGTTTTATTGTTAGATCAGGCATAATATATCCAAAGTGTAAAGTCTTTGGAAACTCTCGATGAAGGAAAGGGATTCAGTTTCCAAGGTGTGGGCTAGAATGCAGAAAATAAAAATGTGTAAGTGAAGGTTTTCTGTGGCTTTGGTAATGGCTGTGTTTTTGATATATAGTAAACAATGATAAATCGTTGTTCTTTTAACTCTGAATTTTTTTTAAAAGAATGTCACTGTGCACGGTTTGAAGCTGCAAAGATTGCCTTCGAGAGGGAGGAGTCATTTCTCCACGTCCCTATAACATTATGTGGAATGTTGTCTGTCAGCTTTGGACTGTAGTTTATATGTCAGTGACTGTAGTTTATATGGAGTATTTTGTTTAACTTTTCATTTGTTCCCAATGTTACAATTTTGCTTTCTCATAGATATGCATATGGAACCAATGCACTAATAAGGTTCATTTCTCCTAATATATGCTGTCTGTACATTTGTCGCCTATAATAGTTGTTAATGGTTTTAAAGAGGGTCATGATAGTCCGTTATGTCAAAAGATGCCATTGCCTTCTGTCTTTTTCTGTGCATTCCTGGTTTTGAAAATGAGGGTACAATCAGACCTGAAAAAAAAAAGCATATGACTTTGTTTCATGACCTACAAAAAGTAATGGTAAGCAAGATGCAAATTCTTATTCTCCAAGGGTATATACACTGTCAAACAATTGAAAGAAGCCAAGACTATCTGAAAAGGCCTATTTTTCAGATTTCATCTTGGAGACCTTTCATCATAGTTCCTACCCCAAGAAAATAACTAATTTGCTCTAGCCTTATGGAATAGCCTGGAATGGCTGCCTGGGCCATCTGAGAAGTTGGCTGGTCCTATCCAGGGCTTCCCCAGTTGGCCTGGCTTTGCTCAGGGGCCGGGGGCTGAACTTTAGCAGGTTCCACTAGTGCTGTTGGGAGCTCCACAGAGAAAGGTCGAACGCTTGGTGGTTTGTCCTTGTGGTCAGACCCCGGGATTTGACTTTTAAGAATACTCTGAAAATGAAAATGGATTTCCTGGGAAGGAAGTATGTGAAGTCATTAACATTAATTAATAGCTTATCGAAAAATTAGGCTTTCAGGCTGGAAGAAAGTAGGCAGGCCTGAAGAAGGGAGCTCAGGAAGGAGAGCTGGAGGGACCACAGCAGGGAGCTGGCCCAGAGGCAGGTGACGTCGCCCAGGAGGCTGGACCTCGGGGATTGTGGTTCTGTCAAGAAAGGATGGTTGCTGGTGGGGGCTGGGGGGCTGTGGGGGCTGGGGGTGCTGGAGCAGGGAGGTGTGACCCACCCCAGGGAATAGGAGGAGAGAAGTGGGTAGGGTTTTCTTGGACTCTCACTTCACCTTCCGGTTGGACGAGCTGCAAGCATGAGCTTCTAAGCTTTGCATCCCAGAGTGTTGGCGGCTATGGAGATCCTGCGGGCCTCACTGCCGCCATTCCCCATGGCCACTCAGCCAGCACTACCTAGGCACTGAGCTCCGTGAGGGACTTTTTTCCTGCTCACCTTATCTCAATGGGGTCAGGCGGGCTGAAGCTTCTGGAGTCTTGGTGAGGCTGTTGCTGGATTGAATATGAGCAGCTGCAGGGCTGGAGGAACCCAAATCTCAGTGGAGCCTGTTCATTGAAGACCTTACTGATAGGTTAGTGCCAAGGGGTGCTGACAGGTACAGTTATGGGGAACTGGCACATACGAGGTAGCAGCATCTGCCCTGACCTTGGCCCTATAATCATCCGTGGCATTGTTGAGAACAGATAAACAGTAACCAACAGTGGGCTCACATCACAGATGTTTTCCCTTGGTGCTTGGTGGGCCCCAAGATGTTGGGGTTCAAGGTTTTTATTATGTCTAGGGAGGGCCAGAATCAGTCCTATCTGCTCGCATTGAGATGGCCTTTGTTCAAGCAAGAGGTGAAATTAAGTGTCCAGAGGCAGAAATAGATTTCACTCTGGGTTCTGTTATCCATGGTTCTTTGTAGATTCTTTCTGAATGTCCACAGGTGTGCTCAACTGCTAAATTCAGCTGCCTTTGAAATCACAAAAAGGGCTCAACAAGTGGAGGTCTCTTCCACCAGCAAAGCAAAGGATTGTGTAATTCGATCACTAGGGTAGGCTCTGAGGCTGCGTGGCCCGAGTTGAAAGCTGAGCTCTGCACGGACAGCTGGTGGGTCTCTGCCTAAGTTATTTTACCTATCTGTGCTCTGCTTCCTCTCCTCACCAGAAAACCGAGGCTATGGTTGTATTTGCATCATAAGGTTACCAAGAAAATGCAATAAGCTAATGTACAGGGAGCACTTAAAAGACTATCTGCACGCAGGAAGCCCTCGATAACTAATTGTTTGCTGTAATTATTAATGGTCACCCCACATATAGGTGAGGAAATCTTGAATTGCCCTGGTTGGTGCTGCTGGGTATTTGGCTCAGGTAAGAGTGGTATAGCAGCTTGGCTTTTTTTAGATGAGAAGCTACCTCCCCCTGAAAGGGGGCTGAGTTTTTGTCTCCTACAGCTGCTCCCCTGAGAAGATATTCAGCTCTTCCCAAACTACTGGTTGTTTAGAAGGTGGCTGTGTACAGAGCCTGGTCATGCTATGGGTCACAGAGACACAGGGCCACTGCCTGCACCCACCTGGACAGCACCCTTCTGTGTGACTTCCATGGGGAGGACTGTGAGTGGTGCCCCAGTGTTGGGATAGGGACCAGATGACTGCAGAGGAAACACCATTAACATTTGTCTATTCAGCAAACACTTTACTCTCACATGAATGTCGATGTATCTTTGGGCTTCTTATAAAAGAATCCCACATTCACTCAACGTCTGTGAGTATAGACATTGTTATTTGTTCCTTTCACTTTTTAAAGTGAATTAATTTGTACAATAGTGGTTTTCAAAGTTTGTTGTTCTTGAAAAATCACCGATCAAGCATTAAAAATGCACACACTGGGGTCTCACCCCTGAGAAGCTGCTCTGCTTGGTCATTCAGGAAAACTCAGGTACCTACATTTTAAAAAAAATTCTCAGATGAGCTGCCAGGCAAAATCACCTCTAATTGCTTCTCTTGTTTTAGTTCTCCCAACAACCTGTAAGAGAAAATTGGACAGATATTCCTGTCCCCATTTTAGATGAGGCCGCAAGTACTTAGAGTGAAAATTTGTTTGAGGTCACATAATTAGTTAACATATTATTCCAGATAATCACAGATTTCTTTTTTAGACAACGCTCCCTACATCTCAATAGCTTAACCAAAGAATGTGTCAGAGGGCCATCTTTTTGCATCTCTGGGTTCTGCAGGGCCTGCTGCAGGAATTGGTGTCCACAGGGGGTTCTGGAGCCAATTCTCCACAGATAGTGAGGTAGTTCTCCTGTGGTCACACACCTCGGGATCCTTCACAGCCAGGTGTGTGGGCAGACGAGAGAGTGTGGTCATGCTACAGATAGCCTGGCATTGACGTTCATCACTTTAGCCCGTATTCCGTTGGCCTGAACTGAGGCATACCATGCCGTGAGGCTCAGCGAGATGCAACGGAGTGTGGGCAGTGTCCTCCCGGATGTTCAGAAGAAAAGGACCCTGCTGAACACATGCAGTAGTTTCCACCACTATTAATGACCGTAAGGCAATGAATCTAAATAGTGAAAATCTTTGCATGAAACCTATGCTTTTACTGACATTGTATTGTTGCAACAATCCAGGGATGTAGTTATGTATCTCCCTATTGTTTAAGGATGATAAAACAGATTCAGAGAATTTAAGTGACTTGCAAAAGTCCACACCCCTGAGAAACAAGAGAGCCAGAGAACCCGTGGGCAGCTCTCAGCTCTGGCGCCAGGGCTGTGTGGTTGGGACATACCCATTGACCTTGGAGGCAGAACAAAGCTGGTATCAAAACTCAGATTTCTTGACTGCCATTTCAGTGTACTTTTTCCACTACAAGATATTTCTTACTGTTTTGAGCATGCTGTATTACCACAGGGACTAGCGACATAGGTTTAAGCAAGTCTTCAGTGACTGAAGGAGAAAAACATGTAGTAAATATTGCTTAAATCTTTTCTCATTACCACATAGAAACACATTTCTATGTAGAAGTAGAAGACATTTCTACTTACCTATCCTGAGAACCTTCTCTCTGAAAAGCTCACAGCAGAGTCCATCTCTCCCGCTTGGCAGCTGCAATAAGTACAGTAATTAGGAATATTATTTCTTTTCTTTTTTTTTTTTTTTTTTTTTGAGACGGAGTCTCGCTCTGTCGCCCAGGCTGGAGTGCAGTGGCGCGATCTCGGCTCACTGCAAGCTCCGCCTCCCAGGTTCACGCCATTCTCCTGCCTCAGCCTCCCGAGTAGCTGGGACTACAGGCGCCCGCCACTACGCCCGGCTAATTTTTTTTTTGTATTTTTAGTAGAGACGGGGTTTCACCGTGTTAGCCAGGATGGTCTCGATCTCCTGACCTCGTGATCCGCCCGCCTCGGCCTCCCAAAGTGCTGGGATTACAGGCGTGAGCCACCGCGCCCGGCCAGGAATATTATTTCTAACTCACAAGAGTTCTTCTGCATGTTAGCCACCCCCCAGAGAAAATAGTCTCCATTGTTGTTCTCTCTTCAGCATATCCCAGGTATGTTTCCAAGCAAGTTTTGCTCCACTATAAGTTGATGAGGACCTTTTTTTTTGGAAGCTGATGGCCTGGCAAGAGTTAGTCTTAATAGGTTGTGTTTCTTCTCACTTTAGCTGGCTCTCCCTAATGATAATGTCTGTTCAAGTTGAGCCCAGTTTCAGCCAGTTTCTCTGGGAGTCAAAAGCCTGTAGCACACCCAGAGAGCCACCACCTGTCCACAGCATATGGTCTGAAGGCATCTCTGCTGCTCTAGCCTGACCAGCCAGCCCAGGATTTCCAACTGTGAGCTCACCCTCCTTGTAAGGCAAACAGGGTTTAGCCAGCGCTCACCTTGACCTGGTGACCTTTGAAGATTGAGGTTGCAGGAGAATGCAATTGAGAATGCAGCGGGTTTCCAGACCCCATGTGAGCCATCCCTGATGCTTCACCCTGGCTCCATGGGAAGGAACCCAGAGCCCTGCCTGGCTGGTCTCCTGCTAATGAGATGGAAAGCAGGGGTCCTGGCCACACCATGAAACTCATGATGTTCTCCACTCTTGTGTCCCTGCCATGGCTCACATTCAGTAATTAGATACCAGCTCATTAATTCCTGCTATTCTTTCAGAAGGGAAAGGATGGTGCCCTTTGTTCTGCTCTGCTGGGCCCTGAGCCCTCACAGCATGAAGTAGCTAGATTCTGCCTCACTCCAGAGGCGGCTGCCACTTTCTCACCCCACAGTCAGCCCCTCAACCATGAAAAGATGTAAGGATGTAGCTAAATTACATAACCCAAGCATGAAAGCACCTGACGTGTATGAAACCATGTTCTCAGACACTTGTAGGCAGTGACAACTTTATAATTAGGCATTTCATCCAACTTATGTATCTTACATAGGGAAATTGACATCTTAGCAAAATTTATTTGCCTAAAGTCGCATAGGTAATTAAAAGTAGATACAGCTGAGACTAGTTGCTATAATGCCCAGCTAGGAGGGAGTCGGTGGAAGAGGTGTCATCTATTTTCCTTTGAAGGTTTGTAAGTATTTGACTTTTCCTGCCCTGAGACTGACTTGCCTCTGAGGAGGCCCATCCGACTTAGCTTGAACAACCCGGATTCTTGTCTTTAGTCAAAAGCCTCTAAATAAAGAATACAAATCAGCTTAACTTCTCCAAGGTCTGGCAAAGCTTTATACACCTTTCAGAAACAGAACACAGCAAATCTGCCTCAGCAAACATGTGCATACGACTTTCATCTGAGCTATCAGGAAGGCATCTTATAGACACATACAACGGAAGCCCAGAGGGCTCTGGCATGTTGCAAAATCAAACAGTCCAGAAAACTTTCCACCCCAGACCACTATTCAGTTGTCATCTGAAATAATGGAAGTCAGAGTCAAACTCATCAATTAAACGAGAATTATTTATTTATCATAATCTCTACTGCCTGCTGCTTCAAATGCTTTCTCATGAATTAATGAGCTCATCTACGTGCATGTCAATATTTTGTTTTAAACTACAAAATAAAACACAGGATTAGGTTTTGTTCTCAGTGTCTACCTTTCTGTGGCATTGATGCAGATAGCAACTAAGGATTAAATCACAGAATGGTTCCCTTTTTAATTTATTTATAGAAATGGGCTTTTGCTTTTATTAGTGATGAATGAAGAGAGCTTGACTTGGGGAAATTTAGACTGAGATTATTGAAGTGGCCTAGAGTTTGGAAATTTTTATAAAACCCAACTGTGCAAGTGGATTGAAATTGTGCTTAAGAACAGGCTTTCATGCCAGACTTGTGCCGAATTCCATTTGGTTCCTGGCAGAAAACCCTTGAAGAATGGTATTTGGTTTTGTTTATTTGGCATTTCAAATACTGGTTCATCTGGCCCCCATCCTGATCAAAAATAGTCAGAAGTAGAAATGGGTACTTGAGTGGCAGCAGAGTGGATTCATCTGGGCATGGCAGCACCTAGCGTAGGTCTCCAATATGCCATTGAGAATGTTGTTGAGTGCAGGATAACCTTTAACATAATACCCCTATCCCTCTCCTGTTTCCTTGCTGGTTGATCATCTGCCCTGGGCCACAAATAGCTCTCCCTCTCCACTCTCCCAAGGAAGAAAGTCCTGACAAATTACTCCCTTAACCCAGCTCTGTTCCTGAAGGCTTGCATATTCCATCACAGAACTTCCTCTTGGGATGGAGAGTAATGTTGGGACAGATGACTGTCCTACTTTCTAGCAATGAAAAATGATTGCATGAAGCCTCACATTCCTGATGCTAATGAGAATCTGTCCTTTCAGCTGGCGTTTGCATCAGGAGATGCCACTGCTTGATTTGTAATGTTTTGCACTAACACTCTGAGTGAACCCTGTCTTTGGGCCGTTCCATTGCACAATAGGCAGTTGAAATCTATGCTTTTCTCAATAGGGAGTACAAAAAATTCATCATTTTAAAGTGGGCTGTCAGATCTAAGAAATAAATCTCAGTTCATAAACTTGAAAAACTCAGAAGTGTTAAAAATTTTATTCACTAAGAACATAACATCCAAGACGAGAGATCAATTTTGCATATTATTATTTCTACCTGAAGTATTCCATCTCACTTAAAAGAAATATTTGTTTGGAAGCATTGGTTGGTGCTGGTAGCCAAGGCTGTCCAACAAAAAAAGCGAGTTTTTAAAGAAAATGTTATTCCCTAAGGGTGAATCTTAAAAAATTGCCAAATGTATTCTTGAGATGAATAACAGGAAGCTTAGTTCTAGAAAGGGCCTGAGTGATTATCGAATCCATTCTTCATTTCACAGACGAGAAAATGAGTTTCAGAGATGCAAACATTCCTACTATCACAGAACTAGTAAGCTGGAGAACAGACATTAAGACCTGTAATAGTGATTCCCGTGTGAATGTTTTTATGATGAAACTGTACAAAATGATAGAACAATAACAATGTCAAAACACCTATCACTAAGCACTTTCATATGTAATATCTTTTTTTAATTATAACAAAATGGCAAAGTAGGTGTTATCTCCATTTCACAAATGGTACAACTGAGGCTCAGAAACATTAAGCAACTGTCCTGGGGTCACAAAGAAGACACTATTAGAGCCAGGTTTAGTCCACATATTCAATTTCTTTGTTTATTTCCTTCACTTTGCATGAGAATTCCTTTTTGCTGTCTTTCATTTTTAAGCAGAAACCTTTCTTTAAAGACACTAATGATCAAAGATCTAAATTAAAAACTAAAACTATTAAATTTCTAGAGGAAATCATAGCCCTACATCTAATATATAATAGAACCAGATGGAAATTCTAGAAAATTCTGAAAAGTACAATATCTGAAAAGGAAGACAATACTTAGCTTGGATTAGGCAATTTGTTTCTTAGATGTGACACCAAATGCACAAAGAACAAAGGGAAAACAAGATAAATTGGGCATTTTTGAAATTAAAAACTTTTGTGCATCAAACACCATTAAGGAAATGAAAAGACAATTCATAGAATGGGAGAACACTTTTGCAAATTGAATATCTGACAAGAGACTTGTATCTGGAATCTATTAAGAATGCTATATAATTCAATAACAAACTGACAAGTAACCCTATTGAAAATGGGAGTACCAAGTATACCTTTTCATTTAAATCATTGAACAGTTCACAATGGCTGTTGTAAAGTTTTTGCCTTGTTACTGAAACCATCATCTCTTGGTCTATTTCTATGGAGTTATTTTTTCCTAGTTATTGGCAGTTTGCTTATCTTTTATGTGTCTAATAACTTTTAATTGAATGTAGAACATTATGGATCTTATATTTTTGAGAATCTGAATGTTTAAAATTCCTTTGAAGAGTTTGTGTTTTCTTCTGGAGGCAGTTTACTTACTGGCTGTGAGCTCAGTCCTGTTGAGGCTGTTTCACGACAGGCTGTGGCTTTGTCAGGGTGGGTGTGGATCAGACATCTGGTCATCAACCCTGCATATTCCAGCCTCTTTCACAGGCTCACTCGCTGATTTCTGTTTCTCCCACATTAAGGCCACTGCTCTCTGATAGTCTCTGCCTCTCCCAGGCTGGAAAACAGCCTTAAGCAGAGAGCCCTTGCAAGTGAGGAGCCCCCTCATGCTTCCCCCTTCACCTCCAGGGTCATAGTCCTGTAGCGTATGTAATCCCCTTCCTAAAAACACTTGCTTTATATATTTCCCTAGTTGTGTAATTGTTTATAGTGAGAGAGGAAGCCTGGTTACTCATGACTCTATTATGAGAAGAACCACAAATCTCTCCTACTTCATTTTAATCATTCGATGTTAGATGTATTTAACCACTTTGTTGCCATGTTTAAATTTTTATGGGGAGAAGCCCAAGGTAAATAATAAAATTAACAAAACTTTTAGTCCAGTGTGTATTCCTCAGAGAAACCTCAGGTTTCTTTTCTTTTTTTTTTTTTTTTAACAAATTCAGGTCTTTGTTCTAGAAGTTAAAAAAAAACAACATACAACCAAATATAGTTAAAACAGGAAAATCTATTTGTGTTTACTTCATATCTTTCTGTTGGGTCAGATGATAATGTTTAGAAAAATACTGTAACATTCTTACTTTATGTGGACAAACCTTTAGAGGCTGGCCTCTCTGTAGAAGGATTGCACAGGGAAATAATTTTGAGCCTACTTTCTTGTCTTTATCTTCTATGTTCTCTTCTCAGCTTCCTGTCTTGATTGGCATGGAACTTGCTCTGCTCCTCATGTTTCTATTTGTTTAGGAAATTCACTAGGAGTGTACAAGGGACAGATTGTCAGCTGTCATCCAAGTCCCTTTCAAATAACCCCACTATCCTTTGCCTTAGG